>NC_000014.9:38702622-39005652 GCF_000001405.40 Homo sapiens | reverse complement strand
GGGGCTGGGGCTGGGTGGCAGGACCTCAGTCAGTTGCTTCCAGAGTGAGGATTTTAGGCCCATCCTTCGCTTGTGTGAGCCTTTGGCTTGGAAAGGCAGGGGCCCTTCTCCTCTCCTGTGGGATGCCAGGACTTGGGCTGCCTACAAGCTGGCCAAGAGCTTCCTTGATTCCCTGCTTCGCTGTCTGCTCTGGACACTCGGCAGACTTCTTTCTCTGGAAGACTCAGGGACAGATGAATGACTGAGTGAAAGAGCCAGAATCCAGGCCTTGGTGGAGCCTGGACTTGGTGGAGACTGGCCCAGCCTGTCAGTGGGGCTGAAGGGCTAAGCTCTGGGCAGTTTCTTATGGTCTCAGAGGAGATTCTAGAAACAGGCTCAGGAGGGCTTTCATAAGGCTGCCGTGGGCTCCGCTGGACACAAGCACATCCCAAGCTGGATCCAGCTGCTGAGATAGCAGCTGTATTCCATATCTAGGATTTCGTTTACCGAGATGACAGCAAGGTCCAGTGCCTGATGATTATGCAACTTTTTCTTTGAGAGTCTGCACACACATCTCAGGCAATCTCTTAGTCACATGGGAGGCCAGAGAAGCAATAAAATTCTTTCTCATTCACTCCTTCCTAACACATTATGACTCTGGAGAAGCTAAGTGGTTAGAATCCAGATTCTTTGTTTTTATAGCTGCATATAGAGTAGGTTACATTTCCCCCTCTATATGCAGCTCTATCTTGTAAGGAACCATTAGATGGGCAGTCCCTAAAAACATGGTGTCATGGAAAGAGCAATGGTTTTACAGTCTCATAAATGTGCGTTTGAATCTAGAGTCCTCCAGGTACTGGATGATTGATCTTGGACCACTTCTTTCACGTCTCTGAACTTGATATTATTCTTACACTTAAAATGGAAATAGCAATACATGTGAAAGATTTGGCACATATCAGTGGTTTCATAAATGCTAGTTTCCTTCTCAAATTGCATTGTACAGGAAAATCATCACAGGTGATGAAATTTTTCAATTGGAAAGGATCTTGGAGATGATCCAGTTAGATTCTCTAGTTTTTCAGAGGAGGAAGTTGGAGCACAGAGAAAGTGACTTGCTGAAGGACACGCTACAAAGTGAGATCGCTAAATTCTACGCAATCCAAGTCCCCTTGGGTAACTGAAGGCCCTGACTGGCTCCTCTCCACTAGGCACCAACACTGCTCTTCTCAGGCTATTTACATGCTTTATCTTGAGGCTTGAGTTTTGACCATTGGAAGCACTATTGGCCATGAGAATAGAAGACGAGAGGTTTACACAGTTACTCAAGGAAGCTGGCAACTTCAACAGCTCCTTATTCATTTCCATGGCTTCCAGCTGATTTTCCTGTGTTCGGCTCTGGGAAACAAGGAACCCTCTCTGCTTGGTGGACATCACCCTGCACACCACCCCTGCCGCCCACCACTCGCGTCCTCTCCAGTTCCTGCCTCCCCTCTCTGCCTGCTGCAGATTTGGCTGCTTCTTTATCCTATGACCAGTTTTCATCGGCTCTGAGGATTAGCAGGGACCAGAGCCCAAGCCCCGGGAGTGCTCAGGTGAGTTCCCCGTGATCAACCAACCTCTGTGTTCTCCTCCCTCCCCTCTGACCTTTTTGTTTTCAGCAGCTTGGCAACCCAAGTGTGCATCCCTAAATACTGTTGTTTAGTTTTTAAACTTTAGATACATAAAATCAACCAATTTGAATTTTTGGTTTGACTTCTTCTTTCACAAGTCATTATATTTGTGACACTTCTCTGTGTTGAGACTAGCTATAGGTTGCTCATTTTTTGTACAGCATGTCGTTATTTGTGTATACTACCATATTACCCTCTCAACAGTTGGGCAATTGGGTTTTCTATGGTTTTTGGCTACTACAAACAATGCTGCTATAAGCATTGTTGAAATTTGTATCTCGATGCCTCTGAAAAGTTTCTTAGGGTAAATATACCTGCTAGAGGGCTTGCTGGATAATAGAGCATATATATAATAAGCTTTAGTAGATATTGCCCAACCATTTACCAAAACTGTGCTGCATGCTTTAATATTTTTAATTTCCTTAAAATCCTTCATCATTTTACCATCTCGTTTCCTCGTTCTGCTTCTCTTTATTAAAAACTCTGTCTTTTTGTACCATGCCTAAGAAATTAATCAGAGTTTGGAAATTTTTTTCTGCATTATAAAAAGAGTTTATTTTCAGATGTTAGCTCTTTTTCTTGCTCTCTTAAATATTGTTCTCTTTCCTTATCTTATAATTTTTCCCCATAGACTTGTGTTGTATTTTTTTCTTGAACAAGGTGAGACGAAGCTAGACTCCATGTTTGTCATCAGACAGTGTATATAGACATTTTCTTATTCCCTCCTTACCATGTTTTTCACAAACAAATGTTGATGTGGTATCTTTTTTTAAGAGATGTGAAGGGAGGTTAATGCACTGAACTTTCAATCAAATTCCCCAGTTCTTAGTGGGCATTTGTTTAATGTGACACCTATCTCAAATGCTTGATTCTATGATATGCAAACCATCATAATGAACAAAAAACCACAATCCCCAGCAATCATTGCTCCCATGGCAGAAGCCAGAAGCCACCAGCTGCCACTAGTCCCTCCTAGTGCCTCCTACCTCTGTACATACACTAATCACTCCACTGTGTTCTCGAATTTGTAATCTCTGCCTGGATGCAGAGATTTGGAGGAGTGGGCTGGGGGAGGAGAGTATTGTGTTTGACACATAGAGAAGGAGAACCCAAGAGAGAATAGAGGGCAGATGCCTTAGTCTCTGGTTGCTGTGTTTCTTTTGGACTCAGGGGATTGGAGGTGGGGAATAGAAATATATTTTTTGTTTGTGCATTTCTTTTCCAAATGGCTTCTTTTTCATGAAGCAAACCAGGGTATGTGATCTGCCGAACAATCAGTAATTTTTTTCTCAGTGCAATTCCAAATGCCTTGGGCTTTGTGTTGATTCTACTAAGATTCTGGAATGGAGATTATTGATCATGTAGTTACATGAGTGGTGGGTTTTTTCTTATATTTCTCAAGGATACTTCTAGTGCAAACATAGGAGCAACTTTATGGGAGGATGTTAGCCAGGTTACACTTTGATTTGGAAGTTATATCATATTTCATTTAATAAGCAAAGTAAATAAACATGAAGGCAGGGTATATATTCTTAAATCTATTGAACTATATTAGCTGGATATGTTATGGTAAAGGTGCGGTAGTATCTGTTCAAAGAACCAAACCTAAATCTACCTCGTCATATATGGGGTAACGGCATCAGTATTAGGGTTACTACTGAGATTTTAAAAACTCATTTTTTTTGTGATATTAAACTGTTTTTGTACAAGCCAACATTAAAGAAGAAGGTGATGACATCTAGTGAATTGAAAATGCCAAGATAGATGATCCACACATTTAAAAATGCATGACCTTTCACACACCATCAGTGTGATATATACTCTGAGGAGTAAAGACTAAGAATTTTTCTTTAATTAGTTATATTCTTAAATGGACTAGAATAGTGGTTTTCAAACCTGGCTGTGCATCAGAATCCATTGGAGAGCATTTCCGAATGCGTACTTATTTGCTGTCACACTCAGACTTACTGAGCTGGCATACCATGGGCATACCAGAGTATGGGAGTGCATTTAAAGAGGTGCCATTGGACTGGGGCACAGCCCTTTTCCTCTTGCTTTTCTAAGCTTCTGGGACACTACTGGTACAGGTGCATCTCTTCCAGAGGGATCATGGAGTCTGGTCTCAGGTCTGATCTGGTTCCAAGGGCTTCTTGCACCCAGACTGTTCTGAAGAGATAAGCAACTATCATTCAAGAAAAGTTGCTGGAATTTTGTAACCATTCTGGGAGTTAGGATGTATTTTACAGAAGGGGCAGCAGGATCAGCTTGGTAATGTCATGCACAGGGAGCTAAAACCTGAGTGTATGGGGTCACAGAAGCAGCTCAAAATCCCATTGAAAAACCAATGGTGAGGCTGGGGGTGGTGGCTCACGCCTGTAATCCCAGCACTTTCGGAGGCCAAGGTAGGGGGATCACCTGAGGGCAGGAGTTTGAGACGAGCCTGGCCAACATGGTGAAACCCCATCTCTACTAAAAATACAAAAGTTAGCCAGGCATGGTGTGGCTCACGCCTGTAGTCTCAGCCACTCAGGAGGCTGAGGCAGAAGAACCGCTTGAACCTGGTAGGCAGAGGTTGCAGTGAGCCTAGATAGCACTATTGCACTCCAGCCTGGATGACAGAATGAGACTCTGTCTTAAAAAAAAAAAAAGAAAAAAGAAAACCAATGATGGAGCTAGGGCTAATAGTTATACCCCAATGGATGCAAATGTCTATGTGGGCAGTACAATGGAGTGGAAAAAGTATGGCTATTGTAAACACAAATATGTGTATTTGAATCCAGTTCTTATACGTTTTGGCTGTTTGACCTTGACCAAATTAATTTGATCAGAACTTCAGTTTTCTCATCGATAAAAAACATAGGAAAATAATATCTACCCCATTGGGTTGTTGTGGAGAAAATGCAATGTGAATGTGAAAATGTCTTGGTATATATAGTGCCTAGGACATAGAAATTTCTAAATAAATGTTATTTTTTCTTTTTTTTCATGCATTCTCCTTTTTTGCAATCACTCTATGAGTTTTTTGTTTGTTTGTTTGTTTTTTGTTTTTTGAGATGGAGTTTCGCTCTTGTCACCCAGGCTGGAGTGCAATGGCGTGATCTCGGCTCACTGCCACCTCTGCCTCCTGGGTTTAAGTGATTCTCCTGCCTCAGCCTCCCGAGTAGCTGGGATTACAGGCATCCACCACTATGCCCAGCTAATTTTTGTATTTTTAGTAGAGATGGGGTTTCGCCATGTTGGCCAGGCTGGTCTCGAACTCCTGACCTCAGGTAATCCACCCGCCTCGGTCCCCCAAAGTGCTGGGATTACAGGTGTGAGTGACTGCCCCTGACCTCTTTATGAGTTTTTAATGTCACATTTTTTTGCTATGGTAGTTTCATAGCAAAAGCAATGAATAAATCACAAACTTTATTCATTCATTTATTGAGTCAAAAAACATTTTCCAAGTACCTGTTTCAGTTATTCATTGTTGCATAATAAAGCCAAAATTTAGTAGCTTAAAAATATATAACTTAATTTTCTTATGGTTCTGCAATATGGGCCCAGCTGAATAGTTCTTCTGCTTATCTTACTGGTGGTCACTTCTTGTGGGTCAGTTGGGACTGGATTAAATTGGGACATTGGGAGGGCAGGGCCTCTCTCTCTCTCCAGCAGAGTAGTTCAAGTTACACAGTACCTTAGAATTCCCATGATCTCAAAGCAGAAGTTGTAGGTTATCTCAGGTCTTAGGCTGGGAACTGGCACAGTGTCATTTTCACTGTCATTCTATGATTAAAGCTAGTCACACAGAGAACCCCAACTAAATGGGAGGCAAGCACACAGTGTGTGAATACTTGTGTGAATTGAGCCACTGATACAATAGACTCTCACAATGCCAACTGCTGTGGTAGATATTAACAAAGGGGCGGGGATATAAGGAAGTGAAATTGATAGAAGATTACATTCTAGTTGGCAATGTGGTGAATATATAGGTACTGTTAAATAGCACTGAATTAAAGCATCAGGGCTTACTCAAGTGCCAAATTTGTGCTAAGAGAAGGGTTCTGTGTGGGGATAGAATGCTCAGGCAAGGCCATGGATGCTTGGTGAATGAGGGTGATTTTTGAGAGACAGTAGGAGTTTCCCTAGGAGGATGCTGATTTGCTGTGTGCCTTCTGGGTCATTGGGCTCTGTAATAGTTCATGTTCCACACCTGGGATGATTGATGTCCATTGTGAACAGCTGCTTTGTTTTAGAGTCTTTCTAGGCCACCACCATTGCTCAGATAGCTTCTCATTTATTGGGCAGACATTAGCTCAGGAGGGAAAGATATGTGGGCATGCGTGTGGCAAGAGTAAAGAGGTTAAGGCTTGGCAAAGTGGAAGCAAGAATGAGACCATCTGTTATTTCTATTAAATTACATTTGGACTAAAGCTGCCTCCTTACATATTTTAAGTTCAGCCTAAAGATTTCTCCATGCATAGTAAAGTGCAACCTAACTGGATGTATAAACACACTGTAACCTGCTCTTGTGCCAGTCACTGAGTTTCAGCCAATCAAGGGTGATTAACTGTTCAAACCATGTTCAAACAAGGCAAATGCAGAACTGTAACCAATCCAGCTGTTTCCGTACCTCTCTTCCATTTTCTATGTCACTTTGCTTTTCTTGTCCATAAATCTTTCACCATGTGGCTGCAGTGGAGCCCCTCTGAAACTGCTCTGGTTTGGGGGCTGCCAGATTCTCAAATTGCTCTTTGCTCAGTTAAACTCTGTTCAATTTTAAACTTTCTTCAATTGATTTTTTTTTTTTTTTTTTTGAGACAGAGTCTTGCTCTCTCACCCAGGCTGGAGTGCACTGGTGCAATCTCGGCTCCCTGCAATCTCCACCTCCGGGGTTCAAGCGATTCTCCTGCCTCAGCCTCCCAAGTAGCTGGGATTACAGGCATGCACCACCAGCCCAGCTATTTATTTAGTAGGTACAAGGTTTCACCTTGTTGGCCAGGCCAGTCTCGAACCCCTGACTTCAAATGATCTGCCCGCCTTGGCCTCCCAAAGTGCTAAGATTACAGGCATGAGCCACCACACCAGGCCTCAGCTGAATTTGTCTAAGATTTTTCTTTTAGCATTCTTGATCTACCTTTATGGGGAAATATATTTGTATCTTCTGTAGGAATGCTGCCTGCATTTCCATCAAAACGTTGGGGTTTTCCAGAGGCATAGCAATTAGGACCATTTTCTGTTCTGGAAATTCTATTTGCCTCATGAGATAGGATTTTCAATTTAAACTTCTGTTCTTGCAAAGAGACTGATAGCCTCACTGCTCTACATCTGTCTTCATGTGTAGTTTTTAAAATTTCAGGTATGCTATAGATATTTCATGTTCACAAAGGGCCTGAAACAGTCTCTATCTGTGAGCAGATATCATTGAAAGAAAAAGCATTTAGTGCCAAAGAACCCAGGTTCAAGTTCTGTTCTTCAAGTTGCTTAAGTTCTCTGGGTCTGGGTTTCTTTCTAGTAAAGTGGGTTTACATGAAAATATAAATGTTTCCAGCTAATTCACCAAGTTAAGAGGAGAATTAAAGGACATAATGACAAATAAATGACACAATAATTCTCAAAACAATTTGATAATTATAAACACTATGTAAATGTTATTTAGCTACTTCAATTCCCTTGTGGAATAAAATAAAATATTCATTGTGGCTGCTATCCAATGTCTGGAGCATAGTAAGTATTCAATATATGTTGATTGAATTTATATATGAATTTAGAACCCCTCCTCCCCATGAATTAGGTGTCTTGATCAATTTGGGGCTGAATAAATGGAAATGGAAATGTTAGCTAAATTATCCGTATATTAATTGGTAATCCAATAACCAGTATGTTAGAGATAAGACTTTTAAATCTCTGCAGGGTTTTTTCCTGCTATTAAGCTTGTATGGCTTCAGTTCTAGAAAACCTCTGTGAACACGGTTAAATGTTTGTTTGTTTTTAGGCCAGGTGCGGTGGCTCATGCCTGTAATCCCAGCACTTTGGGAGGCCGAGGCAGGCAGATCACAAGGTCAGGAGATTGAGACCATCCTGGCTAACACGGTGAAATCCTGTCTCTACTAAAAATACAAAAAAATTAGCCGGGCACCTGTAGTCCCAGCTACTCGGGAGGCTGAGGCAGGAGAATGGTGTAAATCCGGGAGGCAGAGCTTGCAGTGAGCTGGATCGTGCCACTGCACTCCAGCCTGGGTGACAGAGTGAGACTGCATCTCAAAATAAATAAATAAATAAGGTTTTTTTTTTTTTTTTGTAGGCCCTCAGATTAAGAACTGATTCGAAAGACTTCAGTACACTGAAGTACCATGCACACTGATATTTCAACTGGTTATCAGCTCTCAAAACATTAACCTAAAATGAAAAATGTAAACTTGCCAAATTTGGTTTTTGTTTTCATCTTATGCCAGTAAACTCATAAGAAGGAACTTCTAGAAAAAAGTGAAATACTCTAGGCAAACTATGGTCTATGAATCAATTCTGGATCCCTGTTTATTTTTGTATCGCCTACAAGCTAAGAATGTGTTTCTCAGTTTGAAATGGTTGAAAGAAAATCAAAAAAAGGCAATATTTTATGACACATGAAAATGATGTGAAATTCAAATTTCAGTGTCCATAAATAAAATTGTATTGGAACTCACTCAGCCATGCTCATTTATTTAAGAATTGTCTACTGCTCTTTCTGAACTACAACAGCAGAGTGGAATAGCTGCAACACAGAGCACATGGCTCACAAATCCTATAATATGTATTATCTGCTCCATGACAGAATAAGGGTCATGGATTCCTGCTCTAGGCTCTTCAAAATGGAAGCAGAACATTTGGAATTTTCCTCACAGCACAAGAAGTGGCCAACAATTTGAGATTTCAGGGAATCAGGAGCATCTGGGGCCTGTCACCTTTGTCACCTTTGAAAACACTGTCTATTGGCCCCAAAGATGGGGATTTCCTCTGCTGTGCTTGTAAAAGTGTTCTTAGCCCTATAGAGACTAAGGTTCACAATGAGCTTCTCATTTTTTTTTTTTTTGGCAAGAGAGATTTTCTTATTCAGTGAAAAAAATTATATATATAGGTATGTATATACACACACACCGATTAGTGACTGCTGTGTGTGTGTGTGTATGTATATATATATCCCAGTATAAAACACATTATGATGCTTAATATTGCGTGTCAACTTGATCGGATTGAAGGATGCAAAATACTGTTCCTGGGTGTGTCTGTAATGGTGTTGCCAAAGGAGATTAACATTTGAGTCAATGGACTGGCAGAGACAGATCCACCCTCAATCTGGCTAGGCACCATCTAATCAGCTGCCAACACGGCTAGAATAAAGCAGGCAGAAGATGGAAGGACTTGACGTGCTGAGTCTTCCGGCCTTCATCTTTCTCTTGTGCTGGATGCTTCCTGCCATCAAACATCAGACTCCAAGTTCTTCAGCTTTTGGACTCTTGGACTTATACTAGTGGTTTTCCAGGTGGTTTTGGGCCTTTGACCACAGACTGAAAGCTGCACTGTTGGCTTCCCTACTTTTGAGGTTTTGGGACTTGGACTGATCCACCACTGGCTTCCTTGCTTCTGAATTTGCAGACGGCCTATCTTGGGACTTTACCCTGTGATTGTGTGAGTCAATTCTCCTTAGTAAACTCCCTGTCATATATACATATATACTATTAGTTCTGTCCTTCTAGAGAACCCTGAATAATACTCACATCATTAGTGAATGTTATATATACACAATCATTAGTGAATGATATTGAAACACGTCATTCACTAAATGATGTGCTTCATATTGGGCCAGTTGCTGGAGAGCAGTGAAAGTTTCTGATCTTCAGGAACTTACTCTCTAGGTAGGTGAAGCAAGATGTACACACATAAATCTGGGGCAGTAATGGTGCTATGTCATGAGGATGACTTAAAAAAATTTTTTTTTTGATGTGCGTGTGTCCATCCAGCATTGTTCTATTTGGTGTCAGAATCCCTCCATTCTTTCTGGGATCCACTCCTTTTTTCTTCACGAAACATGAATTTTGGGTAGAGCTGATCTCCACCCCTCTTTCAGAGGTGAGCATGTAACTCAGGGCTGGACCTCTTACCATCAGCCCTGGGATTTCTCCTAGAACTTTGGGAAAGAGGACTTCTTTTCCTGGGGTCTCCAGCTGCTAGGATTGTATAAGTGCCTTGCAGGGAGAGCTTGCCTGAGAAGGGGAGTACACAGAAGGAAAGCAGAGCCAAGAGACGGAGAAGGAGGGAGAGATTTCAATGACACTGATTCAACATCTAGGCACAGGTGCCTTAATTCTTTTTATTTCCTGTCACGTGAACTGATGCAGTCCATTTATTAGATTTCTTGCCAATGAAAGATGAGATAATGTGGGCTCGAGTGCTAGGGTGAATGATATAAAGAGAAACATGCAGGAAATCAGAGAAGAGCAAGTCAGAGGGAACTGATGCAACCGGGGAAGTCGCTTTTGAAGAGGTGGACTTAGCTGGGCTCTGAAGGATTTAGGTATAGGCTCTTATGGGGGTGGGCATAAAGGGAAGAGGGAAAGTGTGTGAGAAGAAATCTCTTCCATTATTTAATGCAAACTTAATAAAATATGAGAAAAAGTAGGTTAAAGCAACCTCAAAGCAAAGTGAACTCTTGCAAAAAAAAAAAAAAAAAAAAAAAAAAAACTTAACTGGACTTCTGTTTATCCCAAATCTGTATGCCTTTAAACAGTTCTCTTTCTTAGCAAAGGCAGACTAAATTTCTCTTAGAATAGTGTTTGGAAAGAAAAATGAGCTAAAAAAGGGAGAAAGACAGTAGTTATTAACTAATTATTCCAAACAGGACTTTGGGTAATAACAAAGAGGAAAAAATGCTTTGCATCCATCCGGTTGAACAGGGTGCCTCTTCTGGTTTCAGTCCAGCCAGTCATCACAGACACAAAAATATCAGCTCTGGCCCTCAGCATTTGCAACGAGTATTTGACCTTTCCATTTTAAAGGAAATGGGGAACAAAGGGATTACATAATTAAAAATCTGTTTCTGTCTCTTAAAAGCAATTCAGTGTAGGTCAGGAGCCAACTGTCTCCCTTCCCTTCTAATTGTTTTACGCTGGCTCCTGGTACCCTGTTCTTGTTTCTCCTGTGAATAGCTCATTAGTGTTGGGCAGATGTTCCCATTGGGTGCACCATGTTAATGGAGAAACAAAAGAGGCAGCATTGTGATCCAAGAGAAGTTAATATTGAATCCAAAATAGAATAATGAATAAGAATATGTGCTTCCTACATGCCTGTTAGCAACAAACTCTCAATTGTGGCTTATTTTCTATATGACTTACTTGGTTAACCTCCTGTTAACAAGAATGGAGAAAAAATATTCACCAGTTTGGCTGTTAGGTGCTGATACTGTTCACTTTTACCCTGGTCATCTTTCTTTACTATTTGAAAAGAGGCCAGTAGAAATGTAAAAAAAAATGCTTATGGATATTTGAATATAATTAATGTTAAATCAAGACTAAACCACTAAGCCAGTTACAGAGGTGCAATCCTGGGGAAACATGATAGAATACATAAGTTAGTGAGAAGTACAAAAGATGAATTAAAAATTATGCTGCATTAAAAAGTCAACATTTATTGCAAAAAACAGATTTCATACTTCGTACATTTCCTGCATTTTTATTTTGTTTTTTCAGTTAATAATACATTTTGGAGATGCAAAGTCAGAGGATTTTAAGAGTGTTAGATGTGGACTTCAGAGATTTGTGTATGAATCTTATCACTGTATCTATGGCATAATATTGCCTGCTTTTAAATATGACATAGAACAGTAAACTTGGATGATAGTCTTCAGACACAGCTGCTCGGTCTTCTTTTTGGCAGCCTTTTTTCACTTTTTATACAAGTAAGTCATATTCCTTGTTAAACAATTAGAAAATAGAAATAAGCAAAAGGAAAGAAATCATCCATATTTTTTCACTCTCAAAAATATACATTTACATCTTGATGTTTAATGAGAATCTTCCCTTTCCTCTCTCTCCTTTCTCTGTGTACACACACACAGTGACACACACACACACACACACACACATATATACATACATCTTTTAAAAATAAGATCACATTATATATAGTTCTGTAACTTGCTTTTATCACTTAAGTTTTTACGCCAATGAAGATAGGTCTATATTATAACTTTAAATCATGGCAAACTGTTCCATTGTTATGTGTGTGTTATCAAACCAAACTGGGGTCCGCTCACCCAGCACAGTGAGGCCAAACATCCACATTGAGTTTTGCAGTGGGAGAAGGGAGGGTGATTATTTTTATTTTTCAGCTTTTATTTTAGATTCAAGGAGGAGTATATGTGCAAGTTTGTTACATGGGTAAATTGTGTGTCGCTGAGGTTTGGTATATGAATGATCCCATCACCCAGGTAGTGAGCATAGTATCCAAAAGGTAGTCTTTCAAGTCTTACCCCCTCCCTGCCTCCTCTCTCTAGTAGTCTCCCGTGTCTATTGTTGCCATCTTTATGTCCATGTGTACTCAGTGTCTACCCACTTATAAGTGAGAACATGTGGTATTTGATTTTCAGTTCCTGTGTTAGTTCACTTAGGATAATGATCTCTAGCTGCATCCATGTTGCTGCAAAGGACATGATTTTGTGCCTTTTTATGGCTGTGTAGTATTCCATGGTGTATATATGTGACATTTTCTTTATCCAGTCCACTCTTGATGGGCATCTAGGCTGATTCCATATTTTTACTGTTGTGAATAATGCTGTGATGAACATACAAGTGCATGTGTTTTTTTGGTAGAACAACTTATTTTCCTTTCAGTATATATATCCAGTAATGGGATTGCTGGGTCAAATGGTAGTTCTGTTTTTAGTTCTTTGAGAAAGGAGGGCATTTATTTGCAGGACACCAAGGAAAGGGAATCCAGCAGCTCACATTTAAGTCCCAACTTCCCTGATGGCTTGCAAGGAGGGTTTTTAAAGGCAAGGATAAATTTCAGGAAAGCAGAAATTACAGGCAAAATCATAAATCAATACATGGTGATTACACATTGGTTTTGGCCTAAAAGGGCAGGATATCTTGACGTGGGGGCTTACAGGCCATAGGTAGATTCAGAGGTTTTCTGATTTGCAATTGGCTAAGGAAGAGAAGCTTTGTTTAAAAATTTGGGGTCAGCAGAAAAGAGTATTAGCTCTGGCTTGTGGGTGTGACTTCCTCCAGGCCACTTACAAAGAAATTTAGAACAAAGAACGACGGTCAGACTTCAGTCCTCTGTTCCACCTTATCTGAGGTCTGTGTGCCAGTGCATCTGTTTGGTGGTGGTCCAGGTTTCTGAAAAACAACTCAGGGACATATGTTAGATGTTATCTTCAGTTCCTTTAGAGGACCAAACAACCTATGATTCAAACTTCCTTGCATATTGTTTTAAGCTACTATTATCTTCTTCCTGATCAAGTTACTTATTTACTTTTTAGGACTTCCTTGGCGCTTGGAATTTCCTTTGAAGGAACTCAAGACTTTCCTTTATTTCTATGCTTGGGGGGCCTTCAGGCCCCTAAGAGGGGCCCCTGCTGCATCTCATATGGACAGTCCGTAATCTATTTATTTAACCAACCCACTGTGGTTGAACACTTCAGCAGCTTCAAGTATTTACAAGTATAAACAGCTCACACTCTGCAACATGAGTGCTTAATAATGTCTTATTGACACCAGAATTTCAGGTACTTCTCCAAAAGGCATTTATTTCCCCTTGATTCCCTCCCTCCCTCCCTCCCTCCCTTCTTTCCTTCCTTCCTTCCCTCCCTCCCTCCCTTCTTCCTCTCCACCTCATTTTTTTTAGCAACACTTCCATCAGTTATGTATTTCATTCTGTCCTGATCAGGTAATGGGACTGAATCAGAGGGGGCAGCTGGCAAGGAGGCTAAGAGGAGGGTTTACCAGCTGGTGGTAAAGAAGAACCAAGGTTTCTGCTTACCAGTAAACTCTCCATGGCCGTTAATGCAGAATGTAGCCCTGCCTTTACACGTAGCTCGCAAGCTGATATATGTCATCCTTCTCTGATGAGTCTTCTTTTCTCTTTCAGAGTTTATCTTAATATAGTATTTTAATAAGAGTTCACTGGTATAAAAATGCAGCCATGTGGACTAAATATTGAGCCTTCCAAGGTGATTATTTAGAAAGATAAGACTTATTTGCATGCAGAAGTTCTAATACGTTTGTTTAAAACAAGAAGTCTCACTATTGTTTTAATATTAGGGAAGAGTCCCTAGGCTGCAAGAGGTGGGAGATAGAGTAGGATGCTGGAAATTAAAAAAATAAGGGCCACTTACCTGAGCCTGTTGGAGATGAAAAATACATTTGAATAGGGTAAGAGCAGCCACAATTATATTATATCTTAATGCGCATCTCATATTCCAGGCAAGTCTTGCAGGATAGCAAAAACAATTAGCATTTCATAATGTAGTAATTCTGTATTCTAGCAAAACAGCCCCTTATGTGAAAGCCAAATTAATTGACAGAATGATGGCACTGAACTCACAGGCATCATCTTTGGTTCAGTGAGTGCATGTTTTCTACATTTTTAAGTGGGAGAAACAGAAGATTTTGGAGATTGGGCTTCCCTCCTGTATTAGGGACTAATCTAGGACCTTTATTAAGCTCCTCTCAAATTATCCACTTTGAACGTACTGTCTCTTTCCTGAGGGACTCTACCTGATGCTGCTCTTTATGGAATTTTGGTTCTGGAGTTTTAGGATAGGCCTGGAAACTGTATATTAACAAGCAGCTCAAGTAAGTCTTAAAATCTGGAAGATTTGGGAAGTCTGCTGGAGGGGATAGGAGTATAGACTTTGAGTCAAACGGACCTAGATTCTGGGACTGGCTTTCAGTTTCCAGCTGGGTAAGCTTGGGTGTGTTACTTAACTTTCTTGAGGTTAAGAGTCCTCAGAAAGGACTCATCTGTAAAATGTCTACTACCTATTTAACCTAGTATTGTGCACTGTCCTCTTTGCTTTCTGAACCGGCCACCTGCCCTTTTATCCCTGCTCCTCAAGAATAGCAAGACCTTTTCTTCCCCAGGGCCTTTGCACATGCTATTCTGTCGGCACATCTCTCTCCTCTGGCTTCCTCCAACTCATTCTTCAGGCTTTAGCTCCACCATCACTTAGATGGCCTTTCTTGATTTTTATAATCTGAATTATGTCCCCCATCCCATCTGAAGTATTCTCTTACATAATTTATTTTCCTTCTTTGCCTTACCTTTTACCTTCTCTTGCAAAATGATTTCTTTCCTAGACTAGTCTGTTAGCTCCATGAGGGCAGAGGGCTTCCTTTGTTTAGCACCATTGTTAGAGCCAAGGGGTGACTTGGGGAGGGAGCTTTATGCTTCCTGTTACCAAAAAACTTTAAGTCTTAAAAACAAACAAGCAAACAAACATACAAAACCCAGTGCTCTTTTTGTGCAAATGTGGCTTCAAGAAAAATCCTCTGGGCTCCAGTTATTTCTCTTTTGCCTTCTTTTATAGAGACAAAGTTTCCTTTAGTTAACCAGGCTTGCCTCAAACTACTTACTGGCTTCAAGGGATCCTCCCACCTTGGCCTCCCAAAGTGCTGGGATTATGGTGTGAGTCATTGCACCCAACCACCTTCTTAATCCCATTCTGGAGCCTTTCTTGTTCCTCCTACACACCCTAACAAGCTTGTCCAACTCACCATATTTTGTTGTTGTTGTCCTGTTTTGCTTTGTTTTAGGCTTTTAGCAGCCTTGAAGCCATGGTTTTTAGTTTCTGTCTGTAGTGATAAGCAGAAAAGAGGGAAGAGGAAAGGGCTTTACCAGCCCAAACAGAAACAGAAACCGAAGCTAAGAAGCCGTGACTGTATTCTTTCCCTTGGACATCCCTCTGAGAGCACAGGGACTGACCTAGAATTCTTAAAAATATTTGTATGCAGATGACACCTGCATTTATAGTTCTAAACCTACCTCTTTCCTGAGCTCCAGCTCTGAGCTTCCAGTTGTTTCCTAATTAACTCATTGATATCTGGTAATGGCTATTCCTCTAATTATTTCAGTGGGCTTTTGTATTGCTGTCATTAAAAAAAATTGTACCTTGTGTTGTTTTGAATTTAATCAAACTAATTCAATCTTTTAAAAAAGGATTATAATTCCAAATAAATAACAAACTGCCAATTGAATATTTCCATTTAAGATCTTCAGTGTCATCTCAAACTCAACATGGTTAAAACCAAATTTATCATCGTCCCTCCAAACTGACTCCCCTTCTGATTTCCATGAGATCCCATTTGTCAGTGGCTTTACTCTTCTTTCAGGCAAGTGAGTGGGAGCCTTGGAGTCATCTTTACTTTCCTCCTCTTCTATATTCTTTCTTATCATTAATCACTATGACTCAATTATCATCATATCTCTCGCCATCATCATCCCTTTCCACTGTCTTTCTTAATCACATCCTGACAGTTTCTGTAGATTCTGTCTCTCTTTCCTTCCAAGCTCCCTGTAGTCTCCTTCCAGCATTAAGTAGTGCATCTGGAGTTCCCTTTGATGACTTCATTTTCTACAGAGTTCCAGCTCCCTGACCTGGTTGTCCAGGCCTTTCTCAGGCTATCCCCCAACACACCATCCAATCTCGTCACTACGACTTTCTCACATGCACTCCTTTCCTTCCTTCCTTCCTTCCTTCCTTCCTTCCTTCCTTCCTTCCTTCCTTCCTCCCTCTCTCTCTTTCTGTCTCTTTCTTTCTTCTTTCTTTCTTTTTCTTTCTCCCTTATTTCTTTCTTTTCTTTTCTTCCTTTCCTTTCCTTTCTCTCTCCCTCCCTCCCTTTCTTTTATTTTCTTTTCTTTCCCTTTCTTTCTTTCTTTCTTTCTTTCTTTCTTTCTTTCTTTCTTTCTTTCTTTCTTTCTTTCTTTCTTTTCTTTCTTTCTTTCTTTTCTTTCTTTCTTTTCTTTCTCTCTCTCTCTCTCTATTGCCTAGGCTGGAGTGCAGTGGCATGATCATGGCTCACTGCAGCCTCACTCTCCCAGACTTCAGCGATCATCTCACCTCGTTCTCCTGAGTAGCTGGGACTACAGGCGTGTGCCACCATGCCTGGTTAATTTTGTTTATTTTTTATAGAGACAGGGGCCTCACTGTGTTGCCCAGGCTATCTCGAACTACTAGGCTCAAGCTATCTTCCTGCCTGGGCTCCCCAAAGTGCTGGGATTACAGGTGTAAGCCACTGTGCCCAGCCCCATGCATCTTTTCTCAGTCAGATTTATGTATTCACTGTTTCAAGAGGCTGCGTTTACTTTCAGGGAAAATAACTCACTGAATCCTTTAATACCTTCTCTTCCCTCAAGGGTACCTGGAGGGACCCCTTTTGTGAATGGCCCTGTCTTAGGCCTAATGAAGATTTACAGAATGAGGTAGACATGTTCCCTGACCTTGAGGAACTGCTAGAAAAATGAGAAGAAATGGACAGAGTTGATCTCTTTGCTTTAGCTGTCTTCATGATCAATATCTGTCTCTGTTGAATTGATTTTATGGAGCCTGAAACTGGTGGTTAAGAGACGAGATAGAGTACTGCAACTGTGTTACGTATTCCCATTTATATTTTCCATGCTGGCCAGGCCAAGGACAATAGATTCTGTGTGGTACCATCGCTGGGGTTAAATATATGCACAAGCCATTCTTGAAATGGATTATTATTCTTCACAATTTTTTTTTAAATATGAAGTAAACACTATGGCTTCATTATGATTTGAGAAAAAACAAGTCAGGAACTAATACAGCCCAGGGACAATGTTTATAAGCTCTAGGTAAGGTTTCTTAAATTTTCATAATGTCATTTATTTTTGTCACGTTTCATAGTAATTAACAACAAAAACATTAAAACTAGCAACAAAAAGCCTTTTGTGTATTTATCTTCGGGAACTGGTGATGAGTAGGTCTTCATCTGAAGCAGAGTTTTTCATTGTTCTCTCTCATAGCACTTGGTTGCTTCATCATTGTTTGTAAGACTATATTTTCTCAGTTCTTGTCAGTCTGTCTCATGTAAAGTCTATAAGGGCAGGGAACATGTCTGCTCTGTTCCCTAATAAGTCCCCTGAGCCTATCACAGAGCATAGGATGTCAGGAAGTTCCCTTCTTCCCCTGTCCTTTTCAGTTGTTTCTAGAAAACTGTAGTAGGAAGAGCTAAACTCTGGAGACATATTTTTGTTTCTATCTGAAATGAGGTAGCATTCTTTATTTTTCCTGCAGCATGCTGGTATTCTTACTTGATATCACCCTCATCTAGTTTTTGTTTTTTGAGATGGAGTTTTGCTGTGTCGCCCAGGCTGAAGTGCAGTGGCTGTATCTTGTCTCACTGCAACCTCTGGCTCCTGGGTTCATCAGACTCCTGAGTAGCTGGGTTTACAGGCATGTGCCATCATGCCCAGCTAATTTTTGTATATTTAGTAGAGACGGGTTTTCACCATGTTGGCCAGGCTGGTCTTAGTTTTTTTTTTTTTTTTACATATACTATATAATTATATTATATATTTTTCTTTTTTATTTACCTTAAAGGAATGAGTTTGAGGTAGTTTTTGTACTTATTTATTTAAAGACTAGTCAAGTGCAGTAGTGAGAAGGGGGAAAGAGTAGAACAAGGAGTTCCATCTGTAACTATGAACAATCAATTGAGATAACTATCTTCCAACAGCCTGATTTTTATTTTTCAGCTTTAATATTAAATATTGTACTTCTAATGTCATTTTGTGACATCATACACAAGAAAAGATATTTTTTAAAGCAGGGACAAAATTAATTTGTTTAAAACTGAAGACATTATATTTATGTGTTAATAATATTTTCTGTATACTTGTATGCATTCATGTCTTAAAGTACATTCCCTGGGGATTATTTCTAATGTAAAACCCTCAGGGACATTGTGTATTAAAAAATATAATTACAGTGCCAAACTACAAGCAAATATGTTCTTTTCCAATCTAACCAAGTATAGTTCTCAGTTATGTTTTTCAATTTGCTTTAAGATGAATTAGTTCAATAAAGACTTAAAGGAATTATGATACATGAAAAACTGATTTTTGTTTTGTTACTGAAGCATCAAAAGGCCCCAAATTACATGTATCTTAGTGATGACAATTTATCTATTCAAGCAATTTAGTCAGAGGGTATGAGTATCTAAAGAAAAACTTCAAAATGAAAGAAAGTGTAATTTATCTTAGGGACCATATTGGTACCACTGTTCTTACCTGTCAGTTGTACTTTATTTACTTGTTATTTATACTATTAGCCTCACTGATGCATATATGCAAAAATGCACTTTTTACATTTAAAAATCTGATACAGTTGTGTAAAAATCAGATACTATCAGATTGACGTAATATGTGATTGTCACATTTTTTCTTGAAAATTAGCTTGATGGGTTAATTTTCTTTTTTTTTTATGTTTACAGTATTCTTTTTATTTATTTATTTTTATTTTATTATTATTATACTTTAAGTTTTAGGGTACATGTGCACAATGTGCAGGTTAGTTACATATGTATACATGTGCCATGCTGGTGTGCTGCACCTATTAACTCGTCATTTAGCATTAGGTATATCTCCTAATGCTATCCCTCCCCCCTCCGCCCACCCCACAACAGTCCCCAGAGTATGATGTTCCCCTTCCTGTGTCCATGCGTTCTCATTGTTCAATTCCTACCTATGAGTGAGAACATGCGGTGTTTGGTTTTTTGTTCTTGCCATAGTTTGCTGAGAATGATGGTTTCCAGTTTCATCCATGTCCCTACAAAGGACATGAACTCATCATTTTTTATGGCTGCATAGTATTCCATGGTGTATATGTGCCCCATTTTCTTAATCCAGTCTATCATTGTTGGACATTTGGGTTGGTTCCAAGTCTTTGCTATTGTGAATAGTGCCACAATAAACATACGTGTGCATGTGTCTTTATAGCAGCATGATTTATAGTCCTTTGGGTATATACCCAGTAACGGGATGGCTGGGTCAAATGGTATTTCTAGTTCTAGATCCCTGAGGAATCGCCACACTGACTTCCACAATGGTTGAACTAGTTTACAGTCCCACCAACAGTGTGAAAGCATTCCTATTTCTCCACATCCTCTCCAGCACCTGTTGTTTCCTGACTTTTTAATGATCGCCATTCTAACTGGTGTGAGATGGTATCTCATTGTGGTTTTGATTTGCATTTCTCTGATGGCCAGTGATGGTGAGCATGTTTTCATGTGTTTTTTGGCTGCATAAATGTCTTCTTTTGAGAAGTGTCTGTTCATGTCCTTCACCCACTTTTTGATGGGGTTGTTTGTTTTTTTCTTGTAAATTTGTTTGAGTTCATTGTAGATATTGGATATTAGCCCTTTGTCAGATGAGTAGGTTGCAAAAATTTTCTCCCATTCTCTAGGTTGCCTGTTCACTCTGATGGTAGTTTCTTTTGCTGTGCAGAAGCTCTTTAGTTTAATTAGATCCCATTTGTCAATTTTGGCTTTTGTTGCCATTGCTTTTGGTGTTTTAGACATGAAGTCCTTGCCCATGCCTATGTCCTGAATGGTAATGCCTAGGTTTTCTTCTAGGGTTTTTATGGTTTTAGGTCTAACGTTTAAGTCTTTAATCCATCTTGAATTAATTTTTGTATAAGGTGTAAGGAAGGGATCCAGTTTCAGCTTTCTACATATGGCTAGCCAGTTTTCCCAGCACCATTTATTGAATAGGGAATCCTTTCCCCATTGCTTGTTTTTGTCAGGTTTGTCAAAGATCAGATAGTTGTAGATACACGGCGTTATTTCTGAGGGCTCTGTTCTGTTCCATTGATCTATATCTCTGTTTTGGTACCGGTACCATGCTGTTTTGGTTGCTGTAGCCTTGTAGTATAGTTTGAAGTCTAATTTTCAAAGATTAACAATAACGGGCTGAATCACAAACTACCACTAAAATAAGTACTTATACAATAAAATCTTATTTTTCTTGATATAAAGTCTTAGATAGATTGAGATTAACAGAGGTAAGATCACTCAAGATCCCAGATGGATTAGTGTGCCGAGTGGCAAGAGGCAACTCAGCAGCCAAAGATGCTCTTGGTTGGCACTAGGAAAACTATACACAGGCCTTCCATTGTCTGGAACACCCATCCCCTTCTTTGTCTAGGTCTGTCTTGTTATGTTGCCTGACATCTAGCAGGCACTCAAATATTTGTTCATTGAATGGATACATTCAATACTTAGAGCAGAGGGTTTGAAATTAGCCATAGGACACTCACAAAAAATAAGTTGGTGTGAGTGTCCAATTAATATTATACACCAACTATATTCAGATAGGATAAAGTTGTCTGGAGGTTAAAGGGGGCCAGTATTGATTATTTACTTTGTCCAGGCTAAGGAAGATAGTGTCCAAAAACTGCTAGGGGCATGGCGGGGAAAAAAATCTGGCCAAGAGTCAAAGGGATGTGAAGGTGTCAAAAAGATGTCTCTTACCTCTCTTCCTGCTCCGGCTCATGGGCACTGACCATTGTTATTGGTTAAGGGTCCTTGCATGGAATTTTGATGGCAGTGTCTGAATATTATCTCATAGCCTAGTGGAGTTTGTTAGAGATTTTGTAAATTTGCTTAATCAGATATCATTTATTCTGTAGTATATTTGCATAGGTAGTGTTTTAGAAATAATAAATCACTTTATGTTTTAAGAACGATTAGAATTCAGCATTTAGAAAATATTTATTAATAGTATACATGAATTTAGATTATATAGTATAGAGGTCACCAGGCTTGTCACTGCAACTAACAGTAGTTGGGGACTGGAGAAGATATTCTTAGTGAGGATTCTAATATTAAACCTGAAAAACTTAAAAAAAAAAAGATGTCTGCTGTTTTTGTTATTTCCAAATGCTAACTTTTAAATTATCTTTGGGCTATGCAGTCCAAAAATAACATGGTAAATATTATAGATTTTAAAAGAATATTGACGTTTATATTTTTTGTTTAAGAAAAAAAAAAAACAAGCCCTAATGCTTGCATTTATTTTCCTTTAAAGGTAGGTTGCTTTTTGATTGCATTGGTCACTTTGGAGTTATTTGTTACCTTACTGATTGAATGAGTGGGCTCTTATTATTTGGCAGGAGGCAGAAGGGTATGCGGCATCATTTCAAAAGAAACTATAGCAACTCTTGACCTTGGGTTGTGAACAGTGGTTTACTCTCTTCACTTGGCCATTGCTGTCATTAGAAGCACATTCTATCTTTTGAGTAAAAAGACTGTTCTATTCATCTTGATATATATAGATTTGTCCAGAAGATGTTAACCTTTATTATAACACCAAAATTGAGAGGAGAGGATAAACCTGCGGAAATAGAAGCAGAATTTAAAATAAAATTTTTTAAATTCAATGATCTCAGCTTGTCATTCTTATTTGAGATGATAAAAAGATACCTTAGGAAAGAATGCAGATTCTGACTGATAAAATCTGAAGGCATTATGGGACAGGAGAATTTGAAACTCACATCATTTTATTATTGTCAATAGCAGCCACACAGACAGACAGGAACATCTAATAGATACCTCCTTCAATAAATTTATGAGCTAATCCAAATTATTCTTTGTAAAATCCTGTGAGCCACTGATACCCGGACACTATGCCAAGCAATCCGAGACAGGCCACGTGGCTTTATCATAATTAGAAAAGAGAGTTGGAGCCTAGGGTTTTCTACACAATCATAAAAAAGCTTCAATTCACTCTGCTGTGACTTAAACTCTGAGATATACATAGAAAAAAACCCAAAAAGTTCTATGTTAGAATTCCCCATCATGTTTAAGCATCACCTGAATGGCTGAGACCTAAAGCTATCACACACAACGTTGATTAGTCAAAAAACCAACCAAAAGAAGGTGTGAACAGGTACCAGGCTGTTGCTAAAAATAATATGACAGCACCAACACTGTGCTGGGAGGAGTAGGCATCTTGACTAAATTATGAGTCAGGCAAAGTGTGGGGCTCAGTCTCCTTGTCTCTAAAATAAAGCTTTTAGATTTAGGTAATTTGTTAAGTATCAGTCTTAAAGTGCCATGAAATAATTATTCTAAAATTTGGGGATTTCTCATTTTGAGGGGTTCTATGCTATCTTTGGAGCATCTCCTTCACCTGCCAGATGTCTCCCTCTTCTCCCCTTGCTGCCACCTCACTAAGGGGTTTCACCTGCATCTGTCTCTCACTCAGCTCTAGGTGTGTGTGTGTGTGTGTGTGTGTGTGTGTGTGTTTTGTTTTGTTTTTAGCTCTAGGTGTTTTTATTGCCTATGCACTCCCTCTTCTCATTGGCCCTTCTTCAGGGCATCTTTGACTGGTGACCTAATTCGTTCAAATTATTGTTTTAATGTTGTAACTCCTCCACAATATACATACATTTATAGAAGCATATTTTGAAATATTTATCTATGCGTTTTCTTATTTCTTTTAGCACTTTCAGCATTAACATTAGACAGTGAGGTTGAATCTTATAGCCCCAGGGAAGGAAGGACACAAGGAAGCACAGAGAGAAGGAAAGATTTCATTGAGCTTCTAACTGGATTAAAAATCAGACAAACACTAGAGGCAATAGACAGAAAATTTCTGGATTTTAATGGCAAGTGTTGGTTTCTGCTTCTGGTAATGGTAGAGTAGCTTCTGTCAGAATAACCCTCTCTCAAATAACGACAAACTCTGCATAAAATAAAAACACAACCTTCGGAAGGCATTAGAAATCAAGCCAAAGCAGGCACATGCATATGAATTATGGATGGACATTTGGAGAAAGGGAGTGGCACTGGGTGGGTTTCCAATTTCTTATAGATTTTAGCCTGAAGAGAAGTCTCAGATGGTATACTAAGAAAACAAAGCATAGATAGAAAACCCACATCCTTACTGAGGACAGGGCTTGAGGCAGCCAGCAGCTGAAGGTAAGGAAGGAATCCTGGAAAAGAGAGCCACAAAGAGGGAGCCCCCAAATCCTGTATATTAACTGCCAAAATATCTGACTGCCCCCTGAGCTACACATGTCCAGGAAGACTCCAAGCTACCCAGCCAAGGCCAAAAGAACTGAACTGAGATTTCAGAGTCTGGAGTTTGAGTACAGCCTAGTTAACTTTTTGCCAATATAAGCAAACAAAAATGAACCTCTTTGGAGAAACAGAAAGAATCCAGATTTTCCACAATGTATCATTCACAATATCCAGGTATAATCCAAAATTACTGGACATGAAGATATAAGAAAATGTGACCCATACTGAAAAGACTGACCCAAAGATAACCAGATGTTGGATTTAACAAAAAAGAATTTCAGATTCCCGGGCAAGATGGTTGAATATGAACAGCTCCGGTCTGTAGTTCCCAGCAGACCAACTCAGAAGGCAGATGATTTCTGCATTTCTGACTGAGGTACCCGGTTCATCTCATTGGGACTGGTTAGACAGTGGGTGCAGCCCACAGAGGGCGAGCAGAAGCAAGGTGGGGCATTGCCATTGCCTCACCCGGGAATGGCAAGGGGTCAGGGAACTCCCTCCCCTAGCCAAAGGAAGCTGTGAGAGACCCTGTTGTGAGGGATGGTGCTATCTGGCCCAGATACTATGCTTTTCCCACGGCCTTTGCAACCCACAGACAGGAGATTCTCTTGGGTGCCTACACCACAAGGGCCCTGGGTTTCAAGCATAAAACTAGGCGGTCATTTGGGCAGACACTGAACTAGCTGCCGGAGTTTTTTTTTTGTACCCCAGTGGCGCCTGGAACTCCATGAGACAGAACCATTGTCTCCCCCGGAAAGGGGACTAAAGCCAGGGAGCCAAATGATTTTGCTCAGTGGACCCCACCTGCACAGAGCCCAGCAAGCTAAGATCCACTGGCTTGAAATTCTCACCAGCACAGCAGTCTGAAGTTGGCCTGGGATGCTTGAGCTTGGTGGGGGAGGGAAGACTGCCATTACTGAGGCTTGAGTAGGTGGTTTTCCCCTCACAGTGTAAACAAAGTCACCAGGAAGTTCAGACTGGGCAGAGCCCACCACAGCATTGCAAAGCTGCTGTAGCCAGATTGCCTCTCTAGAGTCCTCCTCTCTGTGCAGGGCGTCTCTGAAAGAAAGGCAGCAGCCCCAGTCAGGGGCTTATAGATAAAACTCCCATCTCCCTGGGACAGAGCACCTGGGGGAAGGGGTGCCTGTGGGCGCACTTCAGCAGACTTAAACATTCCTGCCTGTCAGCTCTGAAGAGAGAAGCGGTTCTCCCAGCACAGCGCTTGAGCTCTGCTAAGGGACAGACTGCCTCCTCAAGAGGGTCCCTGACCCCTGTGGCTCCTGACGGGGAGATATCTCCCAGTAGTGGTTGACAGACACCTCATACAGGAGAGCTCTGGTTGGCATCAGGCCAGTGTCCCTCTGGGGTGAAGTTTCCAAAGGAAGGAGCAGGCAGCAATCTTTGCTGTTCTGCAGCCTCTGCTGGTGATACCCAGGCAAACAGGGTCTGGAGTGGACCCCCAGCAAACTACAGCAGATCTGCAACAGAGGGGCCTGACTGTTAGAAGGAAAACTAACAAACAGAAAGCAATAGCATCAACATCAACAAAAAGGATGACCACGCTAAAACTCCATTCGAAGGTCACCAACATCAAAGACCAAAGGTAGACAAATCCACGAAGATGAGGAAAAACCAGTGCAAAAACGCTGAAAATTCCAAAAACCAGGATGCCTCTTCTCCTCCAAAGGATCACAACTCCTCACCAGCAAGGAAACAAAACTGAACAGAGAATGAGTTTGATGAATTGGCAGAAGTAGACTTCAGAAGGTGGGTAATAACAAACTCCTCCTAGCTAAAGGAGCATGTTTTAACTCAATGCAAGGAAGTTAAGAACCTTGAAAAAAGGTTAGAGGAATTGCTAACTAGAATAACCAATTTAGAGAGAACATAAATGACCTGACGGAGCTGAAAAACACAGCACGAGAACTATGTGAAGCATACACAAGTGTCAATAGCTGAATCGATCAAGTGGAAGGAAGGATATCAGAAATTAAAGATCAACTTAATAAAATAAAGTGTGAAGATAAGATTAGAGAAAAAAGAATATGAAGGAACGAACAAAGCCTTCAAGAAATATGGGGCTATGTGAAAAGACCAAACCTACGTTCGATTGGTGTACCTGAAAGTGACGGGGAGAATGAAACCAAGTTGGAAAACACACTTCCAGATATTATCCAGGAGAACTTCCCCAACCTAGCAAGGCAGGCCAACATTCAAATTCAGGAAATACGGAGAACACCACAGAGATACTCCTTGAGAAGAGCAACCCCAAGACATATAATCATCAGATTCATCAAGGTTGAAATGAAGGCAAAAATGTTAAGGGCAGCCAGAGAGAAAGGTTGGGTTACCCACAAAGGGAAGCCCATCAGACTAACAGCGGATTTCTCTGCAGAAACCCTACAAGCCAGAAGAGAGTGAGGTCCAATATTCAACATTCTTAAAGAAAAGAATTTTCAACCCAGAATTTCATATGCAGCCAAACTAAGCTTCATAAGTGAAGGAGAAATAAAATCCTTTATAGACAAGCAAATGCTGATGGATTCTGTCACCACCAGGCCTGCCTTACAAGAGCTCCTGAAGGAAGCACTAAATATGGAAAGGAAAAACCAGTAGCAGCCACTGCAAAAACAACCCAAAATGTAAAGAACATTGGCACTATGAAGAAACTGCATTAACTAATGGGCAAAATAACCAGCTAGCATCATAATGACAAGATCAAATTCACACATAAAATATTAACCTTAAATGTAAATGGGCTAAATCCCCCAATTAAAAGACACAAACTGGCAAATTGGATAAAGAGTCAAGACCCATCAGTGTGCTGTATTCAGGGGACCCATCTCACATGCAAAGACACACATAGGCTCAAAATAAAGGGATGGAGGAAGATTTACCAAACAAATGGAAAGAAGAAAAAAAAAAAAGCAGGGGTTGCAATCCTAGTCCCTGATAAAACAGACTTTAAACCAAAAAAGATTAAAAAAAAAAAAAAGACAAAGAAGGGCATTATATAATGATAAAGGGATCAACGCAAGAAGAAGAGCTAACAATCCTAAATATATATGCACCCAATACAGGAGCACCCAGATGCATAAAGCAAGTTCTTAGAGACCTACAAAGAGACTTAGACTTCCACACAATAATAGTGGGAGGCTTTAACACCCCACTGTCAATATTAGACAGATCAGCAAGACAGAAAATTAACAAGGATATTGAACTCAGCTCTGGACCAAGTGGACCTAATAGATATTTACAGAACTCTCCACCCCAAATGAACAGAATACACATTCTTCTCAGCACCACATAGCACTTATTCTAAAATCAACCATATAATTGGAAGTAAAACACTCCTCAGCAAATGCAAAAGAATGGAAATCATAACAAACAGTCTCTCAGACCACAGTGCAATCAAATTAAAACTCAGGATTAAGAAACTCACTAAAAACTGCACAACTACATGGAAACTGAAAAACCTGCTCCTGAATGACTACTGGGTAAATAACGAAATTTAGGCAGAAATAAATAAGTTCTTTGAAACCAATGAGAATAAAGACACAATGTAGCAGAATCTCTGGGACACAGCTAAAGCAGTGTTTAGAGGAAAATTTATAGCACTAAATGCCCACAGGAGAAAGTGGGAAAGATCTGAAATCGACACCCTAACATCACAATTAAAAAAACTAGAGAAGCAAGAGCAAAAAAATTCAAAAGCTAGCAGAAGGCAAGAGATAACTAAGATCAGAGCAGAACTGAAGGAGATAGAGACACGAAAAACCCTTCAAGAAATCAATGAATCCAGGAGCTGGTTTTTTGAAAAGATTAACAAAATTGATAGACTGCTAGCCAGACTAATAAAGAAGAAAAGAGAGAAGAATAAAAAAGACACAATAAAAAATGAGAGGGGGATGTCACTACTGATTCCACAGAAATACAAACTACCATCGGAGAATACTGTAAACACCTCTACGTGAATAAACTAGAAAATATAGAAGAAATGGATAAATACACATACACCCTCTCAAGACTAAATCAGGAAGAAGTCAAATCCCTGAATAGATGAATAAGTTCTGAAATTGAGGCAGAAATTAATAGCCTACCAACCAAAAAAAAGCCCAGGACCAGATGGATTCACAGCCAAATTCTATCAGAGGTACAAGGAGGAGCTGGTACCATTCCTTCTGAAAGTATTCCAAACAATAAAAAGAGAGGGAATCCTCCCTAACTCATTTTATGCAACCAAGATCATCCTGTTACCAAAACCTGGCAGAGACACAACAAAAAAAAAGAAAATTTCAGTCCAATATCCCTGATGAACATCGATGCAAAAATCCTCAATAAAATACTGGCAAACCGAATCCAGCAGCACATTAAAAAGCTTATCCACCACAATTAAGTCAGCTTCATCCCTGGGATGCAAGGCTGGTTCAACATATGCAAATCAACAAACGTAATCCATCACATAAAGAGAACCAATGACAAAAACCACATGATTATCTCAATAGATGCAGAAAAGGCCTTTGATAAAATTCAACACCCCTTTATGCTAAAAACACTCAGTAAACTAGGTATTGACGGAACATGTCTCAAAATAATAAGAGCTATTTATGACAAACCCACAGCCAATATCATACTGAATGGGCAAAAGCTGGAAGCATTCCCTTTGAAAACCAGCAAAAGACAAGAATGCCCTCTCTCACCACTCTTATTTAACATAGTATTGGAAGTTCTGGCCAGGGCAATCAGGCAGGAGAAAGAAATAAAGGGTATTTAAATAGGAACAGAGGAAGTCAAATTATCTGTTTGTAGAAGACATGATTGTATATTTAGGAAACCCCATTGTTTCAGCCCAAAAACTCCTTAAGCTGATAAACAACTTCAGCAAAGTCTCAGGATACAAAATCAATGTGCAAAAATCACAAGCATTCCTATACACCAATAATAGACACACATAGAGCCAAATCATAAGTGAATCCCATTCACTATTGCTACAAAGAGAATAAAATACCTAGGAATCCAACTTACAAGGGATGTGAAGGACCTCTTCAAGGAGAACTACAAACCACTGCTCAAGGAAATAAGAGAGGACACAAACAAATGGAAGAACGTTCCATGCTCATGGATAGGAAAAATCAATATCGTGAAAATGGCCATACTGCCCAAAGTAATTTATAGGTTCAATGCTATTCCCATCAAGCTACCATTGACTTTCTTCACAGAATTAGAAAAAACTACTTTAAATATCAGATGGAACCAAAAAAGAGCCCATATAGCCAAGACAGTCCTAAGCAAAAAGAACAAAGCTGGAGGTATCACGCTACCTGACTTCAAATTATACTACAAGGCTGCAGTAACCAAAACAACATGGTACTGGTACCAAAACAGAGATACAGACCAATGGAACAGAACAGAGCCCTAAGAAATAATACCACACATCTACAACCATCTGATCTTTGACAAACCTGACAAAAACAAGCAATGGGGAAAGGATTCCCTATTTAATAAATAGTGTCGGGAAAACTGGCTGGCCATATGCAGAAAACTGAAACTGGACCCCTTCCCTACACCTTATACAAAAATCAACTCAAGATTCGTTAAAGATTTAAACATAAGACCTAAAACCATAAAAACTCTAGAAGAAAACCTAGGCAATACCATTTAGGACATAGGCATGGGAAAGACTTCATGACTAAAACACCAAAAGCAATGGCAACAAAGGCATAATTGACAAATGGGATCTAATTAAACTAAACAGCTTCTGCACAGCAAAAGAAACTATCATCAGAGTGAACAGGCAACCTACAGAATGGGAGAAAATTTTTGCAACCTATCTATCTGGCAAAGGGCTAATATCTAGAATCTACAAAGAACTTAAACAAATTTACAAGAAAAAAAACCAAACAACCCCATCAAAAAGTGGGTGAAGGATATGAACAGACACTTATCAAAAGAAGACATTTATGTAGCCAACAAACATATGACAAAAAGCTCATACTTGTCATTAGAGAAATGCAAATCAAAGCCACAATGAGATACCATCTCATGCCAGTTAGAATGGAGATCATTACAAAGTCAGGAAACAACAGATGCTGGAGAGGATGTGGAGAAATAGGAATGCTTTTACATTGTTGGTGGGAGTGTAAATTAGCTCAAACATTGTGGAAGACATTGTGGCAATTCATCAAGGATCTAGAACTAGAAATGCCATTTGACTCGGCAATCCCATTGCTGGGTATATACCCAAAGGATTATAAATCATTCTGCTATAAATACACATGCACATGTATGTTTATTGCAGCACTATTCACAACAGAAAATACTTGGGACCAACCCAAATGCCCATCAATGTTAGACTGGATAAAGAAAATGTGGAACATAAACACCATGAAATACTATGCAGCCATAAAAAAGAATGAGTTCATGTCCTTTACAGGGACATGGATGAAGCTGGAAGCCATCATACTCAGCAAACTAACACAGGAACAGAAAACCAAACACCGCATGTTCTCACCCATAAGTGGGAGTTGAACAATCAGAACATATGGGCACAGGGAAGGGAACATTACACGCAGGGGCATGTCAGGGGTGGTGGGGCAAGGGGAGGGATAGCATTAGGAGAAATATCTAATGTAGATGAAGGGTTGATGGATGCAGCAAATCACCATGGCACATGTATACCTATGTAACAAACCCGTACGTTTGGCACATATATCCCAGAACTTAAAGTATAATAATAAAAAAGAATTTCAATGCAGCAGTAATAGCTACATTCAAAGATATAAAAGAGAAATATTTTACAATGAACAAGTAGCTAAAATATAATAGCAAATAAACTGAAAGTATAAAAAAGAACAAAATGAAAATTTTATTATTTATTTTTAATGTTTGTCGATTTAGAGAGTACAAGGGCAGTTTTGTTACATGGACATATTGCCTAGCAGTGAAGTCTGGGCTTCTAGTGTACCTATCACCAGAATACTGTACATTGTACCCAATAGGTAATTTTTCATTCCTTATCTTTCTCCTGTCCTCCCTTTTGGAGTCTCCACCACCTATTATTCCTGTCTGTATGTTAATGTGTATACATTGTTTAGCTCCTTCTTATAAGTGAGAACATGCAGTGAAATTAAAATTTTAGAACTGACAAATATAATACCTGAAATAAAAATCTACTCAGTGGATTTAAAAGTAGATTGCACTGTCCACAATAGCTAAGATTTGGAAGCAACCTACGTGTCCATCAACAGATGAATGGATAAAGAAAATGTGGTATATATACACAATGGAGTACTATTCAGTCATAAAAAAGAATGAGATCCTGTCATTTGCCACAACATGGATGGAATTGGAGCTTATTATGTTAACTGAAATAAGCCAGGCACAGAAAGACAAACATCACATGTTCTCACTTATTCGTGGGATCGAAAGATCAAAACAATTGAACTCATGGACACAGAGAATAGAGGATGGACATCGAGAGTAGAGGGTAGTGGGGGACTGAGGGGGAGACAGGGATGGTTAGTAAGTACAAAAAATAGAAAGAATGAATAAGACCTACTATTCAATAGCACAACAGGGTGACAATAGTCAATAATAACTTAATTGTACATTTTAAAACAACTTAGAGTATAATGAGGGGATGAATACCCCATTCTCCATGGTGTGATTATTTCCCATTGCATACCTGTAGCAAAACATACCATGTATCCCATAAATATATATACCCACTGTGTACCCAAAAAACTTAAAAAAAAAACAACCAACAACAACAAAAAACCCATAGATTGAAGATGATAGAAGTCATAGTTAGAAATTTAAGATGGATGGAAATCACCCAATCTCGGTGAGCGCACTGGGCCTAGTGGATCAGGGTGCAGGGGCAACCCGGGGTGTAGGTCAGAGCTGGGAGGCATGGGGGCACGTCTGTCACTGCCCTGGGGACCATCTCCAGCATGGAGCCTCACAGCGTGGAGACCTGTGATCCTGACACCTGCAGATGCTGAGCTGACCAGAACTGGAAGCCAATTTAAACCTGGGGGAGATCAAGAAACTTTTGGATTAAAGGAAGTCTTCAGGTTTCTGCATCCTGTAAGACTTTACTTACCCTTTTTGAAATGTCAATAATATTTGCAGTGTTCTGGGGAAAAAGTGCTGGTCAGTTTTCCAGTGCAAGCCATGATATACTTCTATAACGATGAGTCTGATTCAGATGATGAAGAGCAAGAGGAAGAAACTAGCTCTTCCATTTTCTGTGCAAGGAGGCGGAAGGTCTGGAGGAAAATGTCCTCTGGGGGAAAGGGCAGAGACAGGATCATAAACTGAGGATGGCAGTCTGAAAGAAGGGGTGGCCTCTGTGTGGAGGACCAGCTCCCCTGAGGTGACTCCTCAAGGGGCAGGGAGTGCTCCTCATTCACACAAATAGGGCTCTCTCCCATGCCAGCTCCACAGGGGCCATCTCCTCCTGAGCCCTGCTCTGGGTCCTGCCCCCCATGCTTTTTTGGGGACAGCCAAGCCAGGACACGGTGCATCCTCTGCTGAGTTTACAGAGGCTGGGGGCTGCTTTGACTGCCTCTGGTCAGCACTCTAACTCATGGCTGGAACTCAGCTCTTACTTTTCTTTCTCTTGGTCATTCTTTTTTAGTGCACTCATGCATACCTTTGAGAAAAGATTCCAGGACAAAGAGAAGGTTTGTGTCAACATGAGTTCTTATCAGACAAAACCATCTTTCAAAGCTCATTCAGCACTGTCACTCTGCTGATCAGATTATAAATTATTCTATATAGATTAGTAACTCTCCTCCACCTCTCACTTAACCTGAGACTCAATTTTTAGCTATTTCTGCTTTTGTAAAAACTATTTAGATATTAAATTTTAATTTTAATTCATTGTTTAAAGGTTGATGTGGTTGTTTAGTAGCATTTTGAAAAAAATCATTTATGAAAAAGCAAAAAAACTCACCAAATAATTTTGATAAGAGTAACAAATAAAAAGACTTAAATAAAATATACACAGAATAAAATAACAAAAGAATTTTTCGCAGACAGTTCTGGATAAAAATGTGTGCGATAGATTGTATAAAGCTGTGTGTATGGGTACAGGGATCAGAACTTTAACTCTTATTAGTTGGTGACTGCTTTGGGTTTGTTACTTAAATAGACGAACATTATTATTAATAATTTTATTGTATTTTATTATGTATTATATTTTATTTATTTTATTTACTTCATTACATATTTTATTATATATAAATATATATTTTATTTTATTATTTATTTTATTATTATTATTAACATTATTTTTATTATTACCTAATGTAAAAATTTTAAAAAATGAAATCACCCAGGCTGAAGGGCAGAGATTTCCAAAGACTGGAAAAAATAAACAGAGTCTCAGCAACCTGTAGGGCAATATTAAAATAGATTGAAAATTGGCCGGGTGCAGTGGCTCATGCCTGTAATCCCAGCACTTTGGGAGGCCGAGGCAGGTGAATCATTTGAGGTCAGGAGTTCGAGACCAGCCTGGCTAACATGATGAAACCTTGGAGTCTACTAAAAATACAAAAATTAGCCATGTGTGGTGGTGGGTGCTTGTAATCCCAGCTACTCAGGAGGCTGAGGCAGGAGAATCGCTTGAACCTGGGAGGCAGAGATTGCAGTGAGCTGAGATCACACCACTGCACTCCAGCCTGGGCGACAGAGCGAGTCTCCATCTCAAAAACAAAAAAACAAAAAACAAAAAAACAAAAAAAACGAAGGTTGAGTAAACTGTATCAATATCAGATAAAACAGGTTTTGAGATAAAGGATATTATAAGAGATAAAGGAGTCTTTGTAGTGTTAAAAAGCTCACTCTGTAAGGATGACGTGACAATCATAAATAAGTATATGCCTAATCACAGGGCTTCACAGTACATGAAGCAAACCGGAAAAAATTAAAGGTAATGACAAACACCAGGCACTTGAGAATTTTCTAGATCCCCAAAGCTTTTGTTGTTAAATATTAAAAGTCAGAGCCTGATGGACTCAGAGGACAAAATGTATTAAATAAACCTGAAAATAGAGGGGATGCAGCATGTGGATATTTGTAGGGAATGGATGTGAAGAGGATGAAGCCGGAGAAACATGGCAGATTTGGGAGAAGGCCAGAGCATGAAGATTTGTTCCTTGCTTGCCATGGTATGGGTGCAGGAAGACGGACAGCAAATGACGAATAAGCCCGGGCAGCTTCACTAAGGCCTCATGCTCAACAGGGCAGCACAGAGAAAGTGGCTGAAATTCCCTGAGCCTGCAGGGCCTTGCAAAAGTGCTGAGAGGGTCGCTTGGTTGAAAGAGGGCACAGGTCTCAGTGAGGAGGATTCGGTGTGCACTGACTTTGAGATTGGCATGGGGTTGAGGCAGGAACTGAGTATATACATGTGTGTTAGATACCAATGCATGATGTCCGGTGACTGGTGGGGTGAGCTACACTTTTGTAGATGCTGGTGAGTACAGGTAATTACATGTGGAGCAGATGCCTTTCTCCAGCTGTCAGGATTTCATATAAACCCCTTGGGAAATTTTGTCATCATTGCAGGAGAAGCATGGTGTAGGGGAAGGAGAGAATCTTGAATTGACAGACTATTTATTCAGTGAAACAGCGTAAATCAAAAGTAACCGGGTTAACTTTAAGTGGCATGACTAAGGGATTAAAAATATTTTTTTAATGTTGAAATTAAACATTAAAAAATGTTTAAATAAGAATGCTTCTGATGCATGCTAAAGTGAGAGAAAAAAACAAAAAATAAGGATAAAATGCATAAAGCATATATTTAGAGTTTAACAAATCATCCAGGTTAAGAAATAGGACATGCTATTGCTTCAGAATCTTCCAGTATGGTCATTCATGATCACAGCCTCCTCCTTCCTCCCAGTGGTAACTACTGTATTGATGATTGGTTAACATTTCTTTGAAAAAAGTTTTTTAAAACCACCTTTTGTAAGAGCATCGTGCCATGATTATTCTTGTACAGGACAATAATCATGCACAGACAATTCTATAAGATAAACACCTAGGAATGGCATTACTGGGTCATACTATATGCACATGTTTGCCTTTACTGAATAATGTTACTATTTTCTAAGTGGGCTTACCAATTTTCATGACCACCAGTAGCGAATGAGAGTTTCTTTTGTTCCTCATTCTTGATAACTCCTTTTTATGCGTGTGTCAGACTTTAATATTTTGCCAGTGATGCTTACAGTATTTTGCAGTCCCTGCTCTCAGGTGATGACTTACCTTCTCATTTCTCTGAGAAAATAGATAAGAATAGACATGCCAGAATTCCCATCACTACTTCTACCTGCCTACCTGTGTCAGTGCCCTGGACTCTGCCTTTTCTCCTATCCTTATGAAAGAAGTGTCTGTGCTCTTGGCCGAGGCCAGTCATCTCACTTGTTCCCCGGATCCCATCATTTATTATCTACTCAAGGACATTACTCCACTAATTCTCTCTTCTTTGTTCTTCATCATTGTTTCCCCTTTCTATACTGGAAAATTTCCAGTATTTCCAGGCATGCAGTTATGTCTCCCAACTTAAAACACAGCAAATGGTAGTTAGTACCATTGCCAGCGACTGCTCCATTTTCCTGCTTTCCTTTACAGCCAAACTTCCAAAGAGTTGTCTTTTCTTCCTGTCTCCAACTCCTCACCTCCCATTCTCTCTTAAACCCAATCCAATTAAGCTTCCTTTCTTACTCTTCCACCAGAACTGCTCTTAAAGTTACTAAAAACTGGGCTATTGCTAACTCCAGGGGTCACCTCTCAGTCTTTGTCTTACTTGCTCTACCAGTAGCATTTGGCATTAGTCTTCTCATTTTCCAGGACACCTCTTGAGTTTCCTCCTACTTCACTGGTTATTCTTTCTTGGTCTCCCTTGTTACTCCTGGTTTATTAACACTGGATATTCCAGACCTTAGTCCTTGGATCTCACCTTTATTTGTTCCCACTCCATTGATATCTCATCCAGTCTCATGGATTTAAATAGTATAATTAAGCTGGCAACTCCCAAGTTATATTTCCTCTTCTGGAATTGTTTAGGGATCTCCAAATTTGTTCATTCAACTGTTTACTTGACAAATTACTTGGCTATATATTTAAAAATCCCTTAACATGTGTGAAACCAAACTGTGATTTTTCTTAAAGTTATCATACCATTTGCTTTTATGCAAATTAGAAAAATACTTCTCATCCTTTCGGCAGATGCTGCCTGTGGAGGGTGAACAGCTTGCCTGGATGCTTGGGTGCGGGCATTTGCAGCTTCCCTCATCTTCCCCTTCAAATGCCTCCTCCCATTGTCTTCCATTTCAGTTGCTAGCAGTTCCAGCCTTCCTATCATTCAACTCAAATATTTTGGAGTCATCCTTGAGGTCATTTTTCTTTCCAGTCGTATCTAATTAATCAATAAGCCCCGACAGGTAGTTAGGTTGGATAAGAGGAAAGAGAATTCCAGCTAAAGGAACAGCACACAGGTAGGGAGGCCAAAGAGCACATCACATGTTTGAGGAGGCAGTGTAGCTCTTCAGCCTTGCTACCTTTTTATTTTTATTTTATTTTATTTTATTATACTTTAAGTTCAGGGTACATGTGCACAACGTGCAGGTTTGTTACATATGTATACATGTGCCATGTTGGTGTGCTGCACCCATTAACTCCTCATTTACATTAGGTATATCTCCTAATGCTTTCCCTCCCCACTCCCCCCACCCCACAACAGGCCCCGGTGTGTGATGTTCCCCTTCCTGTGTCCATGTGTTCTCATTGTTCAGTTCCCACCTATGAGTGAGAACATGCGATGTTTGTTTTTTTGTTCTTGCGATAGTTTGCTGAGAATGATGGTTTCCAGTTTCATACATGTCCCTACAAAGGACATGAACTCATCATTTTTTATGGCTGCATAGTATTCCATGGTGTATATGTGCCACATTTTCTTAATCCAGTCTATTGTTGTTGGACATTTGGGTTGGTTCCAAGTCTTTGCTATTGTGAATAGTGCTGCAATAAACATACATGTGCATGTGCCTTTATAGCAGCATGATTTATAATCCTCTGGGTATATACCCAGTAATGGGATGGCTGGGTCAAATGGTATTTCTAGTTCTAGATCCCTGAGGAATCACCACACTGTCTTCCACAATGGTTCAACTAGTTTACAGTCCCACCAACAGTGTAGAAGTGTTCCTATTTCTCCACATCCTCTCCAGCACCTGTTGTTTCCTGACTTTTTAATGATTGCCATTCTAACTGGTGTGAGATGGTATCTCATTGTGGTTTTGATTTGCATTTCTCTGATGGCCAGTGATGATGAACATTTTTTCATGTGTCTATTGACTGCATAAATATCTTCTTTTGAGAAGTGTCTGTTCATATCCTTTGCCCACTTGTTGATGGGGTTGTTTTTTTCCTGTAAATTTGTTTGAGTTCTTTGTAGATTCTGGATATTAGCCCTTTGTCAGATGAGTAGATTGCAAAAATTTTCTCCCATTCTCTAGGTTGCCTGTTCACTCTGATGGTAGTTTCTTTTTCTGTGCAGAAGCTCTTTAGTTTAATTAGATCCCATTTGTCAATTTTGGCTTTTGTTGCCATTGCTTTTGGTGTTTTAGACATGAAGTCCTTGCCCGTGCTTATGTCCTGAATGGTATTGCCTAGGTTTTCTTCTAGGGTTTTTATGGTTTTAGGTCTTATGTTTAAATCTTTAATGCATCTTGAGTTGATTTTTGTATAAGGTGTAGGGAAGGGGTCCAGTTTCAGTTTTTTACATAGGGCTAGCCAGTTTTCCCAGCACCATTTATTAAATAGGGAAGCCTTTCCCCGTTGCTTGTTTTTCTCAGGTTTGTCAAAGATCAGATGGTTGTAGATGTGTGGTATTATTTCTGAGGGCTCTGTTCTGTTCCATTGGTCTATATCTCTGTTTTGGTACCAATACCATGCTGTTTTGGTTACTGTAGCCTTGTAGTATAGTTTGAAGTCAGGTAGTGTGATGCCTCCAGCTTTGTTCTTTTGGCTTAGGATTGTCTTGGCAATGTGGGCTCTTTTTTGGTTCCATATGAACTTTAAAGTAGTTTTTTCCAATTCTGTGAAGAAAGTCATTGGTACCTTGATGGGGATGGCATTGAATCTATAAATTACTTTGGGCAGTATGGCCATTTTCATGATATTGATTCTTCTTACCCATGAGCATGGAATGTTCTTCCATTTGTTTGTATCCTCTTTTATTACATTGAGCAGTGGTTTGTAGTTCTCCTTGAAGAGGTCCTTCACATCCCTTGTAAGTTGGATTCCTAGGTATTTTATTCTCTTTGAAGCAATTGTGAATGGGAGTTCACTCATGATTTGGCTCTCTGTTTGTCTGTTATTGGTGTATAAGAATGCTTGTGATTTTTGCACGTTGATTTTGTATCCTGAGATTGCTGAAGTTGCTTATCAACTGAAGGAGATTTTGGGCTGAGACAATGGGGTTTTCTAAATATACAGTCATGTCATCTGCAAACAAGGACAATTTGACTTCCTCTTTTCCTAATTGAATACCCTTTATTTCTCTCTCCTGACTGATTGCCCTGGCCAGAACTTCCAACACTATGTTGAATAGGAGTGGTGAGAGAGGGCATCCCTGTCTTGTGCCAGTTTTCAAAGGGAATGCTTCCAGTTTTTGCCCATTCGGTATGATATTGGCTGTGGGTTTGTCATAAATAGCTCTTATTATTTTGAGATACGTCCCATCACTACCTAATTTATTGAGAGTTTTTAGTATGAAGGGCTGTTGAATTTTGTCAAAGGCATTTTCTGCATGTATTGAGATAATCATGTGGTTTTTGTCTTTGGTTCTGTTTATATGCTGGATTACGTTTATTGATTTGTGTATGTTGAACCAGCCTTGCATCCCAGGGATGAAGCCCACTTGATCATGGTGGATAGGCTTTTTGATGTGCTGCTGGATTCGGTTTGCCAGTATTTTATTGAGGATTTTTGCATCGATGTTCATCAGGGATATTGGTCTAAAATTCTCTTTTTTTGTTGTGTCTCTGCCAGGCTTTGGTATCAGGATGATGCTGGCCTCATAAAATGAGTTAGGGAGGATTCCCTCTTTTTCTATTGATTGGAATACTTTCAGAAGGAATGGTACCAGCTCCTCCTTGTACCTCTGGTCAGCCTTGCTACCTTTTTCATGCTGTCTTTTGCCCATAAGCGTCTTTCTTTCAATCCTTCACAGCCCAGTGCATCTTTTACAGCCCAGCTCAAATAGTACCCATTTTGTTGACATTTCTTTATTGCTGTTTTTGTACCAAACTATTATTTATTTACTTATTTATTTATTTATTTTTTAGACGAAGTCTTACCCTGTCGCCCAGGCTGGAGTGCAGTGGCTCGATCTCAGCTCACTGCAACCTCTGCCTTCTGGTTCAAGAGATTCTCCTGCCTCAGCCTCCTGAGTAGCTGGGATTACAGGCTCCCACCACCACACCCAGCTAATTTTTGTATTTTTGTATTTTAGTGAAACCCTTGGGGTTTCACCATGTTGGCCAGGCTGGTCTCGAACTCCTGAGCTCTAGTGATCCACCCGCTTCGGCCTCCCAAAGTGCTGGGATTACAGGAGTGAGCCACCGTGCCTGGCCCGAACTATTCTTTTTACTACTTGTCAATATTTGTAATAGTTGGCTTTTGCCCTAATTTTCTCATCTGTATGGTGATATTACTACTACCTAACTCACAGAGTTTATATGGGACTAAGTTGAGATAATGATTGGAAAGAACTTAGGACAGTGCATGGCACATGGTAAATATTTTTAAAAGTTACTTTTTTTTTTTTTGATAATGCTGATGGTGTTACTCTCTTCACAGTAGATTGTGTGCTTTTGGGGGGTGAGTGAGTTTACCTGATTATCTTTGAATATCCAGCATTTAACATAGTGTTTATTGAAGAAGTTGGCTCATAGGATGTCGATGTAGTTGAGTAGACATAGATACATGGAGGTAGCAGTGGTACATTGGAAAAAATGCTGAATTTAGAAGACTTATTGGTGAAGCTCTGGCTCAGACTTTACCAGTTGCATGACCGCTTGGGCAAGCCACTTCACCTTTTTGAACTTTAGTTTCTTTGGCGGAAATTAGAGATGATACCTTTGGGTAATATTATAAACATCATATATGAGATAACATATATGAAATTACTTGGATCTCAGCACTTTGGGAGGCTGAGGCGGGCGGATCATGTGAGGTCGGGAGTTTGAGACCAGCCTGACCAACATGGCAAAACCCCGTCTCTACTAAAAATACAAAATTAGCCAGGCATGGTGGCGCATGCCTGTAATCCCAGCTACTCAGGAGGCTAAGGCAGGAGAATTGCTTGAACCAGGGAGGCGGAGGTTGCAGTGATCCGAGATCACTTCATTGCACTCCAGCTTGGCAACAGAGCGAAACTCCATCTCAAAAAAAAAAAAAAAAAAAAAAAGAAAGTACTTGGTAACTTATACCTCATGATGTGAATTAAGGTTATTTGGTATTATGGTTTGTAATTCAAGGTAATTTTTATTAAAATTACAAAGCAATGAGACTTACTGTAAGTTTTATAAGAATATTAGTCCTGCTGTTTTACACTTATCTCTGTTATATGTGTATATGGATCTCTTTACCCTTTGTGTGGGAAGGTGATGTATTACTTATGATTACTTTTTGCACATGTAATGGGGGCTGCAAGAACATTTCCACGCTCTGCTCTGAGAAGGGTTATCTTATGGCTTGCTCGAGTCATCACAATTGTGGTCTGTTGATCTTTGCAACATGGACTATTAGTCTTCTTCTGCCTTAGAAAATCAGTCTGTGAAAGATAATGTAGGTTAAATGCAATCAAACATTAGTTTGAATGTAACTTGTAGAATTAAATTTAAAAAACCCAGTTATTAGACAGTAAATAGTTGTTTTCACAATAAATTGGGATGGATAAAATTTACACCCATACTAAAAACCTTGACAATTGAATAAGTTTCTTTCAGAAGCATTTTTATCAAGCAGTTTGTGTACATTGATGAGTGGTCATCTTGAAATCTTAGTCAAATAGAACTAATCCCTCCCACATTCCTCAGTACTGTGGGCTGGTCTGCCTGCACTGACATTTTTTCAGCAAACCTCAGCTCTTAGTTCTACTGCAGTCCTTGAACTGAGAGAAGCTGCTCAATCAAAATTTATTCTTGCTTGTGAAGCTGTGTTTTATCCCATTTGTTAAGGGTTTCTTATGTCTTCTAAGAGTACATAAAGAACTCTTTGTATTCTGCTGTTATCCATTTAAACCCAGCCACTTTAAAATGTGATAAACCTCATTTCTATATTGTAGTATTGATAACATTTCAGGCCCTGGATGAGGGTGATCTGTCTCATCATTTAGTGTTTGGCAATGTTGATGAAACTGTTCAAGGAGCCCTGTGAGATGGCAGTGGCAGTTGCAGATCTCACAGTCACACTATCATTTGTACATAATGGGCTTGGTCTGAAGGATGTAATCCAAACCTGACTACTTTGCAACTCTATTCGATATTTTATTGCTTTTAAACCTACTTTGAGATTGACTGCAGCTATGGCAGTCTCAAGAACATCTCAGTGCTGTAGAATAACTCTTAGTTGAGATTCATTCATTTCTTCATTTACCCATGAAGAAATAGAATGTTCTCTGCTCACTTAATGTAAGTAAGAAAATGATACCTAGTATAACTCAATATATATTTTTATATTTAAACAGTTGAGCCAAGTTCTCATGTGCTCTGAATAATTCAAGTTAGTGACTGAGGAAAACAATATGATACTCAATTTCTATTTATATGAATAGTTCATGGTGTGTGTGTGTGTGTGTGTGTGTGTGTGTGTGTGTGTATGATCTTTTTCCTGGGTCAATGGAGACCACTGTCTCAATTGTGTAAGAGGAAAATCAGGACAGTCAGTAAGGAAAACCCTTGGTTTATCTTTCCAAATTTTATCCCAACACAAGTGTAATGGGAAAGGTATGCTTTCTGTGCCATTGGAGCACAAAGGATAGCCTGGAAATCTTCCGAAAGTAGGTGGTGGCTGACCCTAAGTCTTGAAGAAAGAGTGAGAATCAACTGGATGCAGAAGATGGAGGATGATTCTGCTGGCTGAGAGATCAGTGTATAGAAAGAAACAGCAGGGAATATAACATGTAACTGAGGAAATTGGATTTGGTATGATGGGATCAAAAAGAGAATGTAGGGGAGTGGTGGAAATGAGCCTAGGCCTGCAATTGGGAAAAATAATTAAGTTGTTGCTATTATTGTTGTCATCACTACCACCAATCACATCATCATCCACTTTTTGACCCCACTCTCACACCCACCATCATTGTTATCATTGTCCTGGAAAGTAGCATCCTGGCTCAATAAAGGAAGTAGCAGAAAGGGAAATGTTGGGGCTGTCTAATCTACAGAACTGGGAGGCTAATTTGATATGGGGTGAGTTAAACTCAGATGGGTTGTTGTGTTCAGGCTGCCTGTGGGACATCCAAGAGATGCCAAGCAAGGCTCTGGGCATACAGGAGTCAAACTCCACAGGAGGCTGGGCTGCAGATGCACTTTGGGATTGCTGGAATAAAAGTGCAACTTCATAGGTGAAGCTGTCATTGTTTGTTTGCAAAGAATACAGGAGATGAAGTCAGGGAAGAGAGCAAACTCTACTTTTAGGGGGCTTGAAAAATGTTAATTCATGTTGTGGGAAAGGAAAAAGGGAATGTGTATTAGTCCATCCTCACATTGCTATAAAGACATACCTGAGAATGGCTAATTTATGAGAAAAGAAGTTTAATTGGCTCATGGTTCTGCAAGCTTTATAGGAAGCATGGTGCCAAGGTCTGCTTGGCTTCTGGGGAAGCTTCAGGAAACTTACAATCATGGCAGAAGGTAAAAGGGGGCAGGCACGTCATATGGCAAAAGCAGGAGCAAGACAGTGACGGAGGAAGTGCTATGTATTTTTAAATGACCAGATCTCATGAGAAGTCACTATCACTACAGTACCAAGCCATGAGGGATCCACTCTTATGACCCAATCACCTCCCACCAGGTCTCACCTTCAACATTGGGGGTTACATTTCAATATGAGCTTTGAGTTGGGATACACATCAAACTATATCAGAGAGTTCAAGAAGAGGGAAAAAAGGCATTGAAGGGAAATGACGAAATGTCAGTAGCAGAAAGAGGGAGAGAATTCATTTATTCTCATCTATTGAGTGGCTACTATGTATCACTGAGGTAGGCAAAGAAGATATAGGAGTGAGTGACCACGACACAGAAGACTGTCTAGGTGTAGTGGGCCATGCAAGATGAATATAACAGTTTTTGTTGTTAAAAAACTTATAATACTTAGTGGAGGGAGACACATAAGCAACTAATAAGAAACAACATGGAGGAGAATGCAATAATTTCCACAGTAGGAATAGATTATTCCCAACTGGGATTCTGGGACTGGGGAAGGCTTCTTGGAAAAGAATGCTTGGATGAAATCTGGACACCTCAGTGGATCATCTCTCAGTGGAGAAGAGAGAAATGCTTTCTGGGCTCGTTGTAGTGCATAAGTGTTATGAACTGAATTGTGTGTCACCTTCCCCAAGTTCATATGTTGAAGGTCTGACCCCCAATGTAACTATTTGGAGATAAGGCCTTTAAGGAGGGCCTATGAATCGCCATAATCTGAAAAGATTGATATCTTTATAAGAAGAAGAGACACCAGAACTCTCTGCCTCCATGCATGCACAGAGAAAAGGTCATATGAAGACACAGTGAGAAGCTGGCCATCTGCCAGCCAGGAAGACAGCCATTATCAGAAACCAAATTTTTCAGCATGTTGATCTTGGACTTTTTGTCTCCAGAACTGTGGGAAAATAAACTTTTGTTGTTTAAGCCTCCCAGCCCATGGTATTTTGTTATGACAGCCCCAGTCGAATAATATGATGATCAAAGGCACAAAGTTGCGTGGTGTATTTGGGGACAGATGAGTTTCTCCATGAGTCTGGAGACAAGGCACGTGAGGGGATGTGGTGGGAGATAAGTGAGAGAGGGACATTTTTTGAGTAGCTGTGAATGATCATGAAGGAAATGACCATTTGGTGTAGTACCTCTTGGGTTATAAATACTGGCCAAAGTGCCTTCTAAGCAAAAGGAGCAGAAGTGGAAAAACACTTGGGCTCCTTAAGGAGGGTGAGAGCTAATGATCTAAATAGATTTATGTCACAAAGTCAGTTGGGGTAGTCACCTCCCTTATAATGAAGACCTGAAAAATTAAGATTCAAGTAAAACATGAAACATTTCCCACATTCACCGATGGACAATATCTGTTGCCATATAGGCATTAGATATGATAGTTTCATTATGTGATTTTTGGCTCCTTTGTTAGCAGTGTTAGAAAATCAGCTTGGGGGTAACAATCAGAGCACCACCCTGGTGGCTATATTCATTAATCTTGTAATTTATTGTCAGTGAGTGCAATGCTCGCACAGACATCTTTGATGAACTATTGTGAAAACATTCCTTTTTCATCTTGTTGAAACTGCAGGCTTCACTGTTGATGCACTGGCTGATTAATGCCTTTCTGGGCCAAGCCAAAGTCATGTACAATGCAGCCAGCTTTCCTTTGAATAATCAACTCTCATTTAGAAGGAAATGGAAAGTTGTTTCAAATTAAACACTAAAAAGAAAGTAGTGACAGATGTTTAATTGGTTGCTTTCTTGTCCCTTCTTAATGTGTGAGATGCCCTCATGAGAGAGGTTAGAGCAGACAGATTAAGTGGAGAAAGCCACTTAACTATCCTCTGCCCTCATGACCAAGAGAGTATTCATTCCTCATTTTCTTTTTGATATATTCCTGTTTGTTACAATTTTTTAGTATCTGATTGTGGAAAAGGAATTACTACCCCCATATATTTGTCAGTGGTTGGAAAGACAGTGTTGAGTGAGCCTGATACTCATTCACCACACACGAAGCTTGGCTCAGTCCTCAGAAGTTCAAAGAACTTGTCTGTTCTTCTGAATACCTCAGACCAAGGGCTATCATGAACATGTAAGTGTTCAGGCACCCACCAGTGAATTTCTCTTCTGTAGTGTTCATTGAGACTGTCACAGGTTCCCTTCCTGTTTTTACCTTCCATTTCTGACCTAAATCCCCCTCTGAAACTCACCTGTCTGGCTGTGACCTGTGGACATGACTTGTTGTTTGCCCTCTGACTTTGTGCAACGATTGCTACTAGTAAAGAGATGCTCTGATCTTCTGTCCTATTTCTGGAGGGACCTGATTGGAAGTTTGAACATTCTGAAGGTCCCCCAAAGGGTCTGCTGATGAGATCACATATATAAAGTATTGAGCATAGAATCCGGCACTAAGTAGGCTTTTAGTAAATGTTAGTTCCTTGCTACTTTCCTACCTTTAGCATCTTCAGATGTCAGATGAAGGATATGATGGTGGAGGAAATTTGAGAGTTTTAGACTGTTTGCTAGATGGAATCAGAATTGAAAACGAGGAAGATTTTGGAGCATGGAGCAACTATTTTCCCTTCTCTTTTGATCCATCGTAAGGTCTGGTATCAGGTTAGCCCTTCCTCCTATGGTGGCTGCTGAGGTTGGAAAATGAGTTCAAATTCAAACTCACCAGCTGTGTGATCTTGAGAAAACTGCATAATGCCTCTGTGCCTCATTTGTAAAATGGACATAACAGTATCTCACTGAGAATTATTGGGAGCAATAAAAGAATCACATAAAGCACCTAGAAACAGAGCCTGGTGGCTAAAAAGTGCTCAATAAAATTAGCCATTAATATTCCTACTGTGATTTTCTTGTATAAAAAGTGCCTGACACATAGCAATGTTAGTTCTTACTATTATCACTATCATTATTATTATTTCCCATATTGGTCATTTTCTATGGATAGTGAAATAGACTCAGGGGTACAGTTTTGTGTATTATTAGCCTGTGTTTAAATGGCTCATACACTTATTCATATATACTTACTAGATCAATTAGAAAATGCAAAGTTACTCTTATTTGAGCTTTTATTTTTGGCGTATTTTTTCAGAACCAACAGAAGCTGTCTCTGAGAGAGGTGAAGCCACTTATCTCTTTGCAGCTGTGCACTGAGACTTGGCAGGCAGTATCTAACAGGCCCTTGAATGAGACAAATCTTGTATCAGAGTCACATTTACAACATGGTGCCTTGACTACTGATGCCTTGGACTGACTCACTTGTCTCCCCAGGCTTTACATCTTTTACTTGCTGGGACCTCTACTACTTGCTTCCTCTTACCTGTGAATTATCTACATGGATTATTGTATTCTTGCCTCTTTCTCATTGTGGTTAATTGATTCCTGGCTCTTGACTGTTAGTAATCTCATTCTTTTTCCCATTCCTGGGTTTGAGTAATTACATAGTGCTCAGCTTGCTAACCTGGAGCTGGCCTGTCTTTCCTGACTTCTGATTCCTTTCTGGTCTCATATTATTGACAGCCTCCTCCATCTAAAATTTTTCTTTTTTTGAGAGATGGGATCTTGCTGTGTTGCCAGGGCTGGTCTTAAACTCCTGACCTCAAGTAACCCTCCTGCTTCAGCATCCCAAAATGTTGCAATTACTGGCATGAGCCACTGCACCTGGCCAGCCTTCTCAGTCCAAATGTCTTCTTGTTCGTACTGACCCATCAAAACGAATACTGTCCATGTGACCAAAGCCTTTCCTGAAAAATTGCTGTGGCTGACATGCACCACATAACAGTAAGTTGCCATTTGGTAGTCTGTTGTAAAAGATTCAGAGAGAGAATTTCATGCCTTGCGTCTTGAGGTTGATGTGAAGTGAATCAGTGGGTATTGTTCAACCACAAGTAAAAAGTGGATTTGAATTTCTGTTTTTGAGTCTGTATCCTTACACTATGGAAGTGGGAGAAAGAACAGTTCTGAAAAATGCATACACATCTTTCCTCATAAATAGTGGGCATTGCTTATTTTGTTTTCTTCAACCACGAATCTGTGTAGCGTTGCATAATTTTCAACTTCCTGAGAGAGTAAGTTTTGTTTGTGTCATAAACTCAGAGTCCTTGATGACATGTTGACAGGTAATGGAAATGATGGGATTGGAGAGCTGACAGGTGACTCATGCATATGGATGTCTTCTGTAATTATACATAGCAATCTATCTGGGGTTATTTATGGTAGCATTGTCATGGCGATCAATGAGCAGTAAACAAAGCTCTCAAAGCCATGGGGAGAGTTTTTATAGCTTCCATGACCAACTGTAGTACTTCCATTTTTAAAAAACAAGTTTCATAATAAACTTATTGAACTAAACAATTTATATGTATATACTTTAAAATCATGGTGAAGTGCAAAAGTCTGCTGAAATGAAAAAGAACTGGTTTGTGGTTGAATAGGAGCCAGAGTTCCAGGCCTCACTCACTGGCTGTGTGACCTTGAACAGGTCATCTATTTTGAGTCTCAGTTTCCTTATTCTTAATGGGGCTTCAAATGTCTGTCCCAGGATGATCCATAAGACTATTGTAAGGAACAAATAAAATAATGAATATAAAAGAGCACTTATAGCATGTCCAGGAGAAATAAGCCTGTAAGACAGCATTCTGTAAGAGAGTCTAGGGATCTGGTTTTGTTCATTTTGGGTGCCAGAATCTTGGTGGATTTCTAGATAGATTTTTAAGATCACCATACAGAAACATGAATTTTCAAATGAGGATATACCCATAAAATGCCAAGTGAAGCAGACCACAAACCATTAGAAACAATATGGTACCATCACTATCCAGAGGACCTAATGGCCCTTGTAAACTGAACATGCCTAAAACCAGACTCTTGGTTACTTCAAATGTTTTCTTTCCTAGTGTTCCTCATTTCTGTAAATGATACTATTTAGCAGAAATCCTTTTCCTTCAGAGTATTTATACTTCTCTATTATATTTGTTAGTTTCACTACTACGTGAGTTCTATGGGGGCAGCCATCTTTGTTCTGTTTGTCATGGCATTGCCAGTAACTAGCATAATGACTAGTACATAGCAGACAATCAATAAATATTTGTTGATTAATTGCCTGAATGACTGCTTAAAATGCATTAAATAGAAAAAGACACATGAAAATGTTACTCATGATTCTTTTGAAGGTAGAATTATGGTGTTATATTAGAGCTTTTCTATACTTTCCAGTTTTCTCTCTAGTTAGAAGAAAGTTATTAAAATTGGTATGGAAAGCCTGGTTTGTAAACATATCAAATTAAAAAAAATCATGTGCACTGTGTTATTTTTAATGGTCAGGAAGAAAAGCAAACAATGAAGCTGGATAGTTTCTTACAATAAAATATCTGCATTATTAACATACCAGCAGAAGATCAATTAAATTAATTATAAAAATTGACAGCAAAGAATTATTAAGGTCAGTTATAATCCCAGAGAAATAACTCCTGAAAGGTCAGTGTAATGTTCTTTTGAAGAGTTTTGCCTTATTAAAAACTGGACCAGTACTCTTGGAACAAAATAACAAATTCAATTTTTAGGAAACTTTACTTCCAATTTCTTTTATTCAACTTGAACTTATTTTTATCTTAAGTTCCATTTTTGTTTTTCTGACTTGGGAAAAATAGTTGATAGAGTTTTTTTATAAGATTAAAATTTTTATTGTGGTGAATGAGGTCAAATTTATACTTTGCAAATCTTATATACACTCCTCGAGATGTATCATATGCTTTTAAATTTCTTACTCAAAAGAGGTATTTACAGCTCTCTTGATACCACAGTGAAAAGCAACCCTCTCATCTTGTTTTCTGGGTTTGCACTGTTTTTTGTACTATATTACTGTTCCTCATGGACTAACAAAATATGATTTTGTTACTAACTTTGGTCAAGTGCCATGCACATCTCTGTGCTTAGAAAGTGTTACTTAAAAACCACAACACCACTACATGGGGAATGGGAAAGAAAGAATAATCTACAAGGAAGAGTACAAAACAATTTTCCTTTTGCAGTATGTTATTACTACATGGTATACCCTGAGATGCTAAATATGAATCAGCCTTGATGTTGTATGTTTGTTAAATCCAACAGATAATGGCATATGTCTTTATGTAATAAAAAAGTATAATTTATTTTGCAAGTATGACTGAAGTAATATTACCTTCAGTATGAAAACATGATGTTTCTCTGAGCATATGCAATTATTTTATAGGAATCAAACCACCTTACATGGATATTAATAAGATCGTTTCTATTGTATATCTAGTGTTTTTAATATCCATGTAAAAAGCTTGTTAAAATGACTGAAAACATGCATATTTAGTTATTAGTTAGGATTTGGAAATACAGACAGTAGGTATTAGTAATAATGCTGTAGGGCTAATTTATGTGCAATTATGAAATTTTATTACTATTCATTATTTTTCAAAATAGCACATTTAGCCAAAGATATCATTATCAAACATTTCTAACATGGCAAATACTAACATAGACTTTCCTATCTTTATTCTGTGATGGGTCATGATGTTATTATATGCTTTCAAAAGGAACTATGAATTATAATAATGACAAGGATAACAACATACCCTTCCAAAATTCATGCAGCACATTTGGTATTTGTTCATTCAATTCTTCATTCCTTGTTTTCTTTTTTCAGTAACTATTTGTGGCACACCCTCTATGTGTTAGATGCTGTGCTGGCTTCTGGGAATAAGGTAGGGAGTAAAATAAACATGGTCTTTGCCTTTCTGAAGCTTACAAACTAGAAGAAACAATTACTCATTGATTCAACATGTATTTATTGGGCAGCTACTATGTGCCAGACACTCTATAGCAGTAAAAACAGCAGACAAGGGCAATGAGGTAGAAAAGGCTTGGTATGTTCCAGGAACTGAAAGTAGGCCAACACAATAAATGGATTGGAGGGGGCCAAAGTGGAAGCAGAAAAGAGGCTTTTGCAGGCATTTAGGTGAGAGACGATGGTGGCTGGAACTAGGACAGCGGCAGAAGAGATGGAGAGAAGGGAACGCATGTACAATCCACGTAGCTGCTAGAACTGACAGGACACTCAGAGGGCACCCTAAGAAAATTAAGGTTTTAACTTTGCTGATCTCTTAAAGTCCGGTTCAAATCTGATTTTTCAAAAAACTATTCCTGATAATTTACAGCCAAGAGAGACTCCTGTCTCTTTTTTTTTTGAGACGGAGTCTGGTTCTGTCGCCCAGTCTGGAGTGCAGTGGCGCGATCTCGGCTCACTGCAAGCTCCGCCTCCCGAATTCACGCCATTCTCCTGCCTCAGCATCCCGAGTAGCTGGGACTACAGGCGCCCGACACCACGCCCGGCTAATTTTTTGTATTTTTAGTAGAGATGGGGTTTCACCGTGTTAGGATGGTCTCAATCTCCTGACCCCGTGATCCGCCCGCCTCTGCCTCCCAAAGTGCTAGGATTACAGGCGTGAGCCACTGCGCCCGGCCACCCCTGTCTCTTTTATCCATCATGTATGTGCCCAGATTTATGGCCATCGTAACAAGTATATACTGGCTTTTATGCATAGTGACATTTGTCTTGACATTATCCTTTTTCTACAAGCTTCTTACCTTTTGAAATTCTCTTGTATGCTTTTTTTTTTTTTTTTTTTTTAATACTTGACTCTAATAAACAGAGGTCAGAAAACAATGAATGGGGTTTGCTACTGGTACTCTTTACTTGGGGATTTTACAATAGAAAATCAGTTCCATTACATCCTAGGATCACCTTTAAAGAGATAATTTGTCAGGACCCAAATCATATAAGAGAAACAGAACTAGGTCTTCCAGAGTAAATCGTTCTATTTCCTCAACAGCTTTTATCCTGAAAGTCTTTTGTTGGGAACTCGGAAAAGCCATCAGATAGTCCTAATCTAGTACAGGGTGATAGCACTAGGCAGACTCAAGAAAAAGAGGCTTTATTAACTTCATTTTGCTTTTTGCTTCATTTGCGGACCTTTATCATAATTCCCTTGTCCTTGAAATCTCCCTTGGACATTACTCTTAACTTTATAGAAAATAACTAAAGAATTGTTCCAGAGAATAATCTCATGAGCTTTCTGCAAGACAGTTTAAAAGTAGATAATACTAAATTTTCTTCCAGAAGCAACATATCTTCCATTGAATCTTCATCTGTGTGATTTGCAATGGTAGTCTTGAAATAATATGATGGAAAAAGGGACATAGCTAGAGATGAGACCAAAGAGGGATGGATCTTGACAGATTGGAACTAACTTTGAAAAGAGGAGAAAATTGATTTTGCATTGTGTCACGTATACTTGGAAACAGAAGGTGCAGTCTTTATCCCATGAGTATGTTAGTCTTCATATATCACTAAGTCCTTTGGGAAAAATGACTACTACCACAGAAATGCTTGTCATGTCAGATTTATCTAACATGTTGTTTACTGCAGAGTTTTATTCTTCCAGGTCAATGTGGCATATGAATCTGTCTTCTGTGTGTGTGTGTTTTTAAGGCCTTATCTTTGTCAAAAAATCAGTATTAAGGTCACAGAGTCTATAGAGCAAGCCTTGGAGAAAGGTGTGTATTGTTCCAGGTTGATTGCTACTAGAATGTAGATGCAGGGCTGCCTATTGTGAGATTAATGAAAAACATCACCTACCAATGCCCACATTACTTGGCGGTTTAGTCTCTCCATACTGGAGAGAAATAGAATTCAAAGAACAGCAAAGAATACTTAAATGGACTTGTTGGAAATGAAGAAATAGTAGGACTTAAAAATAGAATTATAAAGGTTCGATCTGCAAAAACCTTAGATGTCATTTAGTCCTGTCTTTTCATTTTACATAGAGTCACAAATCTGGACAAAATATCGTTTGGCTCAGAATCATCCCTCAGAATCACCTGTAGAGGGGCTTTAGGTGGTAAGTTCAGAGCTGGGCTAATACTCTGGTAGGGTCATGACTCCCTTTCTCATGTTCTTTGTGTCATACCTCTTTTTCTTGAAGCTGGAGCTATTATTCACTGGAACTAACTGTAAGGTGCCTCCTTGCCTAATTTGCATCCTGTCACTCCTTGCTGCATCTCCCCTGCTTTCTGGGAGTCTAACCCTCTCAGAGGATCACACATGCACCAGTTCGTGTTGCCTCTTACCTTCGTCATAGTAATGCTCAGACCTGGAGAACCCGTGCCTTTCCTCCATCCATCAGTCTCCAGTCTGCTACAGTTGACAGTCTCCTCTGCTTGGTCAAATCCTGCTTCTGCCACAGAACTTTCTCTGATTGCTTAGCCCTGACAGATTTTGATGGTTTCTGAATTTCTGAAAAGCTTATAGTTTATAATAGTGGCTCCTAAGCCTAGCTAATCTTCAAGATTGACTTAAAATGCAGATTCTTGGGCCCTACCTTCAAGATTCTCTTTTGGGCTAGGTCTGGAGTAGAGAATTCGACCTTAAAACAAACAAGCAAACACACACACACACACACACACACACACACACACACTCACACACACACACACACGCATGCTCCCAGGTGATTTTGATGAACAAATAGATTTGAGAACCAATGATCTAAAGTACATAAAAATTTAGTTTGTCTTGCATAAAGTCACATGAAAACTTTTTCATGTGAGTTTGTTTTATATTTCAACCTGTAATGTGAACTGCAATGTGTTTGAGGATGGTGGGAATGGGGAGAGGGTGGTAGGGTCTGTTTGCAAAAGAAAGGTTGAGCTGCAAGTCCCTTGGAACAATAGCTAATATATGTGGTAAGACAAGTCTCATGAAAACGAAAATGAAGGGAGGTGCCTAAGGATATTTGTCCCCTTAGAGTCTATTCTGAACACAGTAGTCACATTAATTTTTTAAAAGTATCAAGTCAAATCATGTCACTCCCTTGTTCAAAGTCTCCAATAGTTCTCATCATACTTGGAGAAAATCTTGTGCCCTTACTGTGGTTTCCAGAGCCATGCATGAACTGGCCCCTGGTCAGCCCTCTGACCCCGTTCCCTGTGTCTCCTCCATGTTCTGTGCTCTTTTTTATTATTCTACAAGTGTATCAAGCAGGCTTCTGTCTTGGTGCTTTTTCACTTGTTCTTCCCTAAGCATTTGTGTGACTCATACCTTCTCTGTATTCACATCTCTGCTCAAAATGGCATCTCCTCAGACAGACCTTCCTGATATCCTCTTCAAAATAGTTCCTGGACTCTACCACCCACAGCATTAATCTGGATTTGTTTATATCTGTCTCTTCTACTAGAATGTGCACCCCTGGAAGGCAGGATATTTTTACCTTCCAGGGGTGCATAGTCTAGTACGAGAGACAGATTGCCTATTTTGCCCATTTTGTTTGCCTATTTTGTTTGCTCTCAGCTGTCCCTGGACCATACTAATAAGAATAAAACAGATATTTGCTGACTGAATACAGTCAATAATGTGTATTGATGATAGTGATACTGAGTTGGAAGATTGAAGGAATGACAATAAGAAAACTTTATATCCCAGCACTTTAGGAGGCCGAGGTGGGTGGATCACCTAAGGTAAGGAGTTCGAGACCAGCTTGGCCAACATGGTGAAACCCAGTCTCTACTAAAAATACAAAAATTAGCTGGGCATGGTGGTGCATGCCTGTGGTCCCAGCTACTCAGGAGGCTGAGGCAGGAGAATCGCTTGAACCTGGGAGGTGGAGGTTGCAGTGAGCCAAGATCGAACCATTGCACTCTAGCCTGGGCAACAAGAGTGAGACTGTCTCAGAAAAAAAAAAAAAAGCTTTAGGAATTAAGAAGTGCCTTTAAAGATGAAGGACAATTAAGTTTTAAGTTGGAAATAGAGTACACAGTCTACACAGGTCAAGGAAAAACTCAAAGGCCTTTGGCTTTGGTAGGCCCTCTGAAAGGATGAAGTCACCAATGTAAGACGTTAGGCAGTGGTGGGGATTCTGGTGGGCTGGGCGGTGTATCCTGGCCTAAATGTATTCAAATCTATTAACAAAAAATAAAAAACGCTGTGCTGGCTTAAAAGATACTTCTAAATGTAGAGCAAGATTCTGCTCCAGCTGTCAGTTTGTAGCTGCTGATAGCATACAAATTCTATGAAAATGCAATTGTGGTCCTTCTAATTACTTGTTATAAATATAAAAATACCTGTTGTAAGTCACAGAAAGTGCACTAAGTCAGGAAGTTTGGCCTTTTGGACTCTGGAAGATTCTCTGTAGCTTTAGACTAACGAGTTAGCTGTTGTAGGCTTCAAGTTATTCACTCCTTGGCTGTGGATTAAAAAAAAGTCACCCTCTGGGTTACAGGCAGAAAAATGTTTTTAATTCCCTAAAGATGACTCATAACATTAAAAATAATTGAAACAATATAAAGCATTTGAACTGTTAGAAAAAAGTAGCTTTATACATGTATTTTATTTCTTCTCTTTTATTCTGCCTAAAGAAAAGCATATGTACCTTCAGCCAAATCTTTCATTTTAATCCATGTCCTATCCGTGAGTAATACATAATGAATATATTGATGAATTACTATGCAAGCTGAGAAGCTGCATGCTGGCTTGCTCGAGGATTCAATTAAAATGGAGCAACATTATTTGTAATAATCAAATGTTGTTTTGAATAAGTAATTCAAGTAAACAATGCAATTAGTAAAAAGTGATGATGATAAAGTTGAGTGGGGGAAATTCTTATATATAAATTAAATATAATTTTGGAATTTATAAAATAATAGTTTGTTGGAATGGAAAAGTTTATGCTGGAATTAATAATAAATTTCTGAAGAAATCTTTTTAGTTTGCAATACTTACCTAACCTTCTTTGATACTTCAGGCTGTTCTTTTAGTTGGCTAAGAAGTTCTTTTAGTTTGCAATACTTACCTTACTTTCTTTGATAATACAGGCTGTTCTTGCCCTGCAATAAAGAAATCCCTAAGACTGGGTAATTTAGAAAGAAAAGAGGTTAATTGGCTCACAGTTCTGCGGGGTGTAAAGGAAGTGTGGTGCTGGCATCTGTTTGTCTTCTGAGAAGGCCTGAGGGAGCTTTTACTCATGAGGGAAGATAAAGGAAGTGTGGTGCTGGCATCTGCTTGGCTTCTGAGGAGGCCTGAGGGAGCTTTTACTCATGATGGAAGATTAAGCGGGAGCATATGCTTCACATGGCGAAAAGAGGAGCAAGAGAGAGAAGAGAGAGAAAGAGAGAGCATAGGGGGAGGAGCCATACACTTTTAAACGACCAGATCTTGTGTAAACTCATAGCAAGATCTCACTTATCACCAAGGAAATGGCCCAAGCCATTCATGAGGGATCCACCCCATGATCCAAACACCTCCCACCAGGCCCTACCTTCAACAGTGGGTATTACAATTCAACATGAGATATGGGCAGGGACAAATATGCAAACTACATTGAGGTATAATAAAATTTTAATGTTTTTATAGTGCTTTACTTCATGTTAGTGTAAAAGACTGTCCCTGTGCAATGGACAGGTCTAGAGCTAATATAAAAGTCTGGACTATATCTATACTATATTAAATAACTGAATGAAAAACATTCCAGGAAAACATTCATATAGTATAGCTAACAAATCAAACATCCATTTGTTTTGAATGGTCTGGATGTTTCTAATATCTGAATAACAGTTCCTATTTTGATAATTTGCTATCATGTTATACGCTGCTTCTGGGATAACCTTTAGTTCAAATTCAAGGGAAAATGCAATTTTCATTATTATTGTTTGGGTGGGAGAATTATGGGAGCTAATGTTTTTATGAGCTAAAAAGAAACTCAAAGAAGAAAACTTATCTCCCCATTGATCAAGGGTAGGATTCTGGAGTTTGGATGGCTTCTAGACCTCATAACTGCGCCCAGAAAGTTCCTCTCAATGTCTAAGCTAAGGTTATATTGCTCTGGTTTAAATGTTTTCCTGCTTCTCTTGCTAGTGGAGGTAGAAACTTTATAGTCAGTTATTTTTTTTTCATATTTTAGAAACATTTGAAAAACTTTACAAATGACAAAGGAAGATCTAAATTGCATTGCTTGTTGCTCCTGTCCCTTTACTGCATTGAGGTAGCCTGGTGGTGAAAACATATCTCATATAAAAACTTCAGTGGAAATCTTGATTTTGTTAATCTTATTAGTGAAGGCTGAAATAAATTTTGTCCTCCAAAAATGTAAATAGCTAATTCAACTGGTCATTCAAAATTTTGATAACTGGTTGATTATTCTTTCAATCATCATTTACTGGTAACTACTATGTGCTGGGTACCTCCTATATACATGTGTTATAAGCCCACAAAAGTGTTTCTTGTTTCTGAGGAACTTGTCTATCTTTATATGATGACGTTATTCACCAGATCTCATAACCCTTCTTTATGGGTCTTACAGTAGAAAATATCAGTTGTAGGCCGGGCGCGGTGGCTCACGCCTGTAATCCCAGCACTTTGGGAGGCCGAGGCGGGCGGATCACGAGGTCAGGAGATCGAGACCATCCTGGCTAACACGGTGAAACCCCGTCTCTACTAAAAATACAAAAAATTAGCCGGGCGTGGTAGCGGGCGCCTGTAGTCCCAGCTACTCGGGAGGCTGAGGCAGGAGAATGGCGTGAACCTGGGAGGCGGAGCTTGCAGTGAGCCGAGATCGCGCCACTGCACTCCAGCCTGGGCGACAGAGCGAGACTCCGTCTCAAAAAAAAAAAAAAAAAGACAATATCAGTTGTATATGTCTTGAGCAAAAGACAAATATAGTTGACTCCTGAATGGCCTGTGTTTAAACTGCGTGGATCTACTTATACATAAATTTTATTTTTTGGAGGTTCTTAAAAAAAAACTAATTTTAACTTTTATTTTAGAATCAGAGGCTACATATGCAGGTTTGTTACATGAGTTTATTGCATGATGTTGAGGTTTGGGCTATGAATGATCCTGTCCCCCAGGCAGTGGGCATAGTATCCAGTAGGTAGTTTTTCAGCTCTGGCCCCACACCCTCTCTCCTCCCTCTAGTAGTCCCCAGTGTCTATTTTTATTTTTATTATTATTTTTTATTTTTTGAGACAGTGTCTTTCTGTGTCACCCAGGCTGGAGTGCAGTATTGCGATCTTGGCTCACTGCAGCCTCAACCTCTCGGGCTCAAGTGATTCTGGTGCTTCAGCCTTCCAAGTAGCTGGGACTACAGGCATGCACTACCAAGCTGGGCTAAGTTTTTATATTTTAGTAGAGATGAGGTTTCATCGTATTGGTCAGGCTGCTCTCTAACTCCTGACCTCAGGTGATCGACCCACCTCGGCCTCCCAAAGTGCTGAGATTAGAGGCATAAGCCACTGCGCCCAGCCCCCAGTTCTATTGTTCCTTTCTTTATGTCCATGTGTTCCCAATGTTTAGTTCCCACTTATAAGTGAGAACATGTGGCATTTATTTTCTCTGGGGTATATAACTGGTAATGGGATTGCTGGGTCAAATAGTAAGTTTTGTTTTAAGTTCTTTGCTAAATCTCCAAACTGCTTTCCACAGTGGCTGAACTAATTTGCATTCCCATCAACAATGTGTAATTGTTCTCTTTTTTCTGCAGCCTTGCCAAGATCTGTAATTTTTTGGCTTTTTAATAATAAGGCCATTCTAGCTGGTATGAGATGGGTATCTCATTGTGGTTTTGATTTGCATTCTCGGGTGATTAGTATACATGAATTTGCTTCTGCCTTTGCCACCCCTGAGACAGCAAGACCAACAACCCCTTCTCTTCCTCTTCAGCCTACTCAGTGTGAAGATGATGTAAGTATATTTTTTACTTATAATTTTCTTAACATTTTCTTTTCTCTAGATTATCTTATTGTAAGAATACAGTATATAAATATATGCAGCATACAAAATATGTGTTAGTTGACTGTTTATGTTATAGGTAAGGCTTCCAGTCAACAGTAGCTATTAGTAGTTAAGTGGACTTTTGACTACATTCATGGCCAGCACCCCTCACCTCCACATTGTTCAAGTCAACTATATTTTTATTTTATGGATACTCTTAAATTATATATATAATTAGGTTTACTTTTTTGAGTTGGTTGCTAGGAAACTCAGAGTCAAAATTGTGGCCCATATCTAAAAAGGGTGCAAGATCTATGGCATGCATCTTGGATGAAAACTTTATCCCTGCATTATCTTTTCCCCATCCTCATTTTATGATTTTATCATAAATTCTTTGATACTTTTATTAGAGTTTTCCAGAGAACTCTAATAGATGTTTGTATCTATCTATCTGTCTATCTATCTATCTATCTATCTATCTATCTATATCTGTCATCTATTTATTTTAAAGAATTGGCTCATACAATTGTGGAGCCTTACAAGTCCAAAATCTGCAGGGTAGGCCAGCAGGCTGGAGAGCCAGGAAAGTGTTGGTGTTGCAGTTTGAGTGAGAAGACACTCTGCTGGCAGAATTCCCTCCTTTTTGGGGAAGTCAGTCTTTTCTATTAAAAATTCTAACTGGATGAGGCCCCTCGATAATATGGAGAATAATCTGCTTTACTCAAAGTCTCCTGATTAAAATATTAATCTCACATGAAAAACACCTTCACAGAAACATTTAAAATAAGTTTGATCAAATAACTGGATACTGTGGTCCAGTCCAGTTGATACGTAAAATTAATCATCATAGTATGTTATGCATTTTTTTTGAAACATGGTCTCACTCTGTCACCCAGTGCAGTGGCATGATCTCAGCTAACTGCAGCCTCCGCCTCCTGGGTTCAAGCAATTCTCCTGTCTCAGTCTCCCAAGTAGCTGGGATTACAGGTGTGCACCACCACGCCCAGCTAACTTTTGTATTGTTGTAGAGATAGGGTTTCGCCATGTTGGCCAGGCTGGTCTCGAACTCCTGACCTCAAGTGATCTACCTGCTTGGCCTCCCAAAGTGCTGGGATTACAGGCATGAATCACTGCACCCAGCTGTTATGCATTTTTATAACCCTCCTTGAAGTCTTTCTTGAAATAAAGCAGGGTATAGAACATACCTAAGGTAAAATGTGGTTTTCCTTTTTAGTAATTTATGAAATATGTGCTGTTATCTTTAGTTTATTTTAGCCCCAATATTGTATCATTTGAGATGGCCATTTCTTCATCACTCTGGCATTGAGGAGCTATATGTAGCTACGGTCTGCAAGCCAACCATCCTGGGCAAGTCAAACAGACACTTCTACTTAGGTCTTCCAGTGGATGTGCCTCTCTCTGGACATTTAAAAAAATCTGAATATTGCCTATGGAAGTAAGTAATAACTGAACACTTAAACTTCAATTCCGTACTTGTCGCAGTTTAAGACTCTTGATTGAAATTATTGGAAATACATCTCTAGTTCCTTAAGCAAGAAGGGAGTTTATTGGAAGCATTCAAAGTTAGGGTGGCATGTGCTTTTAGAAACTAAAGAGGCTGAAGATGGTGGCTCACACCTGTTATTCTAGCACTTTGGGAAGCCTAGGAGTTTGAGACCAGCCTAGGCAATATAGTGAGACCCTGTCTTTACAAAACCAGAAAAATTAGCTGGGTGTGGTGGCACGTGCCTGTAGTCCTAGCTACTTGGGAGGCTGGTGTGGGAGGATTGCTTGAGCCTGGGAGGTAGAGGCTGCAGTGAGCTGTGATCGTGCCACCACACTCCAGCCTGGTTGACAGAGCGAGCCCTGTCTCAAACAAACAAACAACAAACAAACAAACAAAAAGCCCAAATAACTAAAGAGAAACACATAATACACAAAAAGCTTAGAAGTGAATTACATACTGTGATTATAAAATTATTATTATCTCATAACAGATTATTAAGTATCTCATAGCCATCATTTTTCTTTATGTCTAACCTAATCCCTGCTGCTGAGATCCAAACAATTCTCTTTCTGCCTGATTATTAGCAGAAAGACAAACTTTTCAGTCAAGGGCAGAAAGCATATTTTGGTCAGGTGTCTACTACCAGGCTAAGAGGCTGTGGCCAGGACAGCAGGGTCTATAGTAGAAATGTAGCTTGTGGGGCCTGTCTGTGTTTGTGTATGTGTGGTGGGGTGTGGGGAAGAGGAGAGAGAGACAGAGGTGTGGGGAGAGAAAAGTAGTAAAGTAGGCTATTTCTCAGTAAACAGATGCTTGGGCCAGGTAGACACCATAAACCTTGTCTATTATGATTTTTCTTATATAATTGGTGGTTTCAAGCCTCTTAGAATAATAATAAAGAAGAAAGTCAGAATATTGAGGTATGGAGATATTCTTGAAAGATGTACTAGTCAATCTCTTCATCCAGCTACCTTAAAACCATTATTACTAAAAAGTTGTGTATACTTATTGTGAGAATAAAAGAGTAGCGACATACAATATGAAACATAAAACTCCTCCCATGTCAATATTGGCTCCCACACCACTAATCCCAGTGCCATTCACTAGAGGTTAAATGTTCAGTTTGGTAGGTAGCCATCAGATGTTCTTCTTTTTTTTTTTTGAGATGGAGTTTCGCTCTTGTTGCCCAGGCTGGAGTGCAATGGTGCGATCTGGGCTCACCGCAACCTCCACCTCCCAGGTTCAAGCGATTCTCCTGCCTCAGCCTCCAGAGTAGCTGGGATTACAGGCATGCGTCACCACACCCAGGTAATTTTTTTGTATTTTTAGTAGAGACGGGGTTTCTCCATGTTGGTCGGGCTGGTCTCGAAGTCCCGACCTCAGGTGATCTGCCCACCTTGGCCTCCCAAAGTGCTGTGATTACAGGCATGAGCCACTGCGCCTGGCCCAGGTGTTTTCTTCAAATATATAACTATCTTTATTCAAAAATATCTGTAACATATATGTAGTGCCAATCAGGAGGCTTTTAGCTAGAAGTGAGAGAACACTTGGTTCAAACTAGCTTAATTCATGAGGACATTTACTACTCTAGGAGCAGGAAGTCTGAAGGTAGGCTGTCTCCAGGCACAGTATAATCAAGGCTCTGGCTCAGCTTCTCTGTGATCTTTTTCCCCGACTCTGCCTTCCTATATATGTTGGCTGGTCTTCAGCTGGCTTCCTGCATGGTGGCCAGATGGATCTCAACAGCATGCTGGTCACATGCTTCTTTGTTCACATCCAGTTGCAGAGGGAGAAAATGCTCAATCATGGAATAATTTGATTGTACCAACTTAAATCTTGTGTTCACCTCTGGATCGATACCAGCTGTGGAACACTGCCACGTGTTGATTTTTTAAAGCTTGGATTCCTAAACCAAGGGGATTGGATTACCATGATCAACTTAGACTGATCAGAATCCATCCCTGGAGCTGGAATGGAGTCAATTTCCACTGAGCCACATGACTCGTGTGGGAAGATATTAATATATAACGGATTGTGAGGAAAGCAGAAATGTCGGCGTGTGAATAGATAACACGAATGTTAGTCTCCAGCCCCACTATAAGACCATAGTATACATGAGATTTGAATTTTTTTCAAGAAGGGAGTTATTTTTAAATTTTCGTGCTAAGAACTGAAGATTATAAATTGCAGATTTATAAGGAGTATGGTCACTAGGATGTTTACGAAAAGCAGATATAGACATTTTCGTAGAACCTAACTATAAACATTGGCCAGGGAAGGATAATATTTTAGGTTATCAGCAGTCAATTATATCACAGGGGCAGAGTCCCGAATAGAGACTATTTGGAGGTGTGGGGAGGTGATGCTGCCATTGAAGGGCAGCCTTTGAAGTCTCCCCACTGTCTCTTGCTGCTGCCTAGCTACTTTCAGCTGATCATTATTTATAATCCCTGCTCAATCACCTCCCTGGGTCTTGAAATGGTAGCATTTCAGGCAGTGGGTCATGGTCTGAATCTAGTCATCTTTTTATTATTTTAAGGTTACTGGTAATGTTGAAAAAATACTTCTAGCCTTTCCAAATATTGCTGGATACTAGAAATTTGAATTTCTGTAATTTCTATTAATGATATATAATTAAATCCAGATACTTCAGTATTGCACAGCTCAGTCATTAGCAAATGGATACAGTGCCAAAGCTGGTAGCTCTCCAAGTTGCAGGTGGTTCTCAATGGTATCCAGGGTGATATTTGGGCTATAGCCACAGGCAAAATGGCAAAGTAGAAGCGAAGCGAACTTGGGTCACATCCACTGTCTTTTTTGCATCATTCTTCCAGCAGTTGAAAGGAATAATAGAGTGATCCTCATATCAAAGACTTCTTTGATGGGTCTGACATGGAGGTGGGTAGATGATGGCATTATGGAAAGCAAGGGGTGGTGTACAAAGTGACATGTCCTCTAGAGGAGTGACTTTTATGTAAAGGAGAAGAAGCATTATAGAGTAAGAACTCTCCTGCACCATTCTTGACTCAGGGATATGGAGTGATGAGCAGTGCTTATCCAAGGGTTGCTAGAGAAGTGAAATCCTCAGTGCAGAGCCAGGAGAAGGAGGCAGAGCTCCGAGAAGCTGTTCCTGCTTGACTGCTCAAAGGGAAGGATGTCTCAATGAGGCCACGGCACACCCACTGCCGGGATGGAGGAAGAAGGTGTTAAGGATGGTCGCTGGTGGTCTGTCCACCACCAGAGACATACTCTCTGGATATTTGTTTTTGTCATCTCTACGGTGGAGGTGAAAATACTTACCCTGCAAGGCTGTTGTGAGGATCACGTATAATCATCCTCCTTGAACGCACCCTTTGTTTCAGAATTGCTGTTTTCCAACCTTGCATCATAATGTAAAAGTTTATTCTCTAAGTGAAGCTGATCTCATCTATCAAAAAAAAAAAATGATTCTTGCTTCTGCCTTTTCCCCTTATTGCCATTCTCCTTCTTCTGTACCTGTTTGCTTAAAGAAAAGGTCAGCGACTTGGCCACCCCATTCCTGAACTGTTGCCAACTGTTGGTATGTGCACAGCCTTGCTGAAAACTCCCAAGGCACCAATTGCTTTTTAAAACCTCAAAATCACTTAGTGACACTTATCAACAGCTAATATTAACGGATAGTGACGAATACCACAGATGTCTTCCCAGAACTGACAGCATAAAATCAGTGTAGCCTGGGCTAGGGAATGTTAAAAAATTATAGAAGTAAAGTGCATATTTTCCAACTTTTATCTTGTAATAAAACTTTCTATATTTTTAAGTGCTTAATTACCATTCCTTCCTCTTTAACAAAAAATAATATCTGGCCAGGCATGGTGGCTCACATCTGTAATCCCAGCACTTGGGGAGGCCGAGGTGGGTGGTTCACTTGTGGTCAGGAGTTTGAGATCAGCCTGGCCAACATGGTGAAACCCCATCTCTACTAAAAATACAAAAATTAGCTAGGCATGGTGGTGGGCGCCTGTAATCCCAGCTACTTGGAAGGCTAAGGCAGGAGAATCACTTGAATCCAGGAGGCGGGAGTTACAGTGACCAGAGATCACACCACTGCACTCCAGCCTGGGCGACAGAGCAAGACTGTCTCAAATAAATAAATACATAAATAAATAAATAAATAAAATCTAATGCAATGAGTTTCACTCTGAGGAAAAGAAAACATATCAAAAAAATCTCAACAACTTTAAGAAGTTTTCAAACTTAAAACTTCATTTATAAGGTGATCATAATGTTACTAAATAGGCCATAGAAAATACAATGTATTTATTTAGATTGTGTGGGCACCAATCATCAAACCACCATCTTTGATTATGAAGATCAGTGCTATAATCTCATCTAAGTTTACACAGTGGGCTTCTGAACACCACACTGGAGGAAGCAGAGAGAAGAGGTTGTGTTATATATTCACCCTGAGCACAACAAATACTCTTGGCCACTTTGGTTTCGGTTTTTAGTTGGAGTTAGGAAGTTTTGGGGGAACAGTTTTTGGCTGTTAAGAATCGAACTCCATGTCTAGATGCATAGCAGTAAATATTGTATTCTTAGAAGTTTTCCAGCTGAAATTTATGTTCAATGAATATTTACTGAGCATTTATTACATGCAAAGCTCTGTCTTATGGGCTGGAAATATGACTAGGATACAAATTTAGTTTTTAAGGAGCTTAGAATTTTTTGGTATGTATTTATGTGTGGGTGTGTAAAATGGCAAAAAAATCTTTTTAAATAGTTTAAGAAGTTAGTACCACAATTATTTCTAAGAGGCTGATGACTTCCTTTGGAGAGGAATTTTCTGATCTTCTTTTTGAGGAATATAAGCCTATATTCTCAGAGCCGAATGAGAGAAAGGGGTGGGGTTCTTGTTTATTCAGTATGTAGACTTTTACTTTGTTCCTCGGTTTTAATTTTACCTCAGTGCTGCCCTCAGCTGTGCCTGGAGCACAGGGCACCTCCAGTTCGGCCTCTCCAGAAGTAAACTTGTCTTCTGCCTATCTTGTGTTTGTTGGGAGGAGGTGACCTGGGACTCTACTACTATTGATGAAGAATCCGAAAAAGTCTTCTATTAGCCCTGTGCCACACCCTACCTATGAGGTAGACTTTGTCTCTTATTCCCCCAAATTCCTTGCCCATTTATTTACCATCTTCCAAAATTAATTAACATTTAACATCATTTCCTTTACTGAGCTTCTTATGATTTTGGGTTTATTAGTGTTCATTCCTTTACTTTTGTATTTCAGGCTTTTGGGAAGAAGCAGAGGTAATTTCTTTTGCACAAAAATGTGTGCAGGCCGGGAGCGGTGGCTCACACCTGTAATCCCAGCACTTTGGGAGGCCGAGGAGGGCAGATTACCTGAGGTCGGGAGTTCAAGACCAGCCTGACCAACATGGAGAAGCCCCATCTGTACTAAAAATACAAAATTAGCTGAGCATGGTGGTGCATGCCTGTAACCCCAGCTACTTGGGAGACTGAGGCAGGAGAATTGCTTGAACCTGGGAGGTGGAGGTTGTGGTGAGCTGAGATTGCGCCATTGCCCTCCAGCCTAGGCAATAAGAGTGATACTCTGTCTCAAAAAACAAAACAAAACAAAACAAAACAAAACAAAAAACAAAACAAAATGTGTACAATTACCTATGTTTGACTCTGTGAGATCTTTGGACACAGCACCTTGCCATCTTTGCAGCACTGTTCCCAGACCACTGCTTGTGTTGGTTGGAATGGTGCTTGGCATATCTCATCCATGCTATTTATTGACACAATTAGAAGTTTACTGTTCCATAGCAGCTGCCATATGACAAGTCTGAAGCACATTACATCACTCTCTGGGGGATCTTTGTGGTATTGTATAACATAGTGGACTTGGTACATTTGCTAAATCCTCTATTACACAAAGTACTATTCTAAGTGGGATATAAGATTGGAATCAGCATGCAATTAGCCTTAAAGGAGTCTGGACTCCAGGTATTCTACTGAGGGAGCTAAGAAACACTCATAAGGCCAGGCACAGTGGCTGACGCTTATAATCCCAGCACTTCGGCAGGCTGAGGTGGGCGGATCACAAGGTCAAGAGATCGAGACCATCCTGGCCAATATGGTGAAACCTTACTAAAAATACAAAAATTAGCTGGGTGTGGTGGCACGTGCCTGTGGTCCCAGCTACTTGGGAGTCTGAGGCAGGAGAATCTCTTGAACCCGGGAGGTGGAGGTTGCAGTGAGCCGAGATTGCACCACTGCACTCCAGCCTGGTGACACAGCGAGACTCCGTCTCAAAAAAAAAAAAAACAAACCCCAAAAACAAAAAAACACTCATAAGTCACTATAATACAACAAAGGAATCTCTCTCTTTTTTTTTTTTTTGTAGCCTGTGTATACCTGTCATCAATTATGCTATGTAGTTCAGCAATGAAATAGCAGACTTCTCTAAAAGTCTCAACTTGGGCTGTGTGGCCTGGGGCTTAAGAGCATGGACTCTGGAGCTAAGTGGCCAGTGCCAAATCCTGGATTTGAATCAAAAGCCTAGAATCTAAATTCTAGGAGCTGTGTGACTTCTGACAAATTGTTTTTTTTTTTTTTACTTTTTCAACTTTTATTTTAGAGTTGGGGGTACATGTGCAGGATTGTTACAGAGACATCCTGAGGTTTGGGGTACTAATGATCCTGTCACCAGGTAGTGAGTATAGTACCCAATAGGCAGTTTTCAGCCTTTGTCCCTATCCCTCTTTCCTCCTGCTAGTAATCTTCACTGTTTATTGTTCCCATCTTTGTATCCCTGTGTACCCAGTGTTTAGCTTCCACTTACAAGTGAGAATATGAGATATTTGGTTTTCTGTTTCTGTGATAGTTCACTTAGGATAATGGCCTTCAGCTGTATACATGTTGCTGCAAAGGACATGATTTTGTTCTTTTTTATGATGTATAGTATTCCATAGTACATATGTCAAATTTTCTTTATCCAGTCCACTGTTAATGGGCACCTGGGTTGATTCCATGTCTTTGCTATTGTGAATAGCGCTGCAAATGAACATAAGAGTGTCTGTATTCTTTTGGTAGAACAATTTATTTTCCTTTGGGTGTATACCCAGTAATGGGATTGCTGGGTCGAATGATAGTTCAATTCTTAGTTCTCTGAGAAATCTCCAATCTGCTCTCCACAGTGGCTGAACTAATTTACATCCCCACCAGCAATGTATAAATGTCCCCTTTTCTCCACAGCTCACCGACGTATGTTATTTTTTGACTTTTTTTTTTCTTTTTTTTGAGACGGAGTCTCACTCTGTCGCCCAGGCTGGAGTGCAGTGGGACGGTCTCGGCTTACTGCAAGCTCTGCCTCCCAGGTTCACACCATTCTCCTTCCTTAGCCTCCTGAGTAGCTGGGACTACAGGCACCCGCCACCACGCCCGGCTAATTTTTTGTATTTTTAGTGGAGACGGGGGTTTCACTGTGTTAGCCAGGATGGTCTCGATCTCCTGACCTCATGATCCACCTGCCTTGGCCTCCCAAAGTGCTGGGATTACAGGTGTGAGCCATCGCGCCCGGCCTATTTTTTGACTTTTTAACAAAAGCCATTCTGACTGGTGTGAGATGGCATCCCATTGTGGTTTTGAGTTGCATTTCTCTGACTATTAGTAATGCTGAAAATTTTTCACGTCTGTTGGCTGCTTGTATGTCTTCTTTTGAGAAGTGTCTGTTCATGCCCTTTGCCCACTTTTTTTTATTTTTTATTTTTGCATAAGTTATTGGGGTACAGGTGGTGTTTTGTTACATAAGTAAGTTGTTTAGTGGTGATTTGTGAGATTTTGGTGTACCCACCACCCAAGCAGTACACACTGCACCCTATTTGTAGTCTTTTATCCCTCACCCCCTCCCACCCTTCCCTCCAAGTCCCCAAAGTCCATTGTATTATTCTTATGCCTTTGTTTCCTCATAGCTTAGCTCCCACATATCAGTGAGAACATACAATGTTTGGTTTTCCATTCCTGAGTTACTTGGAATAACAGTCTCCAATCTCATCCAGGTTTCTGCAAATACCATTAATTCATTCCTTTTTATGGCTGAGTAGTATTCCATCATATATATATATATTCACATATATATATATTCACATATATATGTATATTCACATATATATATATTCACATATATATACAGTTTCTTTATCCACTCATTTTTTGATGGGCATTTGGGTTGGTTCCTCGATTTTGCAATTGCAAATTGTGCTGCTATAAACATGCATGTGAAAGTATCTTTTTCTATTAGTGACTTCTTTTCCTCTGGGTAGATACCCAGTAGTGGGATTGCTGGATCAAATGGTAGTTCTACTTTTAGTTCTTTAAGGAATCTCCACACTGTTTTCCATAGTGGTTGTACTGGTTTACTTTCCCACCAGCAGTGTAGAAGTGTTCCCTAATCACTACATCCATGCCAGCAGCTAGTGTTTTTTTATTTTTTGATTATGGCCATTCTTGCAGGAGTCAGGTGGTATCACATTGTGGTTTTGATTTGCATTTCTCTGATCATGATCATTAATGATGTTGAGCATTTTTTCATATGTTTTTTGGCCATTTGTATATCTTCTTTTGAGAATTGTTTATTCATGTCCTCAGACCACTTTTTGATGTGATTTTTTTTTCTTACTGATTTGTTTGAGGTCATTGTAGATTCTGGTTATTAGTCCTTCATCAGATATACAGATTGTGAAGATTTTCCCCCACTCTGTTGGTTGTTTGTTTACTCTGCTGACTGTTCCTTTTGCCATGCAAAAGCTCTTTAATTTAATTAAGTCCCAGCTATTTATCTTTGTTTTTATTGCATTTGCTTTTGGGTTCTTGGTTATGAAATCCTTGCCTAAGCCAATGTCTAGAAGGTTTTTTCCAATGTTATCTTCTAGAATTTTTATAGTTTCAGTTCTTAGGTTTAAATCCTTAATCCATCTTGAGTTGATTTTTGCATAAGGTGAGGGATGAGGATCCAGTTTTATTCTCCTACATGTGGCTAGCCAATTATCCCAGCACAATTTGTTGAAAAGGGTGTCCTTTCCTCACTTTATGTTATTGCTTGCTTTGTTGAAGATCAGTTGGCTGTAAGTATTTGGGCTTATCTTTGAGTTCTCTAGTCTATTCCATTGGACTATGTGCATATTTTTACACCAGTACCATGCTGTTTTGGTGACTATGGCCTTATAGTATAGTTTGAAATCAGGTAATGTGATGCCTCCAGATTTGTTCTTTTGCTTAGCCTTGCTTTGGCTATGCAGGCTCTTTTTTTGATTCCATTTGAATTTTAGAATTGTTTTTTCTTATTCTGTGAAGAATGATGGTGGTTTTTTTTAGGATTGTGTTGAATTTGTAGATTGCTTTTGGCAGTATGGTCTTTTTCACAATATTGATTCTACCCATCCATGAGCATGGGATGTGTTTTCATTTGTTTGAGTTGTCTATATTTCTTTCCGCAGTGTTTTGTAGTTTTCCTTGTAGAGGTCTCTTGCTTGCTTTGTTAGGTATATTCCTAAGTATTTTATTTTTTTTTGCAGCTATTGTAAAAGGGGTTGAGTTCTTGATTTGATTCTCAGCTTGGTCGCTGTTGGTGAAGAGCTACCAATTTCTGTATATTAATCTTGTATCCAGAAACTGTGCTGAATTCTTCTATCAGTTCTAGGAGCTTTCTGGAGGAGTCTTTAGAGTTTTTGAGATTTTGCAATTGCAAATTGTGCTGCTATAAACATGCATGTGCAAGTATCTTTTTCTATTAGTGACTTCTTTTCCTCTGGGTAGATACCCAGTAGTGGGATTGCTGGATCAAATGGTAGTTCTACTTTTAGTTCTTTAAGGAATCTCCACACTGTTTTCCATAGTGGTTGTACTAGTTTTCTTTCCCACCAGCAGTGTAGAAGTGTTCCCTGATCACCACATCCATACCACCATCATATTGTCATCAAACAGCAACAGTTTGGCTTCCTCTTTACTACTTTGGATGTCCTTAATTTCTTTCTCTCGTCTGATTGCTCTGGCTAGAACTTCCAGTGCTATGTTGACTGGTGAGAATGGGCATCTTTGTTTTGTTCCAGTTCTCAGAGGGAATGCTTTCAACTTTTCCTCATTCAGTATTATGTTGGCTGTGGGTTTGTCATAGATGGCTTTTATTATTTTGAGTTATGTTCCTTGTATGCCGATTTTGCTGAGAGTTTTAATCATAAAGAGATGCTGGATTTCACTGAATGCTTTTTTTGCATGTATTGAGATGATCATGTGATTTTTGTTTTTAATTCTGTTTATGTGGTGTATCACATTTACTGGCTTGCATATGTTAAACCATCCTTACATCCCTGGTATGAAACCCACTTGATCATGGTGGATTATCTTTTTGATATGTTGTTGGATTTGGTTAGCTACTATTTTGTCAAGGATTTTAGCATCTATGTTCATCAGGGATCTTGGTCTATAGTTTTCTTTTTTGGTTACGTCCCTTCCTGGTTTTGGTATTAGGGTGATACTGGCTTCATAGAATGATTTAGAATGATTCATACATGCTAAAATCCTAAATGCTCCAGACTTTTCTCTTTCTCTATCTTGTGGAATAGTGTCAATAGGATTGGTACAAATTCTTCTTTGAATGTCTGGTAGTATTCTGCTGTGAATCCATCTGGTTCTGGACATTTTTTTGGTTGGTAATTTTTAAATTACTCTTTCAATCTTGCTGCTTGTTATTGGTCTGTTCAGGGTATCTCATTCTTCCTGATTTAAGCTAGGTGGGTTGTGTTTTTCCAGGAATTTATCCATCTTTTCTAGGATTTCTAGTTTATGTGCATAAAGGTGTTTATAGTAGCCTTGAATGATCTTTTGCATTTCTGTGGTGTCAGTTGTAATAACTCCCGTTTCATTTCTTATCGAACTTGTTTAGATTTTCTCCCTTCTTTTCTTGGTTAATCTTGCTAATGGTCTATCAATTTTATTTATCTTTTCAAAGAACCAGCTTTTTTTTTTTCATTTATCTTTTGTATTTTTTTTGTTTCAATTTCATTTAATTCTGCTCTGATCCTGGTTATTTCCTTTCTTCTGCTGGGTTTGGGTTTGGTTTGTTCTTGTTTCTCTAGTTCCTTGGGGTGTGACCTTAGAATGTCAGTTTGTGTTTTTTCAGTCTTTTTGATGTAGGTGTTTAGGGCTATGAACTTTCCTCTTAGCAATGCCTTTGCTTTATCTCAGAAATTTTGATAGGTTTTATCACTATTGTTGTTCAGTTCAAATAATTTTTTAATTCCCATCTTGATTTTGTTTTTGACCCAGTGATCATTCAGGAGCAGGTTATTCAATTTCCCTGTGTTGGCATGGTTTTGAAGATTCCTTTTGGAGTTGATTTCCAGTTTTATTCCACTGTGGTCTGAGAGAGTGCTTGATATAACTTCAATTTTCTGAAATTTATTGAGGCTCATTTTGTGGCCTATCACATGGTCTACCTTGGAGAAAGTTCCATGAGCTGTTGAATAGAATGTGTATTTTGTAGTTGTAGGATGGAATGTTCTGTATAAATCTGTTAAGTCCATGTATTCCAAGGTATAGTTTAAAATCCATTGTTTCTGTTTTGACTTTCTATATTGATTACCTGTCTAGTGCTGTCAATGGAGTATTAAAGTCCCCCACTATTATTGTGTTGCTGTCTGTCTCATTTCTTAGGCATATTAGTAATTGTTTTATTAATTTGGGAACTCCAGTGTTAGTTAGGTGCATGTATGTTTAGGATTGTGATATTTTCCTGTTGGACAAGGAACCTTGTCCTTCCTTTACCATTATATAATGTCCCTCTTTTTAACTGCTTTTTAAAAAAATGTCTTTTTAAACTGCTGTTGCTTTAAAGTTTGTTTTGTCTGATATAAGAATAGCTACTTCTGCTCACTTTTGGTGTCAATTTGCGTGAAATGCCTTTTTCCACCCCTTTACTTTAAGTTTATGTGAGTCCTTATGTGTTAGGTGAGTCTCTTGAAAGCAGCAGATGGTTGGTTGGTGAATTCTTATCCATTCTGCAGTTCTGTATCTTTTAAGTGGAGCATTTAGGCCATTTGCGTTCAATGTTAATATTGAGATGTGAGGTACCATCGCGTTTATCATGCTATTTGTTGCCTGTATACCTTGGTGTTTCATTTTTTGCTTTTGATTTTTTTTGTTTGTTTGTTTGGAGACAGAGTCTTGCTCTGTTTCCCAGGCTGGAGTGCAGTGGCACAATCTTGGCTCACTGCAACCTCCACCTCCACCTTGGCGCAATCGTTTCTCCTGCCTCACCCTCCTGAGTAGTTGGGATTACAGGTGCCTGCCACCACACCTGGCTAATTTTTGTATTCTTTGGTAGAGATGGGGTTTTGCCATGTTGGACAGGATGGTTCTTAAACTCATGACATTAGGTGATCTGCCCATCTCTGCCTCCCAAAGTACTGGGATTACAGGCATGAGCCACTGTGCCTGGCCTGTTTTTACTTTGTAAATTGTATTTTTGTTTTATGGGTCCTGTGAGATTTATGCTTTAAAGAGGTTCTGTTCTGATGTGTTTCCAGGATTTGTTTCAATATTTAGAGCTCCTTTTAGCAGTTCTTGTAGTGGTGGCTTGGTAGTGGCGAATTCTGTCAGCATTTGTTTGTCTGAAAAAGACTGTACTTTCCATCATATGCGATGCTTAGTTTCAGTGGATAAAAAATTCTTGGCTGATAATTGTTTTGTTTGAGGAGGCTGAAGGTAGGGTCCCAATCCCTTTTAGCTTGTAGGGTTTCTGCTGAGAAATCTGCTGCTAATCTGGTAGGTTTTGCTTTATAGGTTACCTTGTTGCTTTTGTCTCACAGCTCTTAAGATTCTTTCCTTCGTCTTAAGTTTAGATAACCTGATGACAGTATGCCTAGGTGATGATTTTTGCAATAATTTCCCAGGTGTTCTTTGTGCTTCTTGTATTTGAATGTGTGGGCCTCTAGCAAGGCTGCGGAGGTTTTTCTCAATTATTTGCCCACATATGTTTTTCTAGCTTTTAGAATTCTCTTCTTTCTCAAGAACACTGATTATTCTTAGGTTTGGTAGTTTAACATAATCCAAGACTTCTTGGAGGCTTTGTTTATATTTTCTTATTCTTTTTCCTTTGTCTTTGTTCGATTGGGTTAATTCAAAGACCTTGTCTTCGAGCTCTGAATTTCTTTCTTCTACTTGTTCAATTCTGTTGCTGAGACTTTCCAGAGCATTTTGCATTTCTATAAGTGTGTCCAATGTTTCCTAAAGGTTTGATTGCTTTTTCTTTATGCTATCTATTTCCTTGAAGATTTCTCCCTTCACTTCTTGTATTGTTTTTCAGGTAAACCAGGGATTTCTTCTTGGTTTGGATCCATTGCTGATGAGCTAGTGTGATTTTTTGGGGGTGTTAAAGAGCCTTGTTTTGTTATATTACCTGAGTTGGTTTTCTGGTTCCTTCTCATTTGAGTAGATAGGCTCTGTCAGAGGAAAGGTCTAGGGCTGAAGGGTGTTGTCCAGATTATTTTGTCCCATGGGGTGTTCCCTTGATGTAGTACTCTCCCTCTTTTCCTATGGAGTTGGCTTCCTGAGAGCCAAGCTGTAGTGACTGTTATTTCTCTTCTGGGTCTAGCCACCCAGCAAGTCTACCAGGCTCTGGGCTGGTACTGGGAGTTGTCTGCACAGAGTCCTGTGATGTGAACCGTCTATGGGTCCCTCAGCTGTGGATACCAGCATCTGTTCCAGTGGAGGTGGCAGGGCATGAAATGGATTCTGTGAGTGTTCTTAGCTTTGGTGGTTTAATGCTCTATTTTTGTGCTGGTTGGCCTCCTGCCGGGAGTTGGTGCTTTCCAGTAGCATCAGCTGTGGTAGTATGGAGAGGAACCAGTAGTGAGCACGGCCCTAGAACTCCCAAGAATATATGCCCTTTGTCTTCAGCTACCAGGGTGGGTAGGGAAGGCCAATGAGATGGGGGCAGGGCTAGGCATGTCTGAGCTCAGACTCTCCTTCAGCAGGTCTGGCTGTGGCTGCTGTGGGGGATGGGGTGAGGTTCCCAGGTTACTGGAGTTGTATACCTAGGAGTATTATGGCTGCCTCTGCTGAGTCATGCAGGTTATCAGGGAAGTAGGGGAAAGCCGGCAGTCACAGGCCTCACCTAGCTCCCATGTGATCCAAAAGGCTGGTCTTATTCCCACCATGTCTCCCTAACAGTGCCAAGTCTGTTTGCAGGCAGTGGGCAAGCAGGGCTGAGAATTTGCCCCAGGATACCTGCCTACCAGCCTCAAAAGAAAAGGGCTTTCGTTCTTCCTCTGCCTGTGGAGTCTGTACGCAGGATTTGCGTCCTCCCCCGAGTTCTGGTCAGGGGGCTTTTTGATTGGTTCAAATTGTTACAAAGTTCAGCTGGAGACTTCCTTCTCCCGGTGGCATTTTCCCTGCACCTCTGGCCGCCCTCCTGAAGGATCCCTGTGGTTTCAGGCAGGAATGGCCTGCTTGGGGACCCAGCAAGTTCCCAGGGCCTTTCCTGCCACTTTCTGTACCCCTGTATTTCACTCAGCTCTCTAAATGGACTCAGCTCCAGGTAAGGTTGGAATCTTCTCCCGTGAACTAGACCTTCAGTTTCCCCGGTTGGGGTGTGTGTTCAGCGGCAGAGTATCTCCCGTTCCCACTTCCACAGTTTGGGCACTCACAGTATTTGGAGTGTCTCCCGGGTCCCGCAGGATCAGTCCGCTTCCTTCAGGAGTCTGTGGGTCCTCTCAGGATTCCTGATTTATTCCTGTAGTCATTCTGGAGATAAAATTCACAATGCGAGGCTCCACACGTTGCTCTGTCCACCTGAGTTGGAGCTGGAATCTGGTCCTGCCTCCTGTCCACCATGATCATTTGCCAAGTTTTTAATGGGGTTGTTTTTTGCTTGTTGATTTATTTATGTTCGTTATAGATTCTGGATATTAGACTTCTGACAAGTCATTTGACCATGCTGTCTCAGTTTTATTCTCTGTGAAGTGGGGATGATAACAATAGAAGCTCTCTTGCATGATTGTTATAAAAATTAAATGAGCATATATATCTGCTCATTTAATGAATTAATTAATTTAACACACACTCTTTATATATATTTGTATATAATATATATAAATACACACACATACACTAGAACAGTGCCTGGAGCAGAGTAAGCACCATTTAAGTATTTGTGATTATTTTCTGATATCCTTCCAAGTGCCTTCTTCTTGTGTTCCTAGCTGGCACATCATAAATGTCTGTTAAATGATTGAACATCTTTTATGCATATTCCTTTTCATTCCCTTCACATGGACTTATATCTAATACGACAATATGATCTGTATATGGGGACTGCAACAAAGGAAATTTTTATATTGTAACCACCATTTCCCATACGCTTTTGGGGAGAATTGAGCCATAAAGTAGCAGCTTTTATTTTGACTGTTTTCTGGAGCAGAATATTATGGATAACAATTTAGCTCACAGTTGTTTTGGGGAGTGGTTTGACATTTGTAAAGCTAAGTAGTTCCAGGAATATCACTTAAAAGTCTATGTTGTGGCCTTGTCAGGATCTGCCAAATAAAATAATAGACAACTGGCACAGACACAGAAGGACAGAGAATCTTTGTGCTTTTATGACCCTGGGGGCTTTCACACCTTTCACTACTGTGAAATGACCAGTTGTTTATATCCACAGTCTATGGCAATGTGTATTTTGTAGGTAAGCATACTAAAAGAAGAAAAAAAGGAGGAAGCATTCCATTAGAAATGCTGTGTCTAAATTGTACTATTTCCCTGATTTAGTCTGTCCATTTTATTTAGTAAGTCTGTCCATTTTACAGGATAGGTTTAAATTTTTAAAACTTCTGGGTAAAGTTATTAAAATAGATATGTTGTAAGTTCTTCATTGAAACACAAAGCAGATCAGGGGTTGCCAGGGCCTGGGTAGGGGTAACAGGGAATAACTGCTAAATGGGTACAGGGTTTTATTTTGGAGTGACGAAAATGTTCTGAAACTAGATAGAGGTAGTGATTGCACACATTGTGAACATACTAAATGTTACTGAATTGTTCACTTTAAAATGGTTCATTTTATGTTATGTGAATTTCCCCTCGATTTAGAAAAGGCAAAGTAAAAACAAAAACAAAAACACAACTTCCAAGTCTCAACTTTCCCAAGCCATGGCCTCATAAAACAATAGGCCATTTACTTTACACTTGATCTTAGTCAAGAGGCCCACAAGCGATAGACCATTGCTTTAAAAAACAAAACAAAAAATCCCTAAAACACAGAGGACAAACCTATTATTCTTTAACCTTTAAAATTATTAGGCTTGTTTTTACTTTTCAGAAGGTCATGACTTATCTTGCCACCTGTGAGACTTCGTGATGGCAGGTTTTTGCTGACTTAAGGGAATGTCAACAATCCTGCTCTGTCACCAAGTCTGTGTAGTTTTTGTGTGTTGGTGTGTTGTTCGAACTTAGTAAAGGATATTTTTTATCTTTATGAGGAAGACTTGATTGTAGTACTATGTTCTTCAACCTAGTTTATGGTGAAATAGTCACTAATAACTCTCATTATTTGTATTCTTTGTTTTGCTATTGCTTCTATCACGTTATAAGCAGGTATTTACTTAATATGAAAAATGCAGTTTAGCATGAATGGTATTTACGCTCTTGGTGTGGTGATCAAACAGGGTCCTTTCTATAGCAGTGGATACATTGTGAAGAGAATGCAGTATTTTAAATTAAGTTGATGATGATGTTTTATATTTGTTCATGTTTAATCTATGGGAAAATATAATAGTTCATACAAAAGCTTTTAGCAACTAACATTTACAAAAATCTTTTAAAGCCCTGTGGCTGAGGATCCCTGGATCTAGAAAATGGTTTTTGTAACCAAAGGGTCTGTTTTGAATTTGCATTATTGCCCCTTTTCTTTCAGTTTAGTTGAAATTATTCTCAGCTTTTGGGAGAGAAATAGATGTTTTGCTAAAGCTTTGGCCTACTGCCACAGCTCATCTGAGAAAGGGAATATAAACATTTGAGTCTCAACCTCCTGCTTGACTCAGACAATCTGGGTTTAAATCCAGCTTTGTCACCTCCTGGATGTATGATTTTTGGCAGTTTGTCATTGCTACCATAGAGGAACAATATATGCTTAGACTACAACTAAAATTAATAGAGTAATCATATGCATCAAAAGTTAGTCTTACTCTTGCCTGGGAACAATGGGAGAGGGGAGTTTAAAATTTTGTTTTTAAGTTGAGATGAGGGTCTTGCTATGTTGCCCAGGCTGGTCACAAACTCCTAGCCAAAAGAGATCCTCCCTCCTTGGACTTTCAAAATATTGGGATTACAGGTGTGAGCCACTGCCTCGGCTTGAGATAGGGCTTTTAAAAGACGGTCAGGTGTCTGCAATTGCCAGGCTACTTTTTGTTGTTGTTATTCAGCTTTGTAATAGCAGATAGAACTTGTAGTGGCCGTTCTGGGGCCTTAAGGGAGAAAGTCAGACACCAAGAAAGGCAAAGCAAAAATACAGAAGAATCTGGGACCTCAGTGACATACCAGCTCTGTAGCTATTCCTGCAAGACTCCTGGCATGAAATAAGTAAATTCCTGTCAGGTGAGTGAGGCATCTGTTACTTGCAGCTGAGTGCAATCTCAAGTGTCTCCTAGTTGAGCAATTGCTCAGGTGTCTCCTAGTTGCATTTAACATGGGTCTCTAAGAGGTAGTATAATTTAATTCCATGGATTCTAATGGTGGAAATATTAAAGAGGGATCTTGGGGTTGAATTGTTGTTGTCCTTCAACCTTCATCTTGTGGCTGGCTGTCCAAGGGTAGAACCAGCCCCGTGTCTGTATCCACCCTGTGATTGCCTTTTAACACAGTTGCGTTTCTATGGTGAAGTTAGCTAATGAAACAGCGTGTCAGCTGAAAATTTATATGAAAAAAATACAATACACTTTTCACACACATAGTCTTTCTTGTGTACTTAAACAATGTTATGAATTGAGATATGAAGCCTGGTCATTAGAAAGTACATTCCTTTGTAGGTAAAGACATTAAAATTGTTACCTTTTACTGCATTTATTTTCTATTAGCTTTGTCTTGTCAGCTCTTCCCTTGCATCCCAGGGTATGAAGTCACCATTTTGCTCCAGGCATCACTGTGTTCTATGTGACTTGTGCTTCTGGGCTTGTGCAGTACCATAGCCCTGCTTTTCTTGGGTAAAATGGTAGCGTCTGCCTTGAAACCATATAACATGAAGGCTTGTCCTAAAATATTTCTCTTCTTTGCTTGTGAGGCAACCAAATGTTGCTCAATCTAGCCTCTGTTGGTTCCACTTACTCATTACTTTGGAAACGGGCTGTTTTCTGGTAAGAGTGCACATTAATCTTAGGCAAGTGATATAGGTAGGCTTTGCGTCCGCACCCAAATCTTATCTAGAATTGTAATCCCCAGTTGTTTAGGGAGAGACCTGGTGGGAAGTGCAGTTTCCCCCATGCTGTTCTTGTGATAGTGAGTGAGTTCTCATGAGATCTGATGGCTTATAAGGCAGTTATCCCTGCTCTTGTGAGTTCTTCTCTCTCCTGCCACCATGTGAAGAAGGGCCTTGCTTTCTCCCTTTGCCATCTGCCATGATTGTTTTTTGAGGCCTCCCCAGCCATGAGGAACTGTGAGTCAATTAAACCTTTTTCCTTTATAAATTACCCAGTCTGGAGCAGTTCTTTATAGCAGTGTGAAAGCAGACTAATACAGCAAGTAAAGCTTTTATTATTGGGCATATTTAGCCCTTTAATCATTTTTTAAATTATACTTTAAGTTCTAGGGTACATGTGCACAACGTGCAGGTTTGTTACATATGTATACATGAGCCATGTTGGTGTGCTGCACACATTAACTCGTCATTTACATTAGGTATATCTCCTAATGCTATCCCTCCCCCCTCCGCCCACCCCACAACAGGCCCCGGTGTGTGATGTTCCCCTTCCTGTGTCCAAGTGTTCTCATTGTTCAATTCCCACCTATGAGTGAGAATATGCGGTGTTTGGTTTTTTGTCCTTATGATAGTTTGCTGAGAGTGATGGTTTCCAGCTTCATCCATGTCCCTACAATGGACATGAACTCATCTTTTTTATGGCTGCATAGTATTCCATGGTGTATATGTGCCACATTTTCTTAGTCCCATCTATAACTGATGGACATTTGGCTTGGTTCCAAGTCTTTGCTATTGTGAATAGTGCCACAATAAACATACATGTGCATGTGTCTTTATAGCAGCATGATTTATAATCCTTTGGGTATATACCCAGTAATGGGATGGCTGGGTCAAATGGTATTTCTAGTTCTAGATCCTTGAGGAATTGCCACACTGTCTTCCACGATGGTTGAACTAGTTTACAGTCCTACCAACAGTGTAAAAGTGTGCCTATTTCTCCACATCCTCTCCAGCATCTGTTGTTTCCTGACTTTTTAATGATCACCATTCTAACTGGTGTGAGATGGTATCTCATTGTGGTTTTGATTTGCATTTCTCTGATGGCCAGTGATGATTAACATTTTTTCATGTGTCTTTTGGCTGCATAAATGTCTTCTTTTGAGAAGTGTCTGTTTATATCCTTTGCCCACTTTTTGATAGGGTTGTTTGTTTTTTTTTCTTGTAAATTTGTTTGAGTTCTTTGTAGATTCTGGATATTAGCCCTTTGTCAGATGAGTAGATTGCAAAAATTTTCTCCCATTCTGTAGGTTGCCTGTTCACTCTGATGGTAGTTTCTTTTGCTGGGTAGAAGATCTTTAGTTTAATTAGATCCCATTTGTCAATTTTGGCTTTTGTTGCCATTGCTTTTGGTGTTTTAGACATGAAGTCCTTGCCCATGCCTATGTCCTGAATGGTATTGCCTGGGTTTTCTTCTAGGGTTTTTATGGTTTTAGGTCTAACATTTAAGTCTTTAATCCATCTTGAATTAATTTTTGTATAAGGTGTAAGGAAGGGATCCAGTTTCAGTTTTTTACATATGGCTAGCCAGTTTTCCCAGCACCATTTATTAAATAGGGAATCGTTTCCCCATTTCTTGTTTTTGTCAGGTTTGTCAAAGATCAGATGGTTGTAGATGTGTGGTACTATTTCTGAGGGCTCTGTTCTGTTCCATTGGTCTATATCTCTGTTTTGGTACCAGTACCATGCTCTTTTGGTTACTATGGCTTTGTAGTATAGTTTGAAGTCAGGTAGCGTGATGCCTCCAGCTTTGTTCTTTTGGCTTAGGATTGTCTTGGCAATGCGGGCCCTTTTTTGGTTCCATATGAACTTTAAAGTAGTTTTTTCCAATTCTGTGAAGAAAGTCATTGGTAGCTTGATGGGGATGGCATTGAATCTATAAATTAATGAATCTATAAATTACCTTGGGCAGTATGGCCATTTTCACGATATTGATTCTTCCTACCCATGAGCATGGAATGTTCTTCCATTTGTTTGTATCCTCTTTTATTACATTGAGCAGTGGTTTGTAGTTCTCCTTGAAGAGGTCCTTCACATCCCTTGTAAGTTGGATTCCTAGGTATTCTATTCTCTTTGAAGCAAAAGTGAATGGGAGTTCACTCATGATTTGGCCTCTGTTTGTCTGTTATTGGTGTATAAGAAAGCTTGTGATTTTTGTACATTGATTTTGTATCCTGAGACTTTGCTGAAGTTGCTTATCAGCTTAAGGAGATTTTGGGCTGTGACATTGGGGTTTTCTAAATATACAATCATGTCATCTGCAAACAGGGACAATTTGACTTCCTCTTTTCCTAATTGAATATCCTTTATTTCTTTCTCCTGCCTCATTGCCCTGGCCAGAATTTCCAACACTGTGTTGAATAGGAGTGGTGAGAGAGGGCATCCCTCTCTTGTGCCAGTTTTCAAAGGGAATGCTTCCAGTTTTTGCCCATTCAGTATGATATTGGCTGTGGGTTTGTCATAAATAGCTCTTATTATGTTGAGATATGTCCCTTCAATACCTAATTTATTGAGAGTTTTTAGCATGAAGGTTGTTGAATTTTGTCAAAGGCCTTTTCTGCATCTATTGAGATAATCGTGTGGTTTTTGTCTTTGGTTCTGTTTATATGCTAGATTATGTTTATTGATTTGCATATGTTGAACCAGCCTTGCATCCCAGGGATGAAGCCCACTTGGTCATGGTGGATAAGCTTTTTGATGTGCTGCTGGATTTGGTTTGCCGGTATTTTATTCAGGATTTTTGCATCAATGTTCATCAGGCATGTTGGTCTAAAATTCTCTTTTTTTGTTGGGTCTCTGCCAGGCTTTGGTATCAGCATGATGCTGGCCTCATAAAATGAGTTAGGGAGGATTCCCTCTTTTTCTATTGATTGGAATACTTTCAGAAGGAATGGTACCACCTCCTGCTTGTACCTCTGGTAGAATTCGGCTGTGAATCCATCTGGTCCTGGACTTTTTTTGGTTGGTAGGCTATTAATTATTGCCTCAATTTCAGAGCCTGTTATTGGTCTATTCAGGGATTCAACTTCTTCCTGGTTTAGTCTTGGGAGGGTGTATGTGTCCACGAGTTTATCCATTTCTCTAGATTTTCTAGTTTATTTGCATAGAGGTGTTCATAGTATTCTCTGATGGTAGTTTGTATTTCTGTGGGATAGGTAGTGATCTCCCCTTTATCATTTTTTATTGTGTCTATTTGATTCTTCTCTCTTTTCTTCTTTATTAGTCTTGCAAGCAGTGTATCAATTTTGTTGATCTTTTCAAAAAACCAGCTCCTGGATTCATTGATTTTTTCGAGTTTTTTGTGTCTCTATGTCCTATAGTTCTCCTCTGATCTTAGTTATTTCTTGCCTTTTGCTAGCTTTTGAATGTGTTTGCTTTTGCTTTTCTAGTTCTTTTAATTGTGATGTTAGGGTGTCAATTTTGGATCTTTCCTGCTTTCTCTTGTGGGTATTTAGTGCTATAAATTTCCCTCTACACACTGCTTTGAATGTGTCCCAGAGATTCTGGTATGTTCTGTCTTTGTTCTCATTGGTTTCAAAGAACATCTTTATTTCTGACTTCATTTCCTTATGTACCCAGTAGTCATTCAGGAGCAGGTTGTTCAGTTTCCATGTAGTTGAGCAGTTTTGAGTGAGTTTCTTAATCCTGAGTTCTAGTTTGATTGCACTGTGGTCTGAGAGATAGTTTGTTATAATTTCTATTCTTTTACATTTGCTGAGGAGAGCTTTACTTCCAACTATGTGGTCAATGTTGGAGTAAGTGTGATGAGGTGGTGAGAAGAATGTATATTCTGTTGATTTGGGGTGGAGAGTTCTGTAGATGTCTATTAGGTCTGCTTGATGCCGAGCTGAGTTCAATTCCTGGATATCCTTGTTAACTTTCTGTCTCGTTGATCTGTCTAATGTTGACAGTGGGGTGTTAAAGTCTCCCATTATTATTGTGTGGGAGTCTAAGTCCCTTTGTAGGCCTCTAAGAACTTGCTTTATGAATCTGGGTGCTCCTCTATTGGGTGCATATATATTTAGGATAGTTAGCTCTTCTTGTTGAATTGATCCCTTTACCATTATGTAATGGCCTTCTTTGTCTCTTTTGATCTTTGTTGGTTTAAAGTCTGTTTTATCAGAGACTAGGATTGCAACCCCTGCCTTTTTTTGTTTTCCATTTGCTTGGAAAATCTTCCTCCATCCCTTTATTTTGAGCCTATGTGTGTCTCTGAACATGAGATGGGTCTCCTGAATATAGCACACTGATGGGTCTTGACTCTTTATCCAATTTGCCAGTCTGTGTCTTTTAATTGATGCATTTAGCCTATTTACATTTAAGGTTAATATTGTTATGTGTATTTGGTCCTGTCATTATGATGTTAGCTGGTTATTTTGCTTGTTAGTTGATGCAGTTTCTTCCTAGCATCGATGGTCTTTACAATTTGGCATGGTTTTGCAGTGGCTGCTACTGGTTGTTCCTTTCCATGTTTAGTGCTTCCTTCAGGAGCTCTTGTAGGGCAGGTCTGGTGGTGACAAAATCTCTCAGCATTTGCTTGTCTGTAAAGGATTTTATTTCTCCTTCACTTATGAAGCTTAGTTTGGCTGGATATGAAATTCTGGGTTGAAAATTATTTTCTTTAAGAATGTTGAATATTGGCCCCCACTCTCTTCTGGCTTGTAGAGTTTCTGCCGAGAGATCCGCTATTAGTCTAATGGGCTTCCCTTTGTGGGTAACCTGACCTTTCTCTCTGGCTGCCCTTAACAGTTTTTCCTTCATTTCAACTTTGGTGAATCTGACAATTGTGTGTCTTGGAGTTGCTCTTCTCGAGGAGTATCTCTGTGGCATTCTCTGTATTTCCTGAGTTTGAATGTTGGCCTGCCTTGCTAGATTGGGGAAGTTCTCCTAGATAATATCCTGCAGAGTGTTTTCCAACTTGGTTCCATTCTCCCTGTCACTTTCAGGTACACCAATCAGACATAGATTTGGTCTTTTCACATAGTCCCATATTTCTTGGAGGCTTTGTTTGTTTCGTTTTACTCTTTTTTCTCTAAACTTCTCTTCTCACTTCATTTCATGCATTTGATCTTCAATCACCGATACCCTTTTTTCCAGTTGATCAAATCAGCTACTGAAGCTTGTGCTGTGTCACGTAGTTCTCGTGCCATGTTTTTCAGCTGTATCAGGTCCTTTAAGGACTTCTCTGCATTGGTTATTCTAGTTAGCCATTCGTCTAATCTTTTTTCAAGGTTTTTAGCTTCTTTGCGATGGGTTTGAACTTCCTCCTTTAGCTCAGAGAAGTTTGATTGTCTGAAGCCTTCTTCTCTCAACTCGTCAAAGTCATTCTCCATTCAGCTTTGTTCCATTGCTGGCGAGGAGCTGCGTAGCTTTGGAGGGGGAGGGGCGCTCTGATTTTTAGAATTTTCAGCTTTTCTGCTTTGTTTTTTTCCCCATCTTTGTGGTTTTATCTACCTTTGGTCTTTGATGATGGTGACGTACAGATGGAGTTTTGGTGTGGATGTCCTTTCTGTTTGTTAGTTTTCCTTCTAACAGACAGGACCCTCAGCTGTAGGTCTGTTGGAGTTTGCTGGAAGTCCACTCCAGACCCTGTTTGCCTGGGTATCAGCCGCAGAGGCTGCAGAACAGCGAATGTTACTGAACAGCAAATGTTGCTGCCTTATCGTTCCTCTGGCAACTTCGTCTCAGAGGGATACCTGGCCGTGTGAGGTGTCAGTCTGCCCCTACTGGAGGATGCCTCCTAGTTAGGCTACTCGGGGGTCAGGGACCCACTTGAGGAGGCAGTCTGTCTGTTCTCAGATCTCAAACTCCATGCTGGGAGAACCACTACTCACTTCAAAGCTGTCAGACAGGGACATTTAAGTCTGCAGAGGTTTCTGCTTCCTTTTGTTCAGCTATGCCCTGCCCCCAGTGGTGGAGTCTACAGAGGCAGGCAGGCCTCCTTGAGCTGCAGTGGGCTCCACCCAGTTCGAGCTTCCTGGCCACTTTGTTTACCTACTCATGCCTCAGCAATGGCGGGCACCCCTCGCCCAGCCTCGCTGCCTCCTTGCAGATTGATCTCAGACTGCTGTGCTAGCAATGAGCGAGGCTCCGTGGGCATGGGCCCCTCCGAACCAGGCACGGGATATAATCTCCTGGTGTGCCGTTTGCTAAGACCCTTGGAAAAGCACAGTATTAGTGTGGGAGTGACCTGATTTTCCAGGTGCTGTCCGTCATTGCTTTCCTTGGCTAGGAAACGGAATTCCCTGATCCCTTGCACTTCCCGGGTGAGGCGATGCCTTGCCCTGCTTCGGCTCACACTTGGGCGCTGCACCCACTGTCCTGCCCCCACTGTCCGACAAGCCCCAGTGAGATGAACCCGGTACCTCACTTGGAAATGCTTCTGTGTCGCTCATGCTGGGAGCTGTAGAATGGAGCTGTTCCTATTCGGCCATCTTGGAACTGCCCTGCCCCTTTAATCATTTAATCAAATGATTGGGAAGAGTATTGATCACATCTAGCCTGTATAAAATTGAGTCACCATGGTTTTTGTGGGTCTTCCTCTTAGGATTGTCTCTTCCCTCACCATTTTAAATACTTTCATTGTTTGCCATTCTATTTCTCATTCCTAAGGGTAGACAGATTTGCCATATATTTTATTAGAATAAAATGAGACTCAAGTAATTCTACATTTCTAATTATCATTGTTAAATATTTTTTGATTACCTCATATGATTATCTTTTTAAAAATAATGTAATTGCCCTAAGGTTGTCAAAATGATTGGTTCTTTATTAGTGATCCTTGTCTGAGATGTAACCTTAAATAGCACATCCTTTCTTGCTATTTGACAGCAAATTGTTTTCCTTTTATAAGCTTTGTTCAGCATGCATTTAGCTCTTCTTTTTCCTCATTTAGCTCTTCTTTTTCCTCATTTAGCCTGCTGTTCATCAATTTAGTTCAGAGCTACTGGAAAGAACATATTGAGCTACACTGGCATTAAATTAGAATATTTTGACATGTTGTGCCTCCCTATTTTGACTATTTTCTTGCATGTACAACATAGAATTATGATTACACAAATGTACAATATCCAATTTGTACACATTTGATTGAAAAGTTAACTTTTATATTATGGAGAAATTTCAGGGTATAATTTAATAAGTACTAAGGCTATTATTGTATTAATTCCTTTCACACGATAAGAAAGATACAATGTAAGTTATAATGTTTCCATTTGTCATTAAAATAAACCTTCCAGAAAGAAACACATTGATGGCTTTCCCTGTGTCTGCTATACTAAGAGCATTTCAGGGTTGCTTGCTGGGATCCTCATATTTTGAAGTTATGTTAAGTGCTTTAATTTTAATCTTCCCTGGGAACTGTGGTGGACAAGTCTCTGAGTGCTGGTGAGAATTAACAACTTATATTTCTTTAAGCCATTTTGAATGCTAGTACTTTTTTTTTGCTGTGGTTATGTAATTTTTGAACTCTCTTTTTTATACAACTCATCAATATTCATTACTAATAATAGATTATTTAAAATTAACACATTTTAATTATAAAAGCAGTATACAATAAAAAATATAGATAAGCAAAATGAAGTAAAATAAAATCCATCCTTTACTATTTGGAGATAAGGATGAACTTACCAGCATTTTTATAATGTAATATATTTAAATACAAAAAGTGTACTTTTATAATATACTATACTATTAAAATAAACTGTACAGATTTTACAAAGATGAGATCACGTTATTCTGTTTCGAATTATTCTTTTCTTATTTAATAGATAGTATGTATCTTATTAGTCATTATTTTTAAATCTATCATTAAAAATAGGAATTAAACTTGTATTTTTCTCTAAAATAATACATGCTTAATGTAGACAAGTGAAAAAATACAGGTAATTACAATGGAAAAACAACTGTTAATATAACTATGCAGAAATACGTTTTTGATTTCATTTTAGTCTACATACTTCTGAGCTTTTAAAAATGAGTATATATATATAAATGTTATGTGTACATTTTTATAAACAATAACACATTTTAGATTCTGTTTTATACATGAATTTTCACTGAGCTGTGTCTATACCTTTTTTGTCTTTACACAGCTAAATCATAATTTTAATGGCTGTGCAATAACCTCATTCTATGATGTATCACCGTTTATTTACCAAATCACCTGTGTTGAACAGTAGGTCATTTTAATTTTTTTGTTATTGTTTACATTTCCTCAGTTGACCTTACAGAAGACATATTTTGACACTTGTTCAATTTCTGCAGAATAAATGGTAAGGCTTTTGAAACAGAATGCCAGATTTCCCTTGGAAAGCTTGTACTAGCTGACAGTCCTGCCAGTAGCACAGGAAGCCTGCTTCCACACACTCCATGTCCTCACTGCCCCTGGATTTTCCAGCCAGAGTGTCTTTGACTGCAGCTAATGAGAACCACGAGGTGGTATGGGTTCAACATTGACAGTTTGGTTTCAAATCTTGATTCTGTTACCCACTAGCTGTGTGACATGGCAACTTTTCTGGGCTTTCATTTCCTCATCCATATTCTAAGGATTAAATGAGATGATAGACATAATGCATTTAGAATTATCCCTGGCACATATGAAACAGTAAACAAACATTAGCTGTTTTATTTCTTACATAATTAAAATGATATAGTGATACATTGGTTTGATGTTGTCATATTGCTAGTTTGTATATTGTTTCTTAATTCAGTCCGAAGCAAAGATTTTTCTGTTTGATTCTAATCTTAAAAATAATACTAAATCAGTTCATCTTCTAAATTTTGCAACAGCTCCAAATAATACTATTCTGACCTCAGATATGAAATGTAACATTACCTTGCAGTGACTAATCTTGCATACTGTAGGATGAACTTCTGAGATTAAACATCTCCAGGAAAGCTCATTAATTTGGGAAAAGAAGAGCAGGTGAGGAGAATTTGCTTTTAAAAAGTTTTAATAGCCATAATAATAATTTATTTACAGAATCAAGTACAAACTCTAAGACTTCATAACTCTAAATACATTGCAATGCATTTTCGAATAACGCAATGTGGCTGACAATGGCTGAGGCGACGGGCAGACTAATCAAGTGCAGAAATTGGTGATTGTTTTCATAGCACATGCCAGACTGCATCTCCAGCTGGAAATTCCATAAAAGAAATAAATAATAGTATCACCCTTGGGTGCACTACTGAAAATACAATATCTGGTTTTGTGAGTGCCAGTCCATTCTGCTCAGACACTGGTACCATACTATTGTTTCAGAGGTATCATAGTACCGTCACAGTACTGTCTCAGACAAAATGGGATACTTCAGAGAAAAGCAGCCAAGAGAACTAAAGTCCTATCAGTTAAGGAAGAGTAGAAGAAATCTGGAGTGTTCAGCCTGGAAAAGATTTAGGGGATCGTGGTGGCAGATTTAGAATAGTTGAGCAATGAGACTTGCTCTCTCTCCTTGGGTGGAAACTGGATAAATGGACAGAAGTTACAAAGAAGCAGATTCTGGTTATTAAGGTTCAATGTAAAGAAAAGCTAAATTAGCACTATAATGCAAATAGCTTTACGTATTCCTTCCACAAGGCCACATCAGTTGTATTGTGGGTTGTGTGTGTTCGTGTGTGTGTGTGTATTTAACACTTATTCTAAAAAGCCAATGTATTTAGGGGTTCTGAGGAATTTATAGATCTAGTAAACTGTGGGCCTTTTAATGCATAATTTGTGAACTAATCAATTTTCTCATTTTAATACAACCTCCCTCCCTCCCTCTTTTCCTTCCTTCCTTTCTTCCTTCCTTCCTTCCTCCTTTTCCTCTGTTCCTTTCTTTTCTTTTCTTTTTTTTTGTTATACTTTAAGTTCTAGGGTACATGTGCACAATGTGCAGGTTTGTTACATATGTATACATGTGCCATGTTGGTGTGCTGCACTGGTTAACTTGTCATTTACATTATACTACAGGGCTACAGTAACCAAAACAGCATAGTACTGGCATAAAAACAGACACATAGACTAATGAAACACAATAGAGAACCCAGAAACAAACTCATACATCTACAGTAAACTTGTTTTCAACAAAGGTACCGAGAATATATGTTGGAGAAAAGGCAGTCTCTTCAATAAGTGGGGCTTGGAAAACTGGATATCCATAGGCAGAAGAATGAAACTAGACCCCTATCTCTTGCCATATACAAAAGTCAAATTAAAATTGATTAAAGACTTAAATCTAAGACCACAAGCCATGAAATTACTAAAAGAAAATAGCCTACCTCAGCTTCCCACATGCTAGGATTATAAGCATGAGCCACTGTGCCCAGTGATACAACATTTATGACTGCAAAGTAACTCATCTCCCCTTTGCAGTTAACAGCACTTTGTGGGGAGATAATTTGAGACCATGTTGGTTGTCATCAAACCTTCACTCAGATTCAGCATCATTTGATGCTTTCTTCTTCAATCAACTACTACTATAATAGTTGCCAAATAATGACCTTCCAATTCTACCTTTCCTTCTGCATACAGTAATTAGCATTCTTATGTAAGGAATAATTATTTGTTTGTTTATGTAATTTGAACTCATGAATTCCTAGTTTATTTAATGGGCTATAATCTGCTATTATCATTTGTTTATTTTTTAAAAGTTTTATTTTAAGTCCAGGGGTATAAATGCAGGTTTGTTACATAGGTAAACTTGTGTCATGGGAGTTTGTTGTACAGATTTTGTCACCCAGATCTTAAGCCTAATACCCATTAGTTATTTAATTATTAGTTATTTTTCCTGATTGTCTTCCTTCTCCCACCCTCCAGCCTCTGAAAGGCCCCAGTGTGTGTTGTTCCTCTCTGTGTGTCCATGTGTTCTCATCATTTAGCTCCCACTTATAAATGAGAACAGGCAGTATTTGGTTTTCTGTTCCTGTATTAGTTTGCTAAGGATAGTGGCCTCCAGTTCCATCTGTGTTCTTGCAAAGGACATATCTCTTTCTTTTTTATTACTGCATAGTATTCCATGGTGTATATTGATCACATTTTCTTCATCCAGTCTACTGTTGGTGGACATATAGGTTGATTCCATGTGATATGGTTTGTCTCTGTGCCTCCACCCAAATCTCATCTTATAGCTCCTATAATTCCCATGTATTGTGGGAGGGACCCAGTGGGAGATAATCAAATCATGGGGGTGGGTATTTCCCATACTGTTCTCATGATAGTGATGGGTCTTACGAGATTTGACAGTTTTAAAAACAGGAATTTTCCTGAACAGGGTCATTTTTTTTTTTTTGCCTGCTGCCATCCATGTAAGATGTGATTTGCTGCTCCTTGCCTTCTGCCATAATTGTGAAGCCTCCCCAGCTATGTGGAACTGTAAGTCCAATAAACCTCTTTCTTTTGTAAATTGCCCAGTCTTGTGTATGTCTTTATCAGCAGCAAGAAAATGGACTAATAGAGTAAATTGGTAGCAGTAGAGTGGTGTGCTGCTGAAAAGATACCTGAAAATGTGGAAGTGACTTTGGAACTCGGTAACAGGCAGAGGCTGGAATGGTTTGGAGGGCTCAGAAAAAGACAGGAAAATGTGGGAAGGTTTGGAACTTCTTAGAGACTTGTTGAATGGCTTTGACCAAAAGCCTGATAGCAATATGGACAATAAGGTCTTGGCCGAGGCTGTTTCAGATAGAGATGAGGAACTTGTTGGGAACTGGAACAAAGGTGACTCTTGTTATGTTTTGGCAAAGAGACTGGTGGTATTTTGCCCCTGCCCAAGAAATCTGTGGAACTTTGAACTTGAGAGAGATGATTTAGGGTATCTGACTGAAGAAATTTCTAAGCAGCAAAGCATTCAAGAGGTGACTTGTGTGCTGTTAAAGGCATTCAGTTTTATAAGGGAAGCAGAGCATAAAAATTCGGGAAATTTGCAACCTGATAATTTGATAGAAAAAGAAAACCGGTTTCCTGAGGAGAAATTGAAGCTGGCTGTAGAAATTTGCATAAGTAATGAGGAGCCAAATGTTAATCCCCAAGACAATGGGAAAAATGTCTCCAAGGCATATCAGAGGTCTTCATGGCGGCCCCTCCCATTACAGGCCCAGAGGCCTAGGAGAAAATGCTCTCGTGGGCCAGCCCCATGGTCCCTGTGCTGTGTGCAGTCTAGGGACTTGGTGCCCTGTGTCCCAGCCACTCCAGCCCTGACTAAAAGGGGCCATGGTACAGCTTGGGCTGTTGCTTCAAAGGGTGGAAGCACCAAGCCTTGGTAGCTTCCATGTGGTCTTGAGCCTGTGGGTGCCCAGAAGTCAAGAACTGAGGTTTGAGACCCCCTGCCTAGACTTCAGAAGATGTATGGAAATGGTACCAGCTCTTCTTTTTCTTTCTTCTTCTTCTTCTTCTTTTTTTTTTTTTTTGAGACAGTGTCTCACTTTGTCAACCAGTCTGGTCACAAACTCCTGCCTGGCCCCCCCAAGTAGTTGAGACTATAGGCATACACAACCATGCTCTACTAATTTTTTGTATTATTTGTAGAGATGGGGTTTTGCCATGTTGCCCAGGATGGTCACAAACTCCTGAGCTCAAGTGATCTGTCCACCTTGGTTTCCCAAAATGCTGGGATTACAGGTGTGGGCCACTGTGTCTAGCCTTTGTATCAGCTCTTCTTTGTACATCTGCTAGAATTCAGCTGTGAACTTGTCTGGACCTGGGCTTTTTTTGATTGGTAGGCTATTTATTACCACCTCAATTTCAGAACTTGTTATTGGTCTACTCAGGGATTCAATTTCTTCTTGGTTCAGTCTTGGGAGGGTATGTGTGTCCGGGAATTTATCCCTTTTTTCTAGGAAGGGTGTGTGTGTCCATGAATTTATTCATTTCTTCTATATTTTCAAGTTTATGTGCATAGAGGTGTCCATAATATTCTCTGATGGTTGTTTGTATTTCTGTGAGTTCAGTGGTAATATCCTCTTTGTCATTTCTGACTGTGTTTATTTGAATCTTCTCTCTTTTCTTCTTTATTAGTTTAACTAGTGGTCTATCTATTTTATTAATTTTTTCCAAAAACTAGCTCCTGGATTCATTGATCTTTTGAATAGTTTTTCATGTCTCTATCTCCTTCAGTTCAGCTCTGATTCTGGTTATTGCTTCTCTTCTGCTGGCTTTGGGATTTGCTTGGCCTTGGTTCTCTAGTTCTTTTAGTGGTGATGTTAGGTTGTTAACTTGAGATCTTTCTAACTTTTTGATGTGGGCATTTAGCACTATAAATTTCCCTCTTAATACTGCCTTAGCTGTGTCCCAGATATTCTGGTACATTGTATCTTTGTTCTTGTTAGTTTCAAAGAACTTCTTGATTTCTGCCTTCATTTCATTGTTTACCCAGAAGTCCTTCAGGAGCAGGTTGTTCAATTTCCATGTAGCTGTGTGGTTTTCAGTGAATTAATTTCTTTCTTTCTTTTCTTTTTTTTGAGATGGAGTCTTGCTCTGTCATGCAGCTTAAAGTACAATGGCTTAATCTCAGCTCACTGCAACATCCTCCTCCTGGGTTCAAGCAGTTCTGTCTGCCTCAGCCTCCCAAGCAGCTGGGATTACAGATGCCCACCACTACACCTGGCTATTTTTGTATTTTTAGTAGAGATGGGGTTTTGCCATGTTGGCCAGGCTGGTCTTGAACTTCTGACCTCAGGTGATCTGCCTACCTTGGCCTCCCAAAGTGCTGGAATTATGCTCACGCCACTGTGCCTGGCTGTGAATTTCTTAATCCTGAGTTCTAATTTGATTGTGTTGTGGTCTGAGAGACTGTTTATTATGAATTTCAGTTCTTTTGCATTTATTTGTTGAGGAGTGTTTTACTTCCAATTATGTGATCAATTTTGGAGTAAATGCCATGTGGCATCAAGAAGAATGTAGATTCTGTTTTTGGTGAGGGTTCCATATACATCTATCAGGTCCATTTGCTTCAGTGCTGAGTTCAGGTCTTGAATATCTTTGTTAATTTTCTGTCTCAGTGAGCTGTCTAATATTGTCAGTGGAGTGTTAAAGTCTCCCACTATTATTTTGTAGGAGTCTAAGTCTCTTTGAAGGTCTCTAATAACTTGCTTTATAGATCTGGGTGCTCCTGTGTTGGGTGCATGTATATTTAGGATAGTTGTTTCCTCTCGTTGAATTGAACCCTTTACCATTATGTAATGTCCTTCCTTGTCCTTTATGGTCTTTGCTGGTTTAAAGTCTGTTTTGTCAGAAACTAGGATTGCAACCCCTCCTTTTATTCTGTTTTCCATTTGCTTGGTAGATTTTTCTCCATCCCTTTATTTTGAGCCTCTGTGTCTCATTGCATGTAAGATGGGTCTCTTGAAGACAGCGTACCTATGGGTCTTTATCCAGCTTGCCACTCTGTGTCTTTTAATTGGGGCACTTAGCCTATTTACATTTAAGGTCAGTATTGATATGTGTGGATTTGATCCTGTCATGATGTTAACTGGTCATTTTGAAGACTTACGTGGTTACTTTATAGTGTCACTGGTCTGTGTATTTCAGTATGTTTTTGTAGTGGCTGGTAATAATCTTTCCTTTCTATATTTAGTGCTTCCTTCAGGAGCTCTTGTAAGGCAGGTCTGGTGGTAAAAAAAATTCCCTCATCATTTGCTTGTCTGAAAAGGATCTTATTTCTCCTTCGCTTATGATGCTTAGTTTGGCTTGATATAAAATTCCAGGTTGGAATTTCTTTTCTTTTAAAATGTTGAAGATTAGCCCCTAATCTCTTCTGTCTTGTGGGTTTCATCTGAGAGGTCCACTGTTAGTCTGATGGGCTTCCCTTTGTAGGTGATCTGGCCTTTCTCTCTAGTTGCCTTTAACATTTTCTCCTTCATTTCAACCTTGGAGAATCTGAAGATTATGTGTCTTGGGGATGAGCTTCTCATGGGGTATCTTACTGGGGTTCTATGCATTTTCTGAATTTGAATGTTGGCCTCTCTAGCTAGGTTGGGGAAATTCTCATGGATAATATCCTGAATTATGTTTTCCAAATTGGTTCCATTCTCCCCATCTCTTTCAGGTTCACTGATCAGTTGTAGATTTGGTCTCTTTACAAAATCCCATATTTCTTGGAGGTTTTGTTCATTCTGTTTCATTCTTTTTTCTCTGGTCTTGTCTGCCTGTCTTATTTCAGAAACACAGTCTTCAAGCTCTGAAATTCTTTCCTCCACTTGGTCTATTCTGCTATTAATCCTTGTGATTGCATTAAGAAATTGTTTTATTGTGTTTTTCAGCTCTATCAGGTTAGTTACATTCTTCTCTATACTGGCTATTTTGTCTGTCAACTCCTGCAATGTTTTATCATGATTTTTGGCTTCGTTGCATTGGGTTACAATGTACTCCTTTAGCTTAGTGAACTTCCTTCCTACCCATATTCTGAATTCTGCTTCTATTGTTTCAGCCATCTCAGCCTCATCCCAGTTCTGAACGCTTGCTGGAGAGGTGATGCGGTCATTTGGAAAAAGAGGGCACTCTGGCTTTTTGAGTTTTCAGTGTTCTTGTGCTGATTCTTTCTCATCTTTGTGGGCTTATCTATTTTCAGTCTTTGAGTTTGCTGATCTTTGGATTTCTTTTTTTCTTTTAACAACTTGGCCACTTTTCCATAGAGCTGCTGTGGAATGCTGGGGGTCTGCTCCAGTCCCTACTTGCCTTGGATTTTCCAGTACCTGGAGGTATCACCAGTGAAGGCTGCAAAACAGCAAAGATGGCGGCCTGCCCTTTCCTATGGGAGCTGCATCCAAAGGATGTACGGACCTCCTGCTGGCTCAAACACACCTGTAAGAGGTGGCTGGAGACCCCGGATGAGAGGTCTCAGCCAGTCAGAAGGAACAGGATCAGTGACTCACTTAAAAAAGTGGTCTGGTCATGTTTTTGTAGAGCAGCTTTGCTGTACTGGGAAGCCACTTTAGCCCCTGGTCACCTCAAGTACTCTGAAGTCCAAATGCTGGAACGGCTAAGTTGCCTAAACAGCTAAGTTGTCTAAATGGCTAAGTTGCCTGAACAACAGCTTGCTTCTCCTCCTGAGAGTTCCATCCCAGGGAGGCCTGAAGCCTCTGTCAGCCAGAGAACACTGGTGGGTATAGCTAGAGACCCTGGTTGGGTGGCCCCACCCAGTGATGAGGAATGGGGTCAGGCAGCCACTTAGAAAGCAGTCTGGCCACAGTTTTGTTTGGGCTGCTGTGCTGTGCTGGGGTACTGCTTCCACCTCTGGTCAGCTTGGGCTCTCCAAAGCCCGAAAGCTGGAACTGCTAAGTTGCCCAAACCACAAAGATGGTGGCCTGCCCCTGCTCCTTGGAACTTTGTCCCAGGTAGTTTTCTAATTTCTGTAGGCCAGAGAACACTGGTGGAGGTGGCTGGAGGCCCCAATTGGGAGGTTCCGTTCAGTGAGGAGAAACAGGATCAGGGACCCACTTAAAGATGCAGTCTGGCCATGCTTTCTTAGAGTAGCTGTGTTGTGCTGGGGTACCACTCCTGCCCCAGTTGGCTTGGGCTCTCCAAAGCCCAAAGCCTGGAACTGCTAAGTCATCCAAACAGCAAAGATGGAAGCCTGCCCCTTCCTCTGGGAGCTCTGTTCTAGGGAGCTTTCAAATCTGTCTGCCAGAGAACACTAGTGAGGGTGGCTGGAGGTCTTCTCCATGGTTTGAGTTGTTTCCTTGACTAGTACTAGTGCGAGTACCTGAATGTTTCTGTTGAAGGTGCCATATTTACTCACCCCATTTGTTCCTCTCCTTGAGAGCCATACACCTAAGCTGCATCTAGTTGGCCATCTTAGCCACTTCCCCTTATTATCATTTAGTTTGATGTTCAGATTGTCATAGACTTGATCAGTGGGAGCTCATTCAGGCTCTGACACCACCATTACTCAGCCACCACCTCCCCTGACTTGATGCCTGTCTCAGAATCCTCCTCACATGGCCTCTAGATAGCAGGAAGGAAGGAGATTACATTTTAATTCTTTGCTGACATCAAAAGTAGAAGAACATTAAAAAAAATTGATGTTTGCGATTCTTGCATTTTACACTTTAAATAAAAAGCAGCTGCTTTATTTTGTATCTTTTTGTGTTTTGGTTCCCTGTGATGAGATACAAAAAATTTTATTCTTGCTATTTTGTAAGCACTTTTCTGTAACATCTTACAGGTGTGGTTAAGTATTATTTTCAATGAATTAAAAGAGAAATTTAACATAATTGCCAGGCAATTTCATCTTCTTAACTTTATTTTTAAGGTATTGAATATGTCTTGAGGTGCTATATAAGAATTTTTATCAGATGAATACAATTTAGAATTCTGGAAAAGAACATCTTGAGGTGATGTTTAAGAATTACTGTCACTTTCAGTGCCTCTTTAAATTGGGTATTAATGGCATGCTCTTTAAATGTCCTGAGTTTAACCAATAGTCCATTTTGGGTGTAAATTAAGCAGCAAATGGCTAAAAAAAGTACTGTATAACTGTTTTGTGACCACATGCCCTCTGGCAGCTAGTGTGCCCAGCCATGTGGCACCCTGGGTTATGGGTATGCTCTTTGGATCTGCACTACTAGTAGTTAAAATTACTCTGTTCATAACTGAGGGCTTTCAAAATGTTATTTTAAAGGGGAAAATGTTGGTTATTTATGGACTTTTTCCCCCAAAAAACCTTGCCATTGTTGCTTTTAATGACAGAAACCCTGTGGAACACCTGTATAGGCCTCTGAATCCCTTTTGGAATCTGAGAAAAGCATATTTATGCACAAATGCAGAGTTTTGTCTACAACTTAAGGAAGTTTGCATATCTCAGGTCAAGAGTCCCGTTCTTAAATGGTCTATTTTTGTGGTTTGTAGCCAAGGTTAGAAAGTGACACAAAGTGATTTATTCCAAATCAGTAAGAGATCAGAGATTCACTTTCATTTTTGGTTTTCTCTTTGAGAAGAGATTTATGAGAATAGATTGACACTGAAAACATAGCTTAATTTTGAGCACCTCAAGACTTAACAAATTTGATGAAAATGTTTCAACAAATACCATTTAAAAAAAGTATTTCAAGTTAGGCTTCAATTTTCTTCCTATAAAGCAAGTTGTCTAAGCCAGAAAGGGCCAAACATTTTGTGCTTGGAAGCAGTTAGGTTCTGAACGCATGGGAATGTGCATATTGGAGTACTGTGCCTCAGTCTTGGGCTTTATGGTGTTGAGCATTCTCAGTTTTAATTGTAATAGGGTGATTTGGTGGTTGTCTAATTTCAAATGAGAGACACTTTTGAATTCTACCTGTTGAGCTGATCAATTTGAGATGTGCTCAGCAACGAGGAGGAAAGGCAGATTTCAGACCATCCAGAGTGCCTACTGGCCTTGCACTGAGGTCCATGAGTCAAAACAGCAGTGCTAGTCTGATTGGAAAACTCAGGGAAAAGACTGATCTCAGCTTAAAAATCTGCTGGCAAAGTCAATTACCGAGTTCAAAGACAGTGAGATAAAAAATAGCTAATTATAAAAGTGAGCCGTATGGACTTAATTATGAACAATAAAATGAACTCTCATTAAAAAGGCATAAATTCATCACTTTGCAGCTCAATAAACATAAAAATGGGAAAATAGCCTATTCTTTTTAATGATAAAAATCAGTAATAGTATTAGTATATTATGCATTTATATGCTAAATATTCTAGGTTTCTTTTGCATTTGTTATTTATTTTTTAAAGATATCTTTTCAAGAAAGCATTGACTTCATTATTTTATGGGTAAAGAAATCAAAGCTAGAGAAATTAGAGCCACAAAACTAGGAGGTGATACAGCAGAAATTGGAACCCAGGACATGCTGGCATGACTCCACATTTAAACGATTTATACTCTCCATGCTGCTTCCCTTTAAGACTTGAATGATAAACTCTTGGCACTTTTATTAATATTGTCACACTAGTATTGTTTGTATTATATTAATCAGCACACACGCCTAAGAGGCTTACCACAGTACAACTTTATTTCTCCCTAATGTAAAGCTCAAAGGCGGGGTACCCTTGGCTGCAGTCATCAGATCTGTGCTGATGGTCGCTCTACTGCCTTCAGCATGTGGCTGCTGCCAGTGTAACTAGAGGTGTTGCTATTTGGGCGGCCAGATTTAGCAAATACAAACACTAGACACACAGCTAAATTTGAGTTTTACATAAACAACAGAAAACTTTTTAGTACAAGTATATCCCATGAAATATTTGGGACATTTACATTTTTGATGCTTTTTATATGCTAATCTGGCAACTTGACTGTCAGTGCTCCTGGTAAATATATGTCTCAAATACTGCATGGAATATATTTACACTAAAACATAATTTAGTTTTTTGAAATTCAAATTTAAATTTGTGCTCTGCATTTTATCTGGCAACTCCAGTTGACATCAAATGGGATGGCTGGTGAACATGGAAGAGTTTCTGGGAAGTTTTTATAGGACAGGCCTGAAAGTAGCAAATTAGTTTTGGGCACATTTTCTTGGTAACAACCTATCTATATCATAGCCGCTCCTACATGTAAGGGGGATTGGACAATACCCTACATCAATATTATGTATCTACATCAATATCATGCTATGGGAGGGTGGCACAAATCATAGTTAGGCATCTTAGTATTTCTGCCATAGCACATGAGCAGGTATCACATGCCAATTTGCAGTGGGTCCTATGTCTGCATATACAGGCAACATGTAATAGGAATTAAGCATTTTGTCCTGACAAATCAGGACTTAAACTATAGGTCAGTCTCTAGCTTTGAGACTTGGACAAGTTTCTTTTCCTTTCTAAGCCTCAGTTTCCTCATTGATCACAGAACATTTTTAGAGAGTTTTTAAAAGAATTAAATCAGATAAGACATGTAAAGTACTTTGCACTGTATCTGGGAATACATGATGGCAGCTACTTCTATGAGTCGTAGAATAGAAATATTTGCCAATCTTGGAGCTTGCAGTGAGCCGAGATCGCGCCACTGCGCTCCAGCCTGGGCGACGGAGCGAGACTCTGTCTCAAAAAAATAAAATAAAAAAAAGAAATATTTACCAATCTATTTACTTTGTGTCTTTTTCTGTTCCCAGTGTTTTCTGGTGGCTAAAAGAAAAGAAAAAGCAAGCATGATAAAGACTAATTAAGAGTTGTTCCTCAAATTTCCTTGAAATTAGAAGTTGATTCACTGAAATAATTCACATTTAATAACTCAGAATAAGCAAAACTTTGAATCTTTTTTTTTTTCCTTTTTAAACTGACATTTACTGGAACTGGTAAGGCTTGGTTTTTAGGTGGTTGCATTGTGAATGGTAGCTGAAAACATAATAATAATGAAAAAATATAAAATGGTAGTAAAAGTTAATATGCTCTGTGTTGGTAATAGTTAAAAATTACAGAGAAGCTGAATATCTGATTGGGTAAAGAAATATTTTTAAGGCATGAAAACTATTAAATATGAATAATAATGAGTATTCATTACTTATCAGATGTAAATATTTACCTATGCAGTCTATTCACACACACACAAATTATTACTCTGACTTCTTATTGCACTGCCTTGTAACTTTTTCTGAGCACGCATAGTGCTTGAAACCAAAATTATGTCATTCTTCAGGATGATAGGTCTTATAAAGACTTATCTGTCAAGTAGCCAGCTGTGTTATGGCAGGTCATTCAGATTCTTTCTCCTCTCACTTTAATTTACTTTCGGGAGAGAGATGGCTGGCAAAGTTTAAGCAAGCATGATAAAGATTAATTAAAGAGTTGTTCCTCAAATCTCCTTGAAATTAGAGGTTGATTCACTGAAATAATTCACATTTCATAACTCAAAATAAGCAAAACTTTGAATCTTCACAAGAAAATCGAAGAGCTATATGGATTACCCAATTCTTTGCTGTGGAATTGTGCAATTGAATTTAGAATATAATAGAATTTGTGTTTCCAACAAAATCAACTCAGAATAGCTTCATATCATAGAACTAAATTAGACCATAACTCCCTCTAATTAGTTTGGATAGTAATAGTTTTAGTCCTTAATCACGCCTTTTAGTGAAGAATTCTGAAGTCCTTAGAATAAAGTCTATTGTCCTACATCCTTGGGAGTAGTTCTTGCGAGAAGGAAGTTAACAGGTGCATTGACAAAATAGGTGATCTGAAGAGTAGTTTTTAATTGTCTATGAGTTTTTTTAAAAATGGAAAACTTGGAAGTGTGATATTATATAATTGCTCACGTGTGTCCATGAAGCATGTTTAATGGTAGAATATACAAACATGATTAAATATTTCATTTCGTGGTAACTTCATTAAGGTTATGGATATCAGTTGAGACATTATACAATATCTTGGTTAGGGGGAGAAAACCCTTCCCTCAGATGATTTATTTTCTGCATCAACTCTTTCTTTCTCAAGAACCAGTCAACATCTGCAGATCAATTCTTTATTGTGTGCAGAAGCCTTTATCACATGCCTTATTCCAGTCTTTAAATCTGCCTGCCCTTGTTATTTGCTATCTTCTAAACTAGGACAGAGAACGACATTATTAGAATATTACTGAGGTTTGGTTATGACACTTGAGTAGGTAGTGAGGTGATGTGGAGATGGTGAGGCAGTTGGAGCATCCTCTCTGAGACTATGAGTTAAATCAAAGAAAAGAAAAATGGGACAAAAATAATTCTTTGATTTCTGTTCAGTTTAAATCTGAGGATAAACTTATGGAAAACAGGTTGTTTATGTTGAAGTTAAAGGCCTGCATAGACAAATGGCATTTAAATCTCTTCAGTAGTGACATTTTCACTGATGACATTAAGAATACATTGAAAACCTGAAGGGCACATGAGAACAAACTAGAGAAAGGGGAAGGGGATGTAACTGTGGGATATGGTGAAGTGTGTTTTGAGGATGAGAACCGTCTTGGAGGGATGGGGTCAGGAGTTCTCAGAAGAATGGCAACGATCTGTATAGATCTGTGTGGGAAAATTTGTGAAAATTAACCTGGCAAGCTTATTTTTGTTCCTGTCTCCCTAAATGAATTTTATCTCTCAAATATATTTAAACAATAGGTAGCCATGTTGAGAAGGGAGGAGTCCTAGCTGATAGATGCATTTAGTCTTTTTTATTTTGTTGTCACTGAAAAGTTGAATTAAACCACAGATTCTGGGAAAACCTCTTTTGTGTGATTAAAAACATTCATTACATTTGCCTCCTAAAAGCGGCATCCCTAAAGCATGGAAAAATGTTAAAAATGCATTCACATTAAAGTCTGATTATTTTTCTAAATTGGAAAACATGAAAACATGAAAGTGCATTAAAATATTTTTCTAGTGAACAGTCATTAGAGTAATAAGGAGATTGTTGGTGATGAATATCTAGGGGGAACATTAATCATCTTCATCTTTTAGTTTTCTTCTGATAAAAACAATGTTTGAAGATAACCCAATCATAATTGCAATAGAAAGTTTACAGAAAGTAAAATCCATGGACACTGAGGTCAACTTGACCTTTGGGTAATAATTCCAAGCCCCACATTTCATGAAATGAAGAAAAATGAACTTTAAATATATGATTATTTAAACTTTATCCATGAGTTATTGGTCTCACCAGTATCTTCTTATGTCTTTTCTTCTTTTTGTGGCACTTCATTTCTTGGCAGCATCTTTATCTTAAATAATTCAGGCAAAAAAAGGTAAGATGTATTAATAAATGAGCAAAATTTTCCTTAGGTATTGAAAGTTCTAATTAAAGTTTTAATATTGGAAAAGGTTGAAGCTGTTTGCTAAATAAGATTTTAAATGACCCCTAGGCTATTTCTAGCTATCCTACCATGATGCCCTTATCATTAGTAAACATTGCTGGAGTATCATTACATGTTATTATGTGGAGGACAATTTGTTAGTAACAAAGTGGAGTAAGAGGTGGTTGCTGTCTAAACTACAATTCAGCTGGGGACAGATGTTTACTGTTTTATGGTTTACTGTATTTTAGATACTATTGCTTAGTCATATCAGCTAGTAAGAGACAAGCCTCATGAAGTTAATGAATGAACACAGTCAGAAGTTTTTCTCACTCATGTGAAATCCAAAATACCTTCTGTGGTAGGCAGAATAATGACCTTCTCCACAAAGACATCCTAATTCCTAGAACCTGTGAATAGGTTACCTTACATTGCAAAAGAGACTTTGCAGATGTTATTAAGTTAAGGATATCAAGATGGGAAGATTATCCCGAATTATCTGGGTGGGCCCAATCTAATCATAAGGGCTCTGAAAAGAGAAAGAGGGAGGTAGTAGAGACACAGAGGCAGGCCATGACAGAAGCAGAGGGACAGAGAGAGAGACTGGAAAATGTGGCACTGCTGGTGTAGGATGGGGCCATGAGCTAAGGAATGACACTGGCCTCTAGAAGCTAGAAAAGGCAAGGAAACAGATTGTCCCTTTAAGGCTCCAGAAGAAACAGTCTTACCAACATGATTTTAGGACTTCTGATCCCCAGAACTGTAAGATAATAAATTACCTTGTTTGAAACCATTGGGTTTGTGATCATTTGTTATAGCAGTGATAGGAAAGTAGTCCACTTTCCATGTAGTCATTCAGGAAGTCAGTCTCTTTTCATTTTATGACTCTGATACAAGGTGTTCTAATCAGCTGCATTTATTTTAGCCAGTGAGTGGAGAAAGAGAATGAGGGATGGCACATGGGAGATTTTTATGAAGCAGGGAAGTAAATGACAAACACAATTTCTATTCACATTCCATTGTTTTCACCCATCACAAGATGTCATATTGACCAAAATTTTTCTTTAGATGTTATGATCCCCTTATCAGTCTAGTACTTTTCTCTATGTCCTTATGACACCCTGTCCATGCAGCTCATGCTAGACATCTTGTAGTTGTTTTTGATACTTCCCTGTCTCCTGGCTCCTCATACTCAATCTGCCACAGAGCCTCAGTGATTTTGTCTAACAAGTCCATCAGTTTTCTCCATCTCCAATACCACCATTCTCATCAAAATAGCCATATAACTAAACGCAGGATAGTCCTGCAGCCAGGAAGAATATGAAGGCTGTTTGGTGAGCAGGTGAGCAGTTTTTGCTATGGATGCCAAACTGGTTCATCAGCAGATGGTTGTTATCTCTTCCTCATCCCTATTATCTGATAATGACTTTTTAACAACATTACTTAGTTTTCCAAATGCTGAATATTATAAGGTAAGTGTAAGGCATTTTCCTCAGTTTTAAAGGGGAGCTAGAGGTCTGTAGTCATCTCAAGCTCTTTGAGTTGAAGGTAAAAAATAATGAATAAATTAAAAAACCCCTGCAGGACTCTAATGGTAAAATAACTTATATGAGTCAGAAGACCTAGGGCAGAAGTAAGGCTCAAATTCAAGTAATTAAGTTTATAATCTTTATGAAAAATAATTTTTCTTTAATTTCTCAGCACTATTGATGAGTTATGATGAGTTATTGATGAGGGCCATGAGCCTCAGTCTTGCCTACTGCTTTCTCCCGTTTGGAGAAAGTTAACACTGTAGGGAACATGCGAGTAGAGGTTGTGAGCCTTGAAATGTTGCTTTACCACACTTCACCAGATAAGTTCATTCTCAATACCAGATGGTGCTATGTCATTTGTATTTTTACAAATATGCAATTCTTTTATTTTTAAAAGAAGAAATAAGGATCATATTTGTCCCAGAAACATAGAAAAATTGTAACATTTTGCTGCAATCTTGTCTCATGCTCCTATTTCATCTATCATAGCTTATACATATGTTTTAAGATCCTTTATAATACTTTAAAATATCGCTATGTTATAAAGTGTTATGTGTTCACACCAAACATTTAGAAAATATAGGTAAATAAAAAGGCTGCCATACTGAACTAGCAACTGTTAACTATTTCGTGTATATCCTTTCTATAAATATATTGATCTGTCCACAAGAACTCAACTTTGAAAATGTTCTTACCCATATCCAAGAAGCCATATTAAGCACAAGTTTTCTTTAGACTTTATGATCTTCTTATCAAACACTTTTCTCCATTTAATTATAAGACACTCCTGTCTATGTGACTTCTCATGCTAGGTATCTGGTAGTCATTTTTGGTACCTCCCTCTCCCTTTACCACTCACATCCCTTCAGCTCCCGTATTCAATCCATTACCAAGTCTTCTTGATTCCACCTATCTTCATCTACTTTCCATCATCTCCCCTGCTGCCACTTGCATCTCGGCCCATGCACATATGCACATATTTCTTCTTGCTCATCACCATGTTCCTAATAACTACTTGCCTTTTGGATATCATTTTGCCCAGGAAACCTTTTCTTGCTGTTCAGACAGGATTTGGTGTGCCTTTTGTGTGCCATCTTAGTACTGTATGATTAACTCTATTATATGACTTATCACCACAGCATTACAACCTGTTTACTTGTCTGTGTTTCCCATAGTGTTCCTAGTGCTTAGCACAATGCCTTGCCCCTATCAGGTCTTTGATACACATTATTGAATAGATAAATGAGCAGTAGTGGGGAAGTAGGACAAATGGGTAAAGGGATCAGTTTTGGCCTCTGAAAGACATGTTGATTCTTGAGTAAAGGACTGATGTAGAAACAGATGGCTTTAGAACTGGTAGTATTACGGAGAATGAATTGGAAAGAAATGGGATGAATTTAAAGAGTACTGCTGGGACACTGCTGCTGTGATCCACGGGGGAAACCATGAGAACATTGACTCGTTACTGGGCATAGGAAGGTATGAATATGAGGACCTCAACTGAAGAAGCAAAGAGATCTGCTCCTAGTCACTTTGGGGTTAAATAATACACATATGGCTGTCAGGGGTCCACCCCAAATGGCTCAGAGAGGCAATGCTGAAAGGAGGGAATTTGGTTATAGGCTAGAAAGACCTTTTAAGAAAGAAAGGTGGACGATTACTAAAGCTAACCCTTTTCTTTCCTACCATCTGCTCTTCAACAAACCATGTATCTTAGTTGAAATTTTTCTGACTTGGTTACATACACCGTTTTCTCAGGGTGTGTGGCTCTGACTGCCTCCCCGGAGAAACTTGTTTAACTGTGTATCTAATGGGCTGCTCTTCAGTCTTCTTAATTTGCATTTTCAACATGGACAAGTTGCAGAAGTAATACAAGGAACAGCACATAACACAATCTGTTATCCAAAAGTTGGAAAACAGAGCCAGGAGGTTAATTCCTTGTGTTTGCAAATACTGAGAAAACACCACCAAAACAACATGTGTGCTTGTATGTAGGTCACGCGATGGATCATAATTATAAACTTTCATGATAATGCAATTAACAACAATATTTCTGAATAAAAATGAAAAAATATGTCAACATAGAGCCATAATGGGTGAGCAAATATTTGAAGTCTGCTTGCTCTATTCAAGGTATTGTGTATGTGGTGTATGACTGCAAACAAGTATAGAGAATAGTTTTTGCTCTCAGGGACCTTATACTTTGGATGAAGAGATAAGCTGTAGACCTATGAAAGTGTAAGTAAAATATAAGAGTAACTTAATGTATAGATGTGTCATTACTTAGGATTCTGGGTTTTAGATAACAAGTCAACTCAAGAAGTAAGCAACACAGGGGAATTTATTATAAGGAGACAGAAACATATCTCGAGATCAGGAATGCATCAGGGCCTCAGAAAAGGAGCTGGAAAAACTGAAAAGCCACTACCTCCCTTCTCTTCTTCCCTGCTCCTCCATCCTCCCACTGACTCATTTTCTGAGGTGCTCCACAGTCCCCACATTTGCATGTTGCTGACTGGCTACTTGATTCCAATACCAAATTTTTAGTTGAAGAAATATGTTTATGCTATTGGATTAAGCATCCATCCTTAGTCCAACTAACTGTGATTTGCATGGTTATGTAATATAGATAAAGCTGTCAGAGCTCAGAGAAGTCATTTTTAGATAAGGTGCTCATTATAGTATAAATATTTTGTTCAGGGATTATCTGTCCTTATTTTGCCACCAGCAGGCATGGCCAAACCACTGAGATTCCAACTGGGTAACAGTTTCCTGGGTTGTAAAAATAATGAGGACTTGTCATAACAGCTCATGATTTGGTCAGGATTTCTATTTGGTACTGTAGAGATTTTTCTATTTAATGGATGTTTGCACATACATTAATCATAGCTATGCTTGTTTGGAATGCCACTCTGCCATTTGTCATATTAGTGAATAGTCACACTTTCCTTTCTTGTATTTCGAAGTTTCCTTTTGGAGAAAAAAGTCTTTGGGGAATAGCATAGGATATATCTTTGTTAACAAATTAATTTTTAGGTATAATAGAGACAAATCCAGCATTAAGGGAAGGTCTGTAAATGTTCAGTAGAACTCTTAAATTATATTGCTTATGTGCAGTTCTCTCCCAAAATTTTAAATTAGTTTCATTCTCTCTTGTATTCAGTCTATTTCAATGTGCTGAGCTTGGTAGGAAATATCTGAAAAATGTGGTTCTTCCAAAACATCTTCTTATGTGAGGTCCACGAGACAAAGTGTACACGATTGCCATACAGTACAAAGGCAGTGGAATTATACACTACAGTTCAAATTGCTTGAACTGAACTCTGTGAAAAGATCTTGGATGGTCTTCAAAACCGTCTTTGACATAATTTTAATAAGGAGGTAATGTATGCAGTGAAGTGGCATTTGTTCACATTTGCGTTTGAGAAGGATTAATTTGCTAATATTGTTAGTTCCTTCACCTCTTTGCTAGTTTATTACTTAAATAGAGACAGCCAAACTTTTTGTCAGGAGAGCTTGTGAGAAATACTGAGTATGGTTTCATGTAAGGCACTTAGGCTATAGTGATTCTTCATTAGTAAGTTAAAAAGTGGAAGGACAGGATAAAATAAAAATAGAAATCAATCACAATCCAATATAGCATTGAAAATAATCTCAAAGAACTTTTTAGAAACTTCCAATAGAGAATTTAAAAAATAGAAATGGCTGTTATGGCTGTGTGCTCAGAAATAAAGTCAAGCTACTCATTGTCTTTAAATGAAATTTCAAACTATTAAAAAGCTGGTAACGATAGGGTTTGTATGTAATTGCAGAATATAATATAAACAGGATTTAAACATAAAGTCTAGGGATACGATTCCTTTATTGCTGGATAGAATGCTCATTGATTCATTCACTCTTTGGCCTGGCTCAGAATCTGAGTCCAGATGCCTACCAGTGTCATTCTAGGAAAATGAAATAAGTGGAATTATAATGAGGTTTTTAGTGTAAGGGAGTGTTTCTCCTCCACAGTAGCTGTGAGTGAAGCTGATGGGGCTTTCTGGAAAAGTTAGACCTCAATGTACTCTTGTCTCAATGGCAGCAAGTTATTATGGTTCTTTCTGGTGTATGATGTGGATGTCAGTGGTCTGTCATGTGACTTGCCTGCTTTTCATATCAGTGGGGGGGACTCGAAGGAGCTGGAGGAGCAATTGATAATCTCATTTGGTGTCAATGCCTGACGCCTGAGCCACACAAATCAGCATCTTTCTGGTGTCACCGGGCTACTTGCTGATGGCATCCTTCCACTCATTTATAGATAACATTTTTATTAAGAAGCTAGCAGTGGCTCAATATAAGTAGTGTGTGTGTGTGTGTGTGTGTGTGTGTGTGTCTGTGTGTATATATGATGTACATTGATTCAGGGCTTTGACATGGTAATCACAATAAAGCTGTCTTTTTAAATTTTTTTTTGAGACAGGATCTCATTCTGCTGCCTAGGCTGGAGTGCAGTGGCATGATATCAGCTCACTGCAACCTCTGCCTCCTGGGTTCAAGCGATTCTCCCACCGCAGTCTCCTGAGTAGCTGTGACTATGGGCTTGTGCCACCACACCTGGCTAATTTTTGTATTTTTTGGTAGAGATGGGGTTTCACCATGTTGGTCAGGCTGGTCTTGAACTACTGGCCTCAAGTGATCCACCCACCTGGCTCTCAAATGCTGCCATTACAGGTGTGAGCCTCTTTGCATGGCCAACAAAATCTATCTAAAACAAAGGTGACGGGTAAAATAGCGTATAAAATGGCTTCTAAGTCTCAAAATTCATTGTTGTCTAGATTTTAGAGTTTAGATCTGACTCTGCCACTAACTTATCTTGGTTGATTCACACAATGGCTTTGCTTCAGTTGACTACTTTGCAAAAAACAGTTAAATTTGTTTTATTCTTAAAATTTGTGGTATAGTTATGCCTGAATTCACCCCGCATATTATATGTATACTATATACCAGGCATTTTGTTAAATGCTCTGAGTCCAAAAGTATGTTTTAATATAAAGTATCGTCCTTTCTCTCAAAGAGTTTGTGGTCTAGTAGTGAAATTGAGGTGTGTAAAAATGCAGCAATACCTGGCAGACTATTATAAATGTATATATAATAAAATTAAGTTTAGCTATGTGAGTTTATAGTTTTATATAATAAAGCTTCTCCAAAACCATTTTTCTTTGTGCTTTCCTATAATTTTTCTTTATTTAAAAAATCATTTCAACTTTTATTTTAGATTCAGGGGTACATGTGTAGGTTTGTTGCATGGATACATTGCATTATGCTGAGGTTTGGGGCACAAATAATCCCATCACCCAGGTACTGAGCATAGTACCCAATAGTTTTTCAACTCTTGCCCTTTTCCTGTACTCCGGCCTCTAGTAGTCCCCAGTTTCTATTGTTGCCGTCTTTATGTCCATGTGTATCCAATGCTTAGCTCCCACTTATAGGTGAGAACATGTAGTATCCAAATGCTATTTTAAAAAATAGGATTTTCATTTTTCTTGGTTATTTTAGGGGTAAGGTATAAGGAGAGCAGGTGTATGCCTGCATTAGCATGTGTTTATACTAGTGTGCAGGTACAAGCACATTGCTATGTGGACTGCCTTGCAGGATAGTGTGTGTGATGTAGCGGAAGTCAGAAGACCAGCTTGTCATTCTCTCTCTTTATCTTTCTATGTGATCTTGGGCATATCACTAAATGTCTCTGGGTATTGTAAATTGAGGACAGAGATACCTTTCTTGGGCAAAGGATTATTCTCTAGCTGAAATGATTGATCAGAAAAGTATTTTGTAAATGGCAAAGCCACGCATAGTTACTCTCGGGAATTTCACTCTCTCTAATTCTTATGTGAGCATTTAAATATTATGAAGACTAGTTGCTTTATGATGATAAAATGTTATAGTTTGTACAGATTAAAAAGTCATAAGTGTTTTTAATTTCCTTTAATTCTTCATGGCATGTTCATTCTCATTCTTAATGGCTCCACATGCCTGAAAATTAATTTGCATCTTTACCCAATGTCATATTGTGGCTCTTCAATATACTTGCAGAAAGTCTTTGACAAAGTTTCACATGCATAAAGATTTTCCCTATGTGCATATTAATAACCAATTATAAGTATGATCCAAATTTTAAAATCTTTTTACCCCACCTTATTCACAAAGGATAATTATATATAGCTTTCACATAATGACTAAAATACTAGACTCAGTGGAAATAAAATTGATTTTTATAATTGAAAAGACTTACAAATTTTAGATCAAGGACAACTACTCCTTGGTAACCCTTTATTTAGTGCATGGATTTGACTTAGCACAAAGTTCTTCAAAGTGAAATCAAGACACACTCTCCCATGTGCTTAAGTCCCTTTGTTCTGCAGTCTGACTTTTCTGACTTGTGGAAATATAAGACTGAACAGGATGTCAGTAGACTTCTTTCTGGGGCTTTCTTTTAAAATTGTTATATATGTATTATGATTTTAGACTCTATGGAGGAAAAAATAGTTTCTCTCCTTTAAGAAGCTACAGAAACTTAGCAGGAGGTTGGGTTATAAAATGGAGAAGCCAAACATTGACTGGGAGGGGTAATGAGTAGGTGAATTTGGAGCTGGCTGGGAGAGAAGGCTCCCTCTGGGCTTCCGTCTTGAGATGGGGAGATACAATGCAGAGGGCCAAGTGCCCTGCGGAGTCTATCCTACTCTGTGTTACATTAAAGGCATCTTTCCTTAGTAGGAGCCATCAATTTAGGAAAGGAAGTAGTTAAATAGTACCAGTAGGATATGTAAGAAGCGATTCCTACCTTTAATCTGAGAGGCAAACTAGAATAGGTGACAGATAGTTAACCAAGAAGTCAGGAATTGTTCAGGAGCAACTTTATAGGGTAAAACAAATATATTATTCTTTTTTTTTGTTTTGATGGATTCTCACTCTGTCGTCAGGCTGGAGTGCAGTGGTGCAATCTCAGCTCACTGCAAACTCTGCCTCCCGGGTTCAAGTGATTCTCCTGCCTCAGCCTCCCAAATAGCTGGGACTACAGGCATGCGCCACCACGCACAGCTAATTTTCGTATTTGTAGTAGAGACAGGGTTTCACCATGTTGGCCAGGATGGTCTCGATCTCTTGACCTTGTGATCCGCCCGCCTTGGCCTCCCAAAGTGCTGGGATTACAGGTGTGAGCCACCATGCACAGCCAATATTATTCTTTTAAGGGAGAAGTTTTCAAACCTTGTCAGCAGTAAATTCCTTTCTTCTAAGTAAAATTTTACATGACTCCTCACATTTCCTCTGCACCCCTTTCATTTATGAAATACATAAAAATAGAGCTGCTGCAATTTGAAGCAGGCATGAGGTCCAAGCCTCATGTGATTGTCATTCCTACTATGACCCCTCAAGTAACCTCATGGAGCATGAGGTTCCACAGACCACAGGTTGAAAACCACTATTTCCGGTTATAAAGGAAAACAAATGCTTAGACTGACATAGCCATATTAGCTTAGTGATAAATATATTTGCATGTTGGTGTTGGCTTTTCTTGTAAATTTTCCCTAGTATCAGAATTCTGCTTTTTAATAAAAGTTGAATGTTAATCAAAGTGTCTGATTATTAGAATGGGAAACAGTGTAGAATATCTGGATAAGTTCATCTGATATTATCTACATCTAAGGAAATCCTGATGATTTGTTTAAATTAGGCACACATGAATCATTGGCAGCAGCCATACAAATTTTAGAAATAGTGTCTTAGAGTACTTGGTATTTAATAGCCCAGCCTTGCAACATCTAATACATCTTTTGTCCACCCAGCCTTTAGTACAAAATCTTGCACATTGTAGTTATGCCACGAATGATTTCTTTTTAAAAGATTTTATTTTATTGTGGCTAGAACACTTAACACGAGATCTACTGTCAATAAATTTCTGTATACAAAACTGTATTGTTGACTATAGGTACAATGATATTCTGCAGATTCCTAGAGCTTATTTGTCTTGCTCGATGGAAACTTTATGCCTGTTGATTAGTAATTTCACATTGTTCCCCCTTCTAGCCCCTGGCAACCACCGTTCTCCTTTTTGATTCTATGAATTTGACTATTTTAGTTACTTCATAAGTGGAATCATGCAGTGTTTGCCTTTCTGTGACTGGCTTATTTCACTTCACATAATGTCCTCAAGGTTCATCCATGTTGTCACATATTGCAGAGTTTCCTGCTTTTTAAAGGCTGAATGATATTCCATTATATCTACGTATCATATTTCTTTATCAACTCATTCATCTGTCCATAAACATTTAGGTTATTTTCATCTCCTGGCTCTTATGAATAGTGCTGCAATAAATGTGATAGTGCCAATATCTCTTTGGGATTCTGATTTAAATTATTTTGAATAAATGCCCAGAAGTAAAATTGCTGGATAATATTATAATTCTATTTTTAATTTTTTGAGGAAACACTATACTGTTTTCCATAGTGGCTGCACCACTTTGCACTCTCACTAACGGCGTGCTAAATGTTCCAATTTCTCCACATCCTTGCCATATTTGTTGTCTTTTATTTTTTTGATAGTAGTCATCCTAACAGGTGTAATATCTCTTTGTGGTTTTGATATGCATTTCCCTGATGACTAGTGATGTCAAGCATTTTTTTCATACACCTATTGGCCATTTGTATATCTTCTTTGGAGAAATGTCTATTCAATTCCCTAGCCCCTGTTTACATTGGATTATTAGGTTTTTATTTTTTCTATTGAGTTGTAGAAGTTCCTTGTACATTTTGGATTGTATACCCTCATTGGATATATAGTTTGCAAATATTTTCTCATATTCTATAGTTTGTCTTTTCACACTGTTCATTGCTTCCTTTGTTGTGCAAAAACTTTTAGTTTGATGTAGTCTCACTTATTTATATTGGTTTTTGTCACCAGTGCTTTTGATGTCATATCCATGAAATCATTACTAAGATCAATATCATGAAGCTTTACTTCTATGTTTTCTTCTAGAAGTTGTACATTTTCAGGTTTTAGTTTAAAATTTTTAATCTATTTTGAGTTGATTTTTTGCGTGGTATAAGAGTCCACTTTTATTTATTTATTTATTTATTTATTTATTTATTTATTTAGACGTAGTCTCACTATTTTGCTTAGGCTGGAGTGCAGTGGTGCAATCTCAGCTCATTGCAACCTCTGCCTCCTGGGTTCAAGTGATTCTCCTGCCTCTGCCTCCAGAGTAGCTGGGATTACAGGCAGGCACCACCATGTCCAGCTAAGTTTTGTATTTTTAGTAGAGATGAGGTTTCACCATATTGGCCAGGATGGTCTTGAACTCCTGGCATCAAGTGATCCACCTGCCTTGGCCTCCAAAAGGGCCGGGATTACAGGCCTGAGCCACCGCGCCCAGCCTCACTTTTATTCTTTTGAATGTGGATATCCAGTTTTCCTAAAACCATTTGTTGAAGAGGTTGTCCTTTCCCCATTGTATATTCTTGGCACTTTTGCCAAAGATCAGTTGACCTTATATGTGTGGATTTATTTCTGGGCTCTCTGTTCTGTTATATTGGTCAATATGTCTGTGTTTATGCCAGTACCATGACGTTTAGATTACTCTAGCTTTGTGATATTTTTCTGAAATCAGGAAGTACGATGCCTCCAACTTTGTTCTTTTTTCCTCAAGATTAATTTGACTATTTGTGGTCTTTTGTGGTTCCAATATAAATTTTAGAATTGCTTTTTCTGTTTCTCTACAAAATGCCAAGGGATTTTGATAGGGATTTCATTGAATCTGTAGATCACTTTAAATAGTACAAACATTTTAACAATATGAAGTCTTTAACTCTATTAACATCAAACGTCTTTCCATTTGTTTATGTCGTGTTTAATTTCTTTTATCAGTGTTTTTTAGTTTTCATTATATAAGTCGTTCCCCCCCTTAGTTAAATTTATTCTTAAGCATTTTATTTTTTTGTTGCTATTTTAAATATGATTGTTTTCTCAATTTCTGTTTTAGGATAGTTTGTTTTTAGTGTATAGAAATGCAACTGATTTTTATATGTTGTATTTCTATCCTGCAACTTTACTGAATTTTTTATTCTAACAGTTTTTAAATTGAGTCTAGAATTTTTTATATATAAGATCATATAATCTGTAAACAGGGACAATTTTACTTCTTCCTTTCTAATTTGGATGCCTTTTATTTTTTTCTCATGCCTACCTGCTCTGGTGAGAACTTTTAGTACCATGTTGAATAAAAGTGGTGAGAATGGGCATTTTTCCTGAGCTTAGAGAAAAAGCTTTTAGTTTTTTACCATTGAGTATGATGTTAACTGTGGGATTTTTATGTAAGATCTTTATTATGTTGAGGTACTTTTCTTATATTCTTAATTTGTTGAGAGTTTCTATCATGAAAGGGTGTTGAATTTCATCAAATGTTTTTTCTACATTGATTGAGATGATCATGTGATTTTTATTCTTTCTTCTGTTAATGCAGTGTATCACCTTAATTGATTTTCATATGTTGAACCATCCTTTCATCCCAGGGATAAATTCCACTTGGTCATGGTGTATGATCCTTTTAATGTGCTGTTGGATTCAGTTTGCTAGTATTTTGTTTAGGATTTTTGCATCTATATTCATCAAGGATATTGGCTTACAGTTTTCTTTTGTCATAGTGTCTGCTGTTCTTTGGTATCAGGGTAATGTCGGCCTCATAAAATGAGTTTAGAAATGTTCCCCCTTCCTTAATGGTCAGAAGGATTGATGTTAATTCTTTTTTAAATGTTTGTTAGAATTCACCAGTGAAGCCATCTGGTCTCGAGGTTTTCTTTGTTGGGAGGTTTTTGATTACTGATTCAATCTCCATATTAGTTATAGGTCTTTTCAGGCTTTCCAATTCTTCATGATTTAGTCTTGACAGCTTGTGTTTCTAGGAATTTATCCATTTTTCTAGATTATCCATTTCTTTGGTGTATAATTATTCACAGTATTCTCATATAATCCTTTTTATTTTGTAGCATCACCTGGAAAGCCTCTTTCGTTTCTGATTTTATCTATTTGGATTCCTCTCCTTTTTTAAGTTAGTCTAGCTAAGAGTTTATCAATTTTGATTATCTTTAAAAAAACTCAGTTTCTTATTTTGTCTATTTTTAATTTCTTGTGTTTTCTGCTCTAGTTTAAAAATTTTCTTAATTTCCTAACTTGGACTTAATTTGCTCTTTTTAAAATTCCTTGCAGTGTTAAGTTAGGTTGTTTATTTGAGATCTTTCTTTTTTTAAATGTAGGTGTTTATTGTGCTAAATTTCCCACTTAGTATTGCTTTTGCTGCACCAAGTACTTTTTTCGTGACTTATATCACAATAGATCTATTCTGGAGAAAGATCCACGTTAGAAGAATGTGTATTCTGCTGCCATTGGGTAGAATATTCTGTATACACCTCTTAGGTACATTTTGCCTATAATGTAATTCAAGCTCTCGTTTCCTTGTTGATATTCTATTTGGATGTTCTGTTCATTATTGAAAGTGAGGTATTGAAGTATTCTATTATTATCATATTGCTATTTCTCCCTCCAGTTTTCTCAATGTTTGCCTTATATATTTAGGTACTATGATGTTGAGTGCATATATTTATAATTATTATGCCTTCCTGGTGGATTGACCTTTTTATCTTTATACAGTGCCCTTCTTTGTCTTTTGTGACAGTTTTTGACTTAAAGTGTATTTTGTGTGTTGTAAGTATAGCCACCCCTGCTCTCTTTTAGTAACCATCGCATGAAATATCTTTTTTTCATTGCTTCACTTTCAGCATGTGTATGTCCTTAAATATAAAGTGAGTTTCTTGTAGACAGCATATAATTGGGTCTTATTTTTTAAATCTATTCAACCATTCTATTTTTTTTGATTGGGGAGTTCAATCCATTCACATGTAAAGTAATTATAGGAAAGGATTTGCTATAGCCACTTTGTTAGTTGTTTTCTGTTATGTAGTGTTTTCTTTATCAAATTTTTAAAATGAGTCTCTGAAGGGACTGATTAATGTTTTAAATGTATAGTATGCTAAGTCAGGGGAGGCAGTATTTGTGAATTATCTCAACTACATGCATTTGCTCCTGTTTCCCATCTGGAAATTTCAAATAGGTTGGTAAGCTTATTTGCCTATTTAAATTGATTGGGTTGGAGTGCAATGGACAGAAGAAGAGGCAGTATCATGAGAGAAGCCACAGAGAGAAGAAATATGGTGTTTGAGGTGTAAGGTCTCCCTTTATTATTATTGGGTGTTGCTAGCAAAACCAATCCTCTGCCCGCCTCAGAGCAAGATAGGATGTTGTGCTGAGTTTAGTATCAGAGAATTGGATGCTATGCTGTCCAAAGTCAAACAGCGTATGAGGTAGGTAACCTAATAAGGTTATATAAGTCTATAAATGTGAGTGATTGGAACTGGAGGTCTTGAAATAAAATTTTCAAGGTTTGAAAGTATAGAACCTTAATTTTATCTTTCAATAACAATGGATATTACTTGTAAGTAACATTTAATATACTAACCTTGAAATAAAATCTCTATATAAATAAAAATGTTTAATCACTGTTAATTTTTTTCCTGTGGAATATTCTAATCTGTATTACGTTATTGATAAACATAGGCAATTTTAATGAAAATAATTTTTTTTTTGAGATAGAGTCTAGCTCTGTTTTCCAGGCTGGAGTACAGTGGTGTGATCTTGGCTCACTGCAACCTCTGCCTCCTGAGTTCAAGTGGAGGCTGACCTGCCTCAGCCTCCCAAGTAGCTGGGATTACAGGTGCCTGCCACCACGCCCAGCTAATTTTTGTATTTTTAGTAGAGATGGGGTTTCACTGTGTTGGCCAGATTTGTCTCAAATTCCTGACCTCGTGATCCGCCCACTTCAGCCTCCCAAAGTGCTGGGATTACAAGTGTGAGCCACCATGCCCGGCCTAAAAAAAATTCTTAATTTTAGGATATTAACTACTTGAATTTTTTTGTGTGATCATTTCAGATAGATTTCAAGAAGTTACATAGTGGAGTTTTGTTAATTACCTTTCTTAATAGAAGAAAAAAACCCTGATAAGTAATATCCATTCTATTCATTGCAGAAAATGAAACAGTTGGTGATGTTTCAGAGAACCCAACTCAAACTGACTTGAACAAGAGGTAGGCTGGAATTTGGAGGTGGTTTTATCTAATGTTGGTTTAATCTAGGGGTGGTCTGAATACCCAGTGATATCACCAAGTATGAGTTTTTTCCTATCTCTTTATTGCCTCCTGTGATACTGTTTTTTCTCTTCTAACCATCAAACAAAAGTCCTGAGACTCACTCTCCTTGGATTGACTTAGATAGCATGCCAAGAGAGTGTTATATACTGCATTGACTTGTTTAGGCTTGGGTTCCTTCACCATCCCTGAATCAATAACTGTGGCAGAGCTTGTAATTTTGCTGACATGCTTAAGCCAATCCCCTAAGTACATGATTGGAAATTAGGGATTCTGTTAAGAGTGAGAAATGGGATTGAATATTACTATAGCTATAAAAATTGTCTTTTTGAGTGGATAAGTATTTATGTTAATTATTACTTGAAAAGATTGTTCTTATTTTTATCGATAATTATAATCCTATGTAGCAATTTATGAAGAATCAGGGCTAAGTATTATTAAAAAAAGATAATGAGCCAGGTGTGGTGGCTCATGCCAGTAATCCCAGCAATTTGGGAGGCCAAGGGAGGAAGTTTACTTGAGCCCAGGAGTTTGAGATTAGGCTGCGCAATATAGCAAGATCCTGTCTCTAAAAAAAAAAAAAAAAAAAAAAAAAAAAAAGAAATTAGCCGGTTTTGGAGGTGCACCTGCAGTCCCTGCTACTTGTCGGGGCTGAGGTGGGAGGATTGCTTGAGCCTGGGAGGTTGAGACTATAGTGAACTGTGATTGCACCACTGCACTCCAGCCTGGGCAACAGAGCTACACCTTGTCTTAAAAAAAAGATAATGTATTCTGGTACAGTTTGCTTGAGTTACCTGATTTATTACAAATACTCCCACATTCTAATATATACAAATAGAAATATCTAGCAATCTAGTACATTAGGAGTAGGTTTGGGATATCTGTTAAAATAATCGATGAGACTTTTTATGCAATAAGAACAATTCTAAATTTATTTAAAAGTGAAATTCAAGGAGCATGCTGAGGATGCTATATTTCTGGTTGACGTTTGTGTCTTTCTATTTTTTCTCTCAATTAGTTGAAATTTTTGTACCAATTATACATAATAGATTTGAAAAACTCTCTCCTAATATTCCTGGATTTTTTAGCTTGCTGCAAATCCAAGTTTGATACTTTCAAGGTTAAAAGAGATTTTCCTAATGTTTAGCCCCTTGGTTTTGTGTATTTTCCAGAAAAGGCAGATAAAGACATTAATCACTAAAAATGATGACCTTGATCTCCAGCCCATACCTCCTTTCTGAACACCAGCAATCTATATCATACTGCTGATTGCATATCTTAACCTGTATTTTCTATCTTAAACTCCACATGTATAAAACTTAATATCTCCTTCTCCCAAATGTCTTATTTCCAACCTTTTCCTGACTTGATCAAAGGCACCATCATTCACCTGGTCCCCCAGTTAGAAGATCAGGAGTTGCCCTGCATTGCTTTCTCTCTCTTGTCTTTTAAATCCCTTACAGTGTGTCATCAGTTCATACCTTCTACCTTCTTAGCATCTCTCCTCTTGATTCTCTTCTGTCTACCACCATCACTACTGCTTTTATTCACGCCGTTCTCATATGTTCTCTGGATTCTGGGAAAAGTCTCCTAACTAGCTCTCTTGTTTCCATTCTGACATCTGTTCAATAAGCCTTTCACATATTTGCAAGAACACTTAAAAAAAGTACAAAATGTATTAGGCTATTCTGCTGTTTAACCTTTCAATGGCTCTCCACTGCCCTCAGGATAAAGCTGATCCATGAAAACATGAATCCTTGAAAACATGCTCTATTGAGTCTTCCTTGCACTGGTTTCTGATGAACTATCCAATGAACCATTTACTCAGTATTCTTTTTTTTTTTTTTAAATTTGAGACATATTCTCGCTCTGTTGCCCAAGCTGGAGTGTGATCTCAGCTCACTACAACCTCCACTTCCCGGGTTCAAACGATTCTCCTGCCTCAGCCTCTTGAGTAGCTGGGATACAGGCGCATGCCACCACACCTGGCTAATTTTTTTGTATTTCTTTTTAGTAGAGTCGAACTCCTGACCTCAGGTGATCTGCCTGCCTCAGCCTCCCAAAGTGCTGGAATTTCAGGCGTGAGCCACTGTGCCTGGCCTCTGTATTCCTTTTTACGTTAGATTTAAACTGTGGAATTTCTTTTGGTTTCCTACTTCTGCCAGGCTATTTCTTACCTCTATGACTTTGGTTGTGCTTTCTCTCTGCTTGGAATGTCCTTTGCTCAGTTTCTATTTATTAAACACCTACCAGTCTTTCAAGAGAGTGTATGTTATAATGTTTGAGAGCTTACATTTTGGAGGCAGATGGACCTGGGGTTGAGTCCTGGATCCCAAATTACTAACTATATAGCTTTGGTCAAGTCACATAACCTCCTTGAACCTCAATTTTCTTATCTATAAACTTGGGATAATAATATCTACTTCAAATGGTTGTTGTGAGGATTCAATTAAATGAACTAATGAACTTGAAGTGCTTAATACCATGCTTGACACATTCTAATTATTCAATAAATTGTAACTTCTTTGACTCAATTCAACTTTATTTATCAAAACCTTTTTGAACCCCTTCCCCTCAATTGGGACAAATCATTCTGCTTCAGTTATTGAGCTATGATGTCTCTCAGCTCCAAACCCATATCCTTGTATAGCTTGCTCTGTGGTGCTGGGGCTGGCACTCTGTAAATCAGATCTCTGCCTGGCCATTTCTCTCATCTTAGGCTCTCTCAGCAGGGGTTCCAGGGAGACTGCACAGCTGGTGGAGGGAAAATGCACTTCCTTTTTTCCGTTGAGTTTATGTGTACTTCCTAATTTTGTCAGGATCTGCCTTGCCTCACTTCACCCTGGCAGTGGCAGTTGAATCCAAGAGCAGCAATCAAATGCACTTTGCAGTTCAGGTTCTCTAACACTGGCAGAATCAGACACATTAGGTGAGCAGTGCCCCTTCTTAGATGTCTGGGTCTCAGGCGTATGAGTCACCTCCTCTAAACCTTCTAAATTTTAATAATCCCAACCTTTCACTTTGTTTTCCCAATTGTAGGGGTAGAAGAGGCTTTCTGCAGGTGATATCTCTGTGATACCTTAGAGTTCTCTCTTTGCCTTTTCATCTACTCAATATAACTATCTACACTAAATTTTTTTCTATTAAAAGTAATTAGTGTGACCTCTATGCCCTAACCAGACTCTGACAGACACTGACACCTATTCCGTCCTTTGTTTCCTTACTGGGATTTGTTTTTGTGTCCCAAGTGCCTTTGTAATAAACTGATGCACAGTAAGAGTCCATAAATAGAGCTACCTGATGAACATCTCTACCTGAATAGCTCCCTTTAGGTCCCATACTCAGTATTTCTCCATCTGCGCTCATCGTTTGCAGTCATCACTACAAATGCAGTTTCTTCTTTCTCCATATTGGTCAGTGTCATCAGTGTGTGCTTTCGAAGGAATTGAATACAGTGTTCTAAACTTGATCTTTACAGCGATTGAACAATGTGAACAAATGAAAATTACTAACATCTTTGTACTTCAAGTTGCTATAATAACAGACAAATTTTGGTTTTAAAAATGTATTAATGTAATTCATTTAAAAATCTATATCTCCAAAAGTTAATAACCAGAAGAGACACACTTGAATAGGAGGGAGAAACCCAGATCCTATTCCTCTTATTTCAAACTAATTTTTACAACTCCATTAGTCTTTCACTTTCTCCATCAATAAAATGGAGTTAAAATATGTATGTATGTCAGAGATATGTATGCATCCTATGTATGTCAGAGACATTTAATATATACATAAACATACACATTAGGTAACATATCTGCAAGTTATTAGGATTTAATAAAATTTAGAATTAATCATTATGCTGAAGTTAAACTATTTTAAAGTCTATCTCCTCCCTCCCAATCTAATGATAACAGATGGATTCAAAGTAACATCTATAAAAGAAGCTTAAGCTATGTTTAACTTAACATAAAAAATTCATTGAGTTTCACCAAATAAATAATATTGACTAAAAGTTGGGAGAGTTTTGATTACATGGTTATTAAATCATTATAAAACATAATGTGGTTTTTGAGAAGCAATTCCTGACTTGTATAACTGTTTTTAAAAAAGGAATCTTTGATATAAAAAATGATGAAGCAACTCAATTTTACTGGCATAGAATTTGGGGAAGAGTATTAAGAATTATTTTATTTCTAATATTGAATGTATGAGAGAGCAGATCAAGTAATAAATTTTAAATTATTTCAGTTTTCATGCTGGATCAATGTTTGCTATTGCTGAATTTTTTCTGGAGTAATTTTGGTTTTGAGAAAATTAGAATTGATTTATTTGTAAGTAGAATTCTGAATAGAAACTATAAGCCATGCTGAATAACAAACTCAAATATAGATTTCTTGTCCCGATATTTAAAAGACATCACTTTTGAAGAAAAAAGTGAACTAGGGTTAACCCAATTTCTTACCTTGGCGAATATGAATGATATCTATAGTACAGAAAAAAAAAGGTGATACTCATATGAGCCTATATAGAATCAAAGAATTCAATAAAATGCCAGATCATTCTACTTTTTAGGTATACTTGGAAACTGAAATATCATCAAAAGAATTGAATACTGCATGCAGTGAGCCAGTTATTCCTATTGGAGAAACAAATAACTGTATAAATATCTTCTTTGAGCAAGTGGGCAGTTGAATTTCAATGATTTAAAATAGCTTTATTTTCAATTTTAAAATGTCATGCAGTAAAGTTTTAAGGAAACCCTACAAAAATACATTTATAGCAGACTCAAGCAGTTACTTTCAGATAATGAGATGTTTGGTTCTCTCTATTGTGGTTTTTCAGTGTAGACTTCATCTGAATTATCACTTCTTGGCCTGTTGAGATTTTCAATGTACGAGGATTTCTAAGGATATTATTTCCCCCATAACATATTAGCTATGAAGAAATGCCAGTCATCTGAACAATATTTGAAATTTACTGTGCTCTGGAAACTGTCTTAGGTCCTAGGATGGAGTTGGGGTTAGAAGACAGGGGAGGAAATAAAAAAAAGAATAAGATGCCCTGGTCCAGTAGCATTTGCAGTGATGCGTGGGCACTCTGGGATTTCATGGCTCATCATGGTTCTCAGGGCAAAGGTGAAAAAACTGAGTCAATTAGAAGTTTATTATTTTCCATGTTGTCACATTCTGGCCATATTCCTATTGATTTTGTAGTAGACCATTAGAGTATGCCGAGAGCCATACCTTGCCACTTATTCATATAATTCATATTCATTATAACATGCCAGTAGTAAAGAGAAGAATCCCAGTTTCCACTCCCCTTTTTGAATAAACCTTATGGAAACAATTAATGTCATTCATGGGATCTGGGACCTGGTAGATGCTGAGCATGTTTCACCACTTAGAGAAGTGTACAGGAAACCTGAGGTCATTTCAGGATAGCATGGCTAGTTGGGTCAGAAGGGATTCTAGCCTGTCCCATTTCTGCTGAAAGAGTGAAGTTGGTCTTTATTTCACTTGTCTTATATACCTATGCTTAAAAATAAAATAAGGAAACCAGAAGCCAATATTTGACTTTAGTATAAATCCCTTAGGGAACCATTCACTCATTCAGTCATTTCAACACGATCAAGTTCTGAAGCATCTCATGTAGTGGAAAACAAACTGGTACCAGACACTGGGGACATAATGATGAAAAGACTTGGCCCCTGTGTTAGTTTGAGCTTCTATAACAAAGTACCATAGAATGGGTGGCCTATAAACAACAAGAAATTTATTTTTCACAGTTCTGAAGGCTGGAAGTCTGAGATCAGGGTGCCAAGACGGTCCCCTTCTGGTGAAGGCCCTCTTCCAGGTTGCAGACTGCCATCTTTTTGTTGTATTCTCATGTAGCAGAAAGAGCATGGAGACCTCTATAGGGTTCCTTTTATAAGGCTGATCCCATTCAGGAGAGCTCCACCTACATGACCTATTTATGCCCCAAAGACCCCACCTCCTAATACCATCACTTTGGGGGTTAGGATTTCAATATATGAATTTTTTTGGGGAGAGGGCACAAACCTTCAGTTTATAACAGTCCCTACCCTGTAACAGGAATACATTTGCAATGTGGTAAGTGCCTATTGTAGAATGACTTCTGGTCAAGTTTTTTCTAAGGGGTTACTAATTTATTAGTAATTTATTAAAAGTAATGGCAAAAACCACAATTACTTCTGCACCAACCTAAATATTTATGTATTTTGACCAATTTCAGCAGTCTTTCCACCAGCTCCTTGACAAAGGCATGAAACAACTGATTGACTTGGTGTTGTGGACAGATCCACCTCTTGTTTGCCCATCCTGATCAGGACTATAAACTTTCAGGGTCAGCTGGGGCCTTTTCTCTCACAGAATGAAAGCAGCTGAGAGGAGGCTGACTTGGCTGTGTAATCTCTGTCCCACACCTTGAAAATTCCAATGTAGGGGTGTTAGAGGAGAAAAGATTAGAGGTGTTCTGAATGGGAGAGATTTAATGTCTCTGTGACTGGGACTCAGACTTCACAGAGATCCCCATTCCCCTCCTCCATGCACACACTCATAAACTCCTCACTGGTCCTCTAACTTCAAGGCTGTTGTTAACACTGAGCTGCAGGGTAGAATGGAGTGGGCTTATCTCCTATTGATTCATTTCTTTCTAATTGCTTGAGGAGGTAGAGTTTGGTTATCAAAACTTTATTTTTGTCAAGTTTTGCTCATCAGTTCAGTGTTCTCTCATCAGATTTTTAGGACATCAGCATATTGTTTCTTTCAAACAAGGGTATTAATGGTATATAAGAAAATCCCCCAAACATAGACTGATACCTTTTCTTTCCGCACCTCCAAGGTAAGATCATTACCAAAAGAGTTTTAAAGAAATGTCTTAGCTCTTGTTAAAAGAGACTACAGAGGCTGAGGCAGGTGGATCATGAGGTCAGTAGTTCAAGACCCAGCCTGGCCAAAATGGTGAAACCCTGTCTCTACTAAAGATACGAAAATTAGCTGGGCGTGGTGGTGGGAACCTGTAATCCCAGCTACTCGGGAGGCTGAGAAAGAGAATTGCTTGAACCCGGGAGGCTGAAGTTGCAGTGAGCTGGGATTGTTCCACTGCATTCCAGCCTAGGCGACAGAGGGAGACTCTCAAAAAAAAGAAAAAAGACTACAACACAACTCCATTACAACAGTAATGAGAGACTATCGCGGAATGTACACCTTTATTAGAGTCCTTATTTCTCAATATTTTAGTAATCTATTTACCTTTTTCTCTATAGACTCTAAGTATCATGAGGCTAGAGACTATGTCCTCTATCTGTGTATTCCCAGTACCTGGCACAGTGCCTAGCCCATGATAGTTGGGCTCAGTAAATATTTGGTGAGCCAATATATGTTCGGTGAAGGAGTGGATATTTAAAAAAATTATCTAGTTATAATGGAATTTCACTGTATAATTTTTGTTTGATGTCCAATTTCAAAGAAGTCATTTTTTTGTCTGAAAGAGCTGATAATGTCATTTTAAAAATCTTTTGATTAAATAAAATGTACCAGCATTTTCTTTCAAATATATCAGCTTATTATTCTGTAGCTCAGTTATCTCTCTCTAGGTATTGAGGAGATGTGAACTCTAAGGGACAAAAGCTCTACATAATTTGAAGGTATTATACTCAAGGCAAAGTTTCTTTTCAGGTAAAAATTACACTGCAGTTTTTCAATCAAGTGAAAGTTAACATTAACATTCACAGGAGAGTTTTTGTGCCCATCACACATCTTTTACTTCCATGACATTAAAAAAATTAAATAGATAGTGCTCCCTCTCAATGAATAATCCAGAAAAAGAAGTAATGAGGCATACATGAAAACCAGTTAATACAACCATGATCTTCTCAACATAATGGTCTGAGGTGATTTATTTGTGTTGACAGTGTTTACTCAACTATAACCTACTTATAAACAGAGTAGTGAGTCATCACTACCAATGATGAGCTTACTTAGGGAATTTTATTTTATTTAAATGGCCAGTACTTACTATATTTTGAGATGGTTGCTCAGAAGAGTGGGAAGAATTTGTTCACTGTAAAAGAATAAATTTTTCAGATAATTATAAGGGAAAAATAAAGTTAATTGAATTATATAGTTGGTATTTAATGTCATAGATGAATTTTTATGTGTAAGCAATCATTATATATGAAAGTTAGTCCCTAGCAATAAAATTGTACTCATGTAAAATTTTTTCCTTGGTTTAAATATAGTCTTTCCTTTCCATTTGAGATATTCAGAGGCTATACTTCATAAACATCAATATCTTTCCAAAGTGATTGGTCATTTTCTTCTCTAGGCTCAGCAGAAAATTAGGAAATACGTAACTCATTCAATAACTAAGGATAAAAACTTCCATGCATTTTAGACTTATTTCTTGGCTATTATGTCTGCATCTCTTATCTAATGGATGGATATCCCAGAAATGAGTTGCCTCCACTCTGGCTTGGTCAATTATACTTAGATGGAGAAGAGTTGAAGGGAAGGGTGGGAACCCTAGCTCTGTTCTGTTTTCCCCTCTGAACTACAAAGGATCCTATTAATATCTATAGCTATTGAGCTAACATGTAAAGTCTTGCCTACTATTTCTTTTTCAGGGCATGGTAGATACTACTGAGATAAAAATAATTTTCTAAGAAACCAGGATTTTAATAAAAATGTAAATTATTTTAACATTAGTACTGAAGTTCAGGTTAATAAGTATGGCAGTGATTGATAAAAATCTTATGTACTGGCAAAAACGTTAGAGGTGGAAAAAGTTTTCAACCTGTCTGAGAGACATAAATGTATTATTACTTGAAAATCATTTCATTAAAGGTAAATATTTGTTTTACCCTCTAGATTCATACTTAATATAAAGTCAAAGTTGAAAATAAGGTAATTAGTCTTAGTGAAATTTTTGTCTCTGCTCCCAGAAAGGTCAACTAAATTTTCCCAGATGTTACAATTAATTTTCATTATTGCTTTTAGCTTATCTTTATTTCTAGTTCCCCATTTTTTTTTCTTATCTTTTCCTGTTCTATCAGAACGAATTCTATTTCTCACATTAGGACCAAGGAAGGATTGGAATTACTTACAATGGAAAAGTTTTACTTGAACTTCATTCTCTCTTCCTCCTTTTGTTTGGACATCTCCACTTTGTGCTTGTTTAAAACCTTTCTCAGGCTATTTTTACTGTTATTTTTTACACTGAGCTGTTTGGAAAAATGAAGTGTCAGCCCTGAGTTACATATTACCCTTGTGGCCTTCAAACTCTCGTACAGTAGTCTTTGATGTCCTCATTTCCAAGCTTAGTTTGCAGCCACTTTCCCATTGTAAGTGTACTTTAATTACACTTTCAAATCAGGGTCCTGGAAAGCTGAGGTAATTTGCAGGGAGCTTAATGAGGAACTGTCTACCAGAGTTTAGGGAAATCTGAAATGTTTCAGTAACCCTAGGACTAGTAACAGCTGGTTATTGCTCTAGGCCTGAAAGAGTGTGATAAACCATCTCTAGGATTCCCACCACCCAGTGAGTGTGGTGTTCATGCCCTTGGGTACTTCCTCCCTCTTGAGTGTAGGCTGAACATAGTCATATGCTTCTAATAAACAGAACACGCTAAAAGTAATAGGATGTCACTTCTGAGATTAGATTACAAAACAACAATGGCTTCTGTCTGGTTGTCTTGCTTGCTCTGAGGGAACCCAGCTGCCAAGATTGGAGCTGCTTTATATCAAGGCCTTCATGAGAAGAAACTGAGGGATGCTTCAGTCCAACAATCTGTGAGGAAATGAATCCTGTCAACACCATATGAGTGAGTTGGAAGTGGATCTTCCCTCAGTTGAGCCAGGTGAAAATACAGCTCCAGGTAATACCCTGATTACAGTTTTTCGAGAGACCTTGAGGAAGAAGCACCCAGGAACTTTGAGATAATAAAAGATTTCTGTTTTAAGCTGCAGTTCTTGGGGGTCACTTGTTATGTAGCAATAGATGGCTAATTCAAGGAGTTGGGGAGGAAGCAGTTACTGGAGTCAGAGATGGCTGTGTGGCGGTCTCCTGCTAAGAGCTGTGGCTTTCATTCAAGGGTCACATTCAGTGTGCAGGAAGTTGGGGGAATAAATACCCTGTCTTTCTTCCCTGTCCTGCTGCAGTTGTCTATTTGCTGGACCCAGTCAGAAAACAGGAGGCAAAAGAGCCCTTTGGTGAGGTCAAATAGCCAGCCTCCTGTGGCTCAGAGCAGGACAGAGAAAGGGGGAATAGATCTGGAAGATATGTAACATAGGGAAAGAAATGAATCCATTTGTACTTACCATTCAATCTAAGAAACCTTTGTTATAAATACAGTTGAAATCCTCTCTACCCGTCCCTGAACATGTTCTTTTCCCTTTACCCACAGATAGTCGGGATCTTTATCCTGGGGTTATTATTCCCATTCAGTTTTAAATTTTTACCTGTTTTGGCCAGGTGCAGTGGCTCACACCTGTAATCCCAGCACTTTGGGAGGCTGCGGTGGGTGGATCACCTGAGGTCAAGAGTTAGAGACCAGCCTGGCCAACATGGTGAAACTCTGTTTCTACTAAAAATACAAAAATTAGCTGGGTGTGGTGGTGGGTGCCTGTAATTCCAGCTACTCGGGAGGCTGAGGCAGGAGAAATGCTTGAACCCAGGAGGCAGGGGTTGCAGTGAGCTGAGATGGTGCCATTGCACTCCAGCCTGGGCAACAAGAGCGAGACTCCCTCCCAAAAAAAATTTGCTTTATTTGTTTATTTAATTTTCATGATCAGAATGGCCTATAGTGTCCCGGGCATGTGTTAGAATAGTGTTTTATCCTTTGATTCATTTATCCTGTTAGTTTTCCAGATAAGATTACTGGGTCTGTGTGCACCAAGGGGATGCTCCTCAAATTATGCTGGCTAAATTGAGGAATCATACAGTTCTGTTGTTTCATCTATAGCAGAGATCAACATACTTACTGAAAAGGACCAAAAAGTAAATATGTTAAGCTTTGTGGGCTACAAGGTCTTTATCTGTCACCCTATTCACCTCCACCATTGCAGTAGAAAGCAACCCTAGACAATGTGTAGGTGAATTGGTGTGGCTGTTTTTCAATAAAACTTTACAAACTCAAGTGGCAGGCTAGATTTGGCCCATGAATTGTTTCTCTGCTCTATAGCAGCCCTGAGAAAATGACCATGGGACTAGCCATCCTGGTGGCACACATGCCTCTGGGAAGAGAGAATTTTCAGCATAAAATCCCAAAAGGTTCATAGCAGCTGAAAAAAGCAGGTCTGCTTAGGGGCTCCTTTAAGAACAGGCAATGTTGAGAAGAGGGAGGTATATCAGAACCTTGAGGAGAAGCTGAGCACTGGCAGAGAGGAGGAAGTACAAGGGGCAGAAGCTGTAGTGCTGACTGATGCTCAGTCAGAGTCAAAGTGGGTGATTTGGGGAGGGTAACAACATGGCCAGCAACAACTCCAACGGATAGGAGAGGTGCAGCGGAGTTCGTGGTGGCTTGAGTGATGTCTCAGCAACATATTCTGGAACACAGTGGCATTGAGCACACTGGGCTGTGGTCCATCCAGACCTGAGTGATTCTGGGACCTCAGGCAACAACCTGCTGTAATGCAGGAGTTTAAGACACTGCTGAGCAGACTTCCAGAGAGCCCTGTGGGAAAAACCTGGGAAGGTGTATGCATTTGTATGCATGTGTGTGCATGAGGATGAGGTGGGAGAAAAGAGGAGAATCAGTAGGGTATTTTTTGCTATCAGATTGCTGGTCTGATCATTGTTGAGACAACTCCTGTACCCACAGGGATGGGTAAGGGCATGGCATGAGGTCCTGGGTTGCATGACAATTATATAAGCAGCAGGTTGATTTTTCTTTACATCCACTTCCCAACATTCACCTACCCTGAGATGTCAATTTGTTTCTGTCTTGTCTTTTTTTTAAATTTGTGATTCAAGAAGAATTCTATGAAACAGAAATTCTAGAATATGTTCTGAAATAAAGGGATGTCACAATCAAAGTTTTCTAAGCAAAGACACTTCCCTTCAAAAGAACTCAATTGCTGACTATAAGATGCTGAATTATTTTAGGTTGGTAGCTGAAGCCATATCTTGCAGTTTTTCTATTGAAGGAAGTGCTTTGTTTAGAAAAATGACTTGGTAAGCAGTTGGGAGTAGATTGGCTGGATTGAAAAAGAAGAAGGAATCAAATAAATAGTCAATCTGATATGCATTGAAAGTAAATACTGTATAGTTTGAGAGAGGAGAAAAGCCAAGAAGAGTAGAGAAGAGAGGGAAGGGAGTAAGAAGGAGAGAGATTAGGCAATCTGTCAGTACTCTGGAATAAATGGACAATGGTGGCCAATCAGAGGTTTCTGGTGGAGAGGAGGAGAGGATTTTTAAGAATGGAGATATCTAATCTTCGGTTCTAAGGTGTTTGAATTGCTATGACGTAATGCTCCTTGCCTCTCCAAGCCCTTGGGAAAGTCTGATATTTTTATGAAAACTTGTTTGGTGCTCTTGTGGGAAATAAAGAGCAGTTAAGGATATGTGGTAAACTTCACATTTACCCTACAGCTGATGCCAAGAAGAAGAGGAATGTCATGTGAAAAGGAACAGGAGTTCAGGAGTTCCAGATGAAAACAAGATATAAAATGAATGGCAGTCCTTAGGGAAATTGAGGGTGGCCCAGATAAGAATGAAGTTGGCTCTGGGCCCCTTTTGATAGAATAAACCAGAGGGTGGTGAATATGTGACACACGGGTCATGTTCCTCTTATGGATTCATGAGGATTGTTCAAAAACTCTGAGAAGTCTGGAGTTAAAACAGCAATGACAACAGTGAAAACCTTAATTCTGTTTAATCTAGCATTTTCCAAACTTATTTTACCATGTATCTCTTTTTTAAAACTTAGTAACACTGAGTGTTCTTAGGAATATTCTTTGCCTTTAAACTATTAATATTTTTATAGTTGTGATCAAACCCTTCATTTATAAATAATCTCTAAGATACACTTTAGTAGAGGGTTTTGAAATGTGCTAATTCTTTTGAATGCCAGCTCTAAGAAGCCGAGACTTTAGAATTGAAAGGCAACATGAGGATCTTCTTATAGGGCACAGGCAGGGCTTGGCATGGATTAGGTATGGACGGTGGAGAAAGAACAGAATCAGATGATGCTCAGATTGCAGCCTGGAGCTACTGGGTGGATGGTGGAGCATTTCCAGGGAGAGGGAGCATGAGAAAGGGCAAGTCTGAGCAGGCATGGCCTTCAGGGGTCAGCTCTGACTTGGTTTTTTTTTGTTTTTTTTTTTTTTTTTTTTGAGACGGAGTCTCACTGTGTCGCCCAGGCTGGAGTGCAGTGGCGCGATCTCTGCTCACTGCAAGCTCCGCCTCCTGGGTTCACGCCATTCTCCTGCCTCAGCCTTCTGCCTTCTGAGTAGCTGGGACTACAGGCTCCTGCCACCACACCTGGCTAATTTTTTGTATTTTTAGTAGAGACGGGGTTTCACCGTGTTAGCCAGGATGGTCTCGATCTCCTGACCTCGTGATCCTCTTGCCTCGGCCTCCCAAAGTGCTGGGATTACAGGCTTGAGCCACCGCGCCCGGCCCTGACTTGGTTTTGAACGTGAGGCTTTGAGATGTCTGTAAGATCTCCATGTTGGGATATCAAGTAGTTACAAAGAATACATGAGTCTGAAACTAAGAGGAGAGAAATGAGCTGTTAATTTGGCAGGTAGGTACTCTTTGAGGCCTGCGAGAGGGTGAGTTTGCCTGGTGAGAGAGCTGAGAGAGAAAAATAGAAGAGGACTTAGTGTTGAACTGTAAGGGAATGTGACATTTAGAGATTGCATAGATGAAGAAGAACCAGCAAAGGAGTCCTTAAGATATCAGAAGACAAAGAAAATATGAGAAAACCCAAGAGAAGAGGGTGTATCAAGAAGGAACGAGGGCCACTGGGACAAGAGCTGCTGAGAAGTCAAATGAAAAGGACGAAAAGATAAATGATATTATCTAGTTTTGTGCTAAATTAAGCAGTGTGGCAAATGCTTGAATAAATGTGATTCTCATAAAAATCGTGGGAAGAAGTCATTATTTTATGGACAAGGAAACATACTCAGACAAATGAAGAAATTCAAACTGAAGCCTCTAGGCTATCCTGCCTTCCAAAAATTCCTATTTCAATGCCAGTGTTTGCATTTCGTATGGCTGATTAGCAAGTCCTGATAATTCACATTGTAGAGAATAATGATTCTTAACTTTACATTTTTAGCTTACTATGGCTACATTTTGACTTTAGTATTTTCTGATGGAGGGTGGGACGGGATAAGATACTTCCTACAAATATTTTTGGAAGAAGACCAATGAAATTGTAACTGTTGTTAAAAGGAGGCTATAAAATTTAAACACAGGCAACTCCATCCTTCATTAACACAGAAAAATTATGGTATGTCATAATTCATTCTGAAGTTTATTACCACAAATATTGAATAGAGTATGTTATGACATTATATTGACATCCTACTTCCACCGATAACCCAGGTGCTAGAAAATTTATGCAATGCTGACAGTTAAGCCACAACTCTTGGTATAATTCTCAGAAAATGTTGAAAACGGAAAAAAGCAACTTGATGTAGTTGAATATTTGAGCGAGGAGGAGCTCTTTCACATAGCCACAGTATTCTAGAGTGTTTAAAATCTGAGTTAAAAAATGAGTGTGATCTCTAAATATTTTCCTTAGGATGTGCTAAGATATTGCAGTATAGATAGTTCTAGGATGGCCAGGTTGACTAGTGTCAGGTGCAACTTCTCAGTTTTGTTGTAGGTGGGCTGTAAAGTAAACTATCACCAGCTAGTTATTCCGGTGGATGCAGCACCATTTGAGTCTACCGTGAATTGTTCAGTTATTTCTCAGATGAGTATATTTGGCTGCTAGACAGTGGATTTTTATAGAATCATTTAAGATCCTACTACCCAGCAGGCTGAATACCAGGCTATCATTTTTTTTAAATAACAAAAACCTTTTGTGAAAATTCCAGGGAAGGAATACAGACAAAATGAAATCCTAGCTCTATAGCTGCTATACTAGGATCAATTGTTTTAAAATAGCACAAACTGGCACATAGTGGAAGCTCAATAAATGCAGTACTAATGCTGCAGATATTAGGGAGGGCATTAAGTTACATTTTAGGTGATCATTCATCTTCCACCTTCCTACAAAAATCTCCTGATTTGAGCCATGCTGCTTATAGCTCCAAGATGCTACTGTGCCATTCTGGGGAAAGTTGTGTAGTGTAGTGTTGGGAGCAAGAATTCTGGAGCCAGACTGCCTGGGCTTAAATCCCTAGTCCTTCTAGTATAGCTGTGTGACTTTAGGCAAGTTGCTTCATCTTTCTGTGTCTCAGTTTCTTCATCTGTAAAATGAGGATGATGAAAATAATAGTTTCTATCTCATAGGGTTGTTAGAGGTGTTATGCTTGGCATCTAATAAATAAAGCCCTGAGAAACATACAGTTGGTATGCACAATCAGTAGCTTGGAGTTCATTTATCTCAATGCCAATATCTATACCTTCACTCTGCTCCCAGAACTCACTTTCATGCTCACACCTTGGATCTGGTCACCACTAGGAACTAGGAACTCATCTATTTCTGAACTACTGCTTTTTGTCTTTAACAGTTGTCTCACTTTCTAAGTTTCATCCTCTTTGGTCTTTGAATTTGTGAAGACTTCTAGTTCCTTGACATTTCCCTTTGCCTTCTGAGTAACATACATCAGCTAGATTAATTTCCTTCCCTTTTCCACCTACATCTTTTAAGCTTCTCTTGCTAGCACCTTCAACTCTCTTGCCCATTTGCCATGCGATGCCCAAACCCGGATCAATTCATCTCTCCTTTTATTCTTGGAAACCCAGAGCATTGTGGATTAATGTCATTAGAAAAAGGTAGGATCTCTAATCCTAAGTAGACCCTCAAAACCACCCAGTGATCCTCCAAAGTGCCTTTGTTGAACTTCCTTTGCTATCTCCTATGCCAAGTTGTTCCAACTTTTATGACTTTCCTAATGTCTCTTACCCTAGACCTTTCTTCTCACCAGACCTAGGAGGAATAAACACTGTTCACTTAACACTGATTTTTTTTTAGAATAGTCTTCAACTGCACCTGTTTTTCTTTTCGTCTCTTTTTCTTAGAGTCCAATGTTCTGCTGACATTGCAGTCCTGTCTGCTCTTACTGCCTTTGACACTTCAATTCTGCAGTGACCTTCTTTAAGTCTCATATTTTGAACTTCTTCCTCTCCCCTGGTGTAATGCTTAAGTTTCATTTATCTTCAGAACAAAACCTCATGGCTCCTGGGTCCTCTCTAGCCTTATGTTTCTTTATGAGGCAAGGCTGAATTGTCTTCACTCCTTCATCTGTTATTTCTATCTTAGCTTCCTGCAATCTGACTTCTCTCCTGTTCTACCCGGGATCATCTGCTTGGTGAGTCTATTGGAATCTTATGTTTTCATCTTACTTGACCTCTTCACTGCACTGCTAGAGACTTCCTTCTCAAAACTCCCTTTTTGTGCCTTCTTCCTCATTTACGATTTTCTTCTTGTTTTCTGGCTGCTCATTTAAAAACTCCTCTGTGGACTCTTATTTCTCTTCCTGCTTCTTAAATGATGGTGCTCAAAAGAGTTAGATTCTCAGCCTCTCTTCTGACTCACAAGCTCTATATAATGTATTGCACTTTCAAATTCAACCCATAAATCAAAGACTCCCAATTTATACCTCTAGCTTCATACCCAAATTAATTATGTAATTCTCCAACCCCAAACTCAAGCTTATCCTTAGTGGTGAATTCAAAGCTCATTGGGATCTTATCTCTGCTTACCTTTCAGCCTGATCCCTTGCCACATCTTTATTGTAGCCACATCAAACTGCTCCCCAATTCTCCAAATGCAATAGGCTATTTCGCTGCTTTGAATGCCTTTCCACTCTTTTTATCTAGAAAGCTCCCACTTGTCTGATGGGATTTGAGTCAGTTGTCGCCTACTTTGTGAAACTCTCTCTGACCCCTCTCCTGTTTTCAGATCAATTTTGTAATGCTTCCGTTTTGCAGTATCCAGTTCATATGTATCTTTATATGTCCATTTGATTGCATGGTTAGCATTGATGTGTCTGTGTGCTTTGAGAAAGCATGAGAAACTTGAGGCAGGAATTTAACTTGTGATTATTTTCATCCTGTGGTCAAATCTATCTTTCTAGCCCCAGCACACGGCACGAAGCCTGGTGCAGGGTAAGGAAACAAAGATGTTTTCATCATTGCACATGTTATCTCCTGCATCTACTCTGGCCGATCATGGTTCTTCACTACCTTGAGGACACTGGCTACAGCACTTCCAGTGAACCATAGGGGAATTTAAGCATAAAGGGTTTTAAACTTATCTAGGCCAAGATAATAATTTTATATACCTTTAAGGAAATATGTGTATATTTGTAATTAGCTATGAAAATATAAGTCCTAGTCCAGGCACCATGATATTGAAATAAATAAAAAAAGGATTGATTACCAGAATGAAGGTTAAACTGCTAAAGAGAAACAGGCAGCAAGTCTAATGACAACTTCAACATATACGGCTTCAACTTTGTCTTCTGATTTTAAGTGGTTTCTGTGGAATTTTTTTGTTTGATGTTGACACTTGGAGGGAGACAGTGTGCTTTTTCCTGGTGTGGGTAGGGGTCTGAGCATGTGCAGGTTGCTGACTTCCATAAGGGGCTCAAGGTGCAGGCATTGGGCTAGCCATGCCTATGGCGTTAGTGCATGGCCCAGTGCTTTGCACACACTTCATGCTCAACAGGCATGTGCTAAATGAATACATAAGTGAATAAGAGAACATGTTGGTGGTACCTCATGGAAAAGTGAGGGGAAAAGTATAGTAACAGGATGAAGCCCATGTGTCATAAAAGTTTGGTCTAAGTGTGGTCTTTGGCTTGGGTCAGCTTCTTGGTATCTGAGAACATTTTCCGCCTTGACACAGAGCTCTTGAGACAGCACAACTTGCTGATGACCTCTGGGCTTGTCTTCTTCTAGAGCACAGCTTTTCTTGTCTGTACTCAGGTATAGGTTTATAAAACTCATTGACCACCTGTTGTTTTATCATCTCAAGTTCTACAATTCCTCAGACAGCTCTGTTACTCCCCTCTCACCTTTCCCTGGCCCATTTCCTTTAGAGAACAGGAATCTCAACTAAATTGAAAGAGATCTTACCTAAAACAAATATGTCAAATGCACTGAGCAAAACACAAAGGAAAATTTATTAAGCTTCTAAGATGATGTTATTAACAGTAAAAGTAAAGAAAACAAACATTTGAAATAAGATAGTTGGATTCAAGGTTTAATTTTTGTTTAAATAATCTGTTTTTTATTAGATTTAAAAATGTAATCTTTACTCCAATATGTCAAAAGAGCCAGGTATTATATTACTACAGAGTTTTTCTTCCAGAAGACCTTATAAGAGAAATACAAAAACATAGGAAGAAATACTTAGTAATTGAATAATTCTAGACTCTGTTAAGTGACAAGCAAATTTATTAACCCTGGTAATTTACATGGAAATCAGAGAAACAGTCAACCTAACATTGCATTTTGCTATTTTTTAAGACAGAAATGATTAAACATGTAAATTCAAATTTAAATTATTCATAACTACTGTAGCTGCAGTATTAGCTTCAAGCATTATTAAAAGTAAATGTTTTGCTAATTTGATAAATCATATATCAAATATATGATAAATCAAAGTGTTTTAAATTTTTAATATGATTTTTAGATCTCCTAAACCCCCTGCCCTGCATCACAACCAAATATCCTAACTTTGTTACACGGCCTCTATCTAAGCTCCTGAATTTCTTATAGCACAATGGGGACTGGACTCTCCCTCAGTAAATCTCTCTTTGTGAAGAAATTTTCCATGAGGGAAATAAGTCCAAAAACAAGATTAATGCTATGCTGTCCATCATGTTCTGTATTTTAGCATACCTGCTTTTCCAGTTTCTAAATTCAGAATATAGGTTTTTGTTCTACTTACAACCCCAAGCAGCTTAGGAAAAAAGAAATTCAACTTTATGTAATAATTCTACCTTGGAACTATAGTGTCTGGTTGCCACAGATGCATGGGTAGAGTGTATTCATCCTTGTTTGTGAGTAAAAGCTAGTCTGTGCATCTAACTTAGGAGATAAAAGATATTTGATATTCTAAAATCTTTTCCTTTTTGTTTTTTTGAGATGGGGTCTCACTCTGTTGCCCAGGCTGGAGTGCAGTGGCTTGATCACAGCTCACCACAGTCTTGACTTCCTGGGCTCAGGTGATCCTCCCACCTCAGCCTCCCAAGTAGCTGGGACTACAGGTGCATACCATCACACCTGGCACATTTTTGTATTTTTTGTAGAGACATGGACTCACCATGTTGTCAAGGCTGGTCTTTTCCTTTTTGAAACCACCAAAGCTTTGTCTTTTGTCTATCATGAATAAAGTCATAACTCAATTCACATCAATCTCTAATCAGCACACAAGAAGATTGATTTTGGGTACCACATCATTAGGAGATCTTAGCACATCAAGGTGATATTAACATTAACTCAGCCTTGAGAATTGGAGTATGCACAACATAAATGATCATTTTGCTAAGTTCAACAAAACTGTAAATGTTCAAACTGCCTAAGGGTTGAATTTAGTCGTAGACTTTTGGAGATGGATCAGTTAAACAATCTTTAAGTTGGAAACAGAAGTGTCAATCTGGGCAGAGTATACTGATTTGCCTATGAAAGATGGACATTAGCTATTGCAAAGTTATTAACCTACCCTCTCTACTTGTACTGTTCAGGCTGACCTAACCCCCACATTCATCTGAAATATTCAGGTAATGAGGTTAGAGTTGAAAAAACCTGAATTATGAGGACAATGACTTAGCTTTGTATTTCCATATACGGAACCTATGGTTTCACAGGTGAACAATTTACGTGATGGATTAGTGACAGCCTGGACCTTTGCTGAATTACCAGCCTGGGAGCCTCTGGTTTGTAAATGGTTTTATACTAGCTTGTGGAATGCATTTTGTGCTACTGTGGACTTGAAAGAATGAATATATTTTTCCAACAGGCTTGCTGGCTACCAGGAAGTAGACGAAATTGATCTTAAACAACAAAGGGATTAATCTAAAAGGTCAGAGATGAATTTATGTGTGGAATGTTCAGGAATAATAACAGGGAATAGTTTAGGGGAAAAGCACAATTCATTATTAAGGAGACATTAGCTTCCCAAGGAAGAGAACTATGATTTAAAGTAATAAAATACTAAATTAACTAGGAATATACAAGTTTACAATTTGTATTTTTACAAATTTTTACAAAATTTATAATTGGTGAATCAAGGAATGATATCTGAGATTTTCTTTTCTCAGCCACCAATGGCACACACACAGTCAAATAAAGCAATGTGGGAAAGCTCACACCAACATAGCAAGAAAAAAAAATCACATTCTTTGGGGTGACAAAATGTGCAACAGCTTTTGGCTAGCTGTTTCGATTTAACAGAATTTGGTGAAAGGAAGTTTGAGCTGCTAGGAAAATCTACTTTTCTTCTTGAAAAGCTGATTTTTTTTTCCCCATGAGAAATCTCAAAGTGAAAATTGCTGCTTTCACACTACTCTCTACAGAAATATTAATAAATGCCATTCTGTTAGGTATTAATTAAAACAGTACTTGTTCAATTCTATTTTATCACATATTGTGAAGAGTTGAGATAAAGCTCTCACGCTGTCTTTTTGGATCTGTTAATCTTTTTATTGTACATATAAAAGTATACAGACAAATTGGATTCTCTAGGGGTTGTTACATTCATTCATTCACTCAGTATTTATTTATCGAACAGTAGGTACTGGGAATATTATTTTGTGAGACAGTCTGTTTCCTTGGGAACTCATAGTTTAAAGAGGAAAAGCAGACATGGTAAACAGAAAATTGTAATACAGTGTTAGAGCTCTGCCTGAAGTAGGAACAAGGAAATTGGAAACGATGATCAGGGAAGGGAAACTTACATCTTCAGGGAGGTAGTGCTTCAGGGGAGGCTGAAGTGTTGAGAATCAAGCTAGACCTTTAAGGTTAAAAGATTTTGCTGGAAGAAAAAATGGTCTGGACATTCTAGGCAGAGTAAAACACTGGAAGCATAAAATGTCTGATGGGTTAAATGCTGTGACAGGCTGCCTTTCCCCATCTTGTGGAATTGCTTCTTGAAGGGTGCATAATTTAAAGAAACCTTTAAATTCTGGAATGGGCTTGGTTATGGAAGAAAGCAGCAAGATTTGTCTGATTATCAGGAGCCACCTGGGAGAGTAAATTTTCACTGGGCACAACAAGTAGGCATATAACAAATATTTGTTGCTTTGATGTTGTTGAATTTTATTTGTCCAAATAGAATGAAGAAACACAGCACAGGATGATGCCCAGGAAGTAAGGGCCAGGCATTCGTGGAGGGTTTGGGCCCTTAATAGTTTGTGAAAGAGATTATCAGGACCACATCTCTAAAAGAGAAGCAATTCAAACGCCAAACATCCTAGTGTTTACCAGCAGGAGATTTAGTTTGTACTGCAAGGGAGTGTGGACTTACCCCCAAAGCAAATACACAATTGTGTGTATTTTACTCTGCTGAATGCTCTTGAAATCAATTTCTAACCCATAAAACAGAAGTTTCCCAAACCAAATCCACTATAAAATTCATCTCTGTGGAGAGGCCATAGCTGTTACAGGAGGGCAGGATGGTAGATCAGGAGGCTTTTCTGTTTAAATATTTAAATAGATTTCTATTTGAACAGCTAAATGAAACCAAACTCACTCTCTTATCTCAATAATTAAAAAGAAAATTGCTGAGCTTTCTTTGCCAAGTGTTCATGCCATTTCCCCCCTTTCTTGAGCTTTCTCAGGGTATTCTAAGTGCCTATGATTTGGTTTCTTTTTGGAGTAACTCAAGCAGTCTTTCACAAGCCGTATTTCTGGGACTATGGCAGACCGACTTCATTGGCTTCTTAACGAAGAACAGCCTGGCTTAATGATTAATTTCTAGGTAAATGGGGCTGAACCAAGCCTCACAGGACCTGTCTTGGAGGGGCTGGCTAAACAGTGGCTCCCTGAGAGGACAAGCACATTTCTTCCTGTAATCGACAACTATAGATTTATTTTTCTTAGTGATGTTAAGCATCAGAAGGTACTTCTTTTACTTGCACTAAGCAGGATAGTTTTAATTTTGCCTTTAGGCCTTATCTATTACTGTTTCCCCTGGCAACGTTATCTATAAACTTTTCTCTCTTCATTTTTTTTAATTTCCAAGTAGTTCATGATTATTTCAGAAAAATTAGAAAATACAGAAGATAACAAAAATTAAATTAAAAGCAGCTAAAAATCTTGTCATTTACTAGCATCCTGAGACATTATTCCTAACCTTTCCTCCTTCAGATATGTGCATATAGAACATGTATTTACAAAATTAGAAACACACCGTGTGTGTGTGTGTGTATTGATCTGTTGTGCTAATGTCTTATATTTCTTTGATACAATTATGTGGTCTTAGCAAGACTGGTATAAAGCCATTTCAAATTATGAAACAATAAAAATGATACGAATTTTCTAAGCAACTCAGGGCTCCATATAAAATACACATAAAGACATTTACCAGCCTTTATTTCCTATTTGGTACCCTGCCTATGTTTCACAGACTATAAAATGAAAATTAATATTCTACACTACTGTCCTTCTATAAATAGCTATGGCCATGTGGTTAGCTGCTGCCCAGCATGGTGGGGGGATTAGAACCACCATCTAAACAAAGGCCTGCCTTGCACTGATGTGCTTGTTGAAAAGTACGCCAGCAGAGGGCAGTGTACTTCCAGGACACAACTCAACGCTGCCATGGGCTGTGGAACAATCGGTGGAAAGACTTTTAACACTGCTCTAAATACAAACCAACACACAATTTTACTAGAATATTATTAGTCTGTTTGTGACATGTTTTAAGAATTTGAAGTTCTGACACTAGATTATGGAAACTATATAGCAAAAGTGAAAATGTATTCATTTAATAAGCTTATATTGGCCACCTACAAATGCCATGCTGTAGTAATATAAATATTGAAGACAAAAATCCTTGCCACAGATCAGCAGGAGATAAAAGCATGCAGTAAATGTTTCCAAAATGCAATGATAACACTCATGCTAGCTGAATAAATTCTGTCTAGAGGAACTCAGAAAAGGCCCCACAGAGGAGTTTTGTATGAACTGAGTCTGAAGAATAGCAGGAATTCACTAGGCAGGTGGGATCGGGGATGCAGGGAATTCCTACAGGGAGGAAGGTAGAAAGGCGCAAAGGTGTTATTTAAATGTTGAGCAGGGTAGGTGATTTTGTTTTTTATTACCCTAAAATGTAAGCCTTGATTTCCAGAACAGAGCCCCAGAACAAAACAAAACAATAGTGAGAAAGATGATATTTGCCAGTAGATTTTATGCTATTGTTTAGAACAAGTGTCTGAAATATAATAAATCCATTATATGCTAAAAGCACCAGCATCAAAAATATTTATCTCCACTCACCTTCAGGTAATCACCAAATTCTGACTTGTCTTTTGGTGGACTTGATTAGTTAGCCAGTATTTACACATACATATATGCTGATTTTACAGGAAAGGGGAGATGAAAATGTGTTCATTCAGCATCTCTTCATTGTTCCTACTACAGGTGGGCACTTGTTACAAGTGGTGCTTTCATTAGTGATATGTTCTTTTGGCCTGCCTATTCTGTATTGCTCATGTGTTGGTTCAGATTCCCTGATAGGCCATAAATGCTTATTTATCTGGATGAGGGCCTGTTTTTCCTTTGTGTTTTCCCACAGTGCCAGGCAATATAATGTGCATACACAGCACAGCCGTAAATGTTGACTGACTTTATCTATAAGGCCCACACTGACTTCTCACAAAGAAGGAAATGATACTAGAGGAAAGGAGGACGACGGAGATGATGTGGAGAGGCTATAATTAACTTTTCACATGACAGGGCAATCCACATGCTGAGAGGAATTCTCTCTGGCATAAGACAGTGTAGAATTTTGTACGGAACTATACCTTCCATGTTTCCAGCTGCTCACACCTCTTGCTTAATTAACAAATGTTTGTATAGAGTGGTCAAGACACTCGATATACTAGGAGACCTAATTGTTATGATTACTTTACATTAACATCCTCTCTGCAGCTGCTTTAAGTCTGCATTTTGGAAAGTATTCACAGAAGCTACTCAAAGGAGCTAGAGTGGTTTGTTTATGGCATTTTACTTATACAATGTTCATTTGTCTTTTTATTTTCTTCCTTACTTGTCTGTATTAGGAAGTAGCTGTTAACTAACCATAACCAAAGTGACCATATTCTCTTTTGACAAGTTTTTTCCTAATCAGATAATCACCTGCTGCGTATTTTTAAGTAAACTCTAGAGGATCTTCCTAAACAAGGCAGGAAACCAAGAAACTCTAAAATGAAAGAGTACTGAATTAGGATAAAACCAAATTGTTATTGCAAATAACCTCCCCTCTCCATGTGGCTCAAAGGACACAAAAGCTTATTTTTCTCTCATGAAACATTTCAGAGGTGAGCATTCCAGGTGGTTGCTGACCACTGGTGGGGGCCTTGTGGTCGTTCAGGAACTCAGGCTCTTTATAGTTGACAAGTCTCAGTGTGCTAGTTAACAATTTATTGCCTTTAAGCTCCACTTGCGCTCTTTCATATGTTCTGTGATAACAGTGGACAGAATTCCTGCAGCCATCTTCCATTTACAGTGGGTAAGATGTTACACTTTCTCATTAGAGGGTGCTGGAGGGACATTGCTAGTGAAAGGGGCTTCTGCTGTTTCTGGCAGCTATACAGTGGGTCAGCAGTGTCAATGTGAGGCCATTCTGTAGAGTTCTGCTCTAACCATGCACTCAGAATGAATGATCCTTTAGCAATGTTACAGCCTAAGCCTGGCCTGGGGATAACCTTTCTGCAGCCCAACTCACTTGAAAAATGGCTTCTGAAGGCCTCCTGCCCCTACAAGTGCAGTTTACTTTGCAGACCTGTGCCCAAGAGCCTCACTCCCTCTGCATGCCCAGGCCAAGATCCCCAGTTGCTGACTGCCTGTGCCCAGCCTCTACTCCAGAAGATTGCTTCCTGCTTGTTCAGTGATTGCAGTTAGCTCTGGCCTGGGCAAACAAGTAAACTTCTCTGCTATCTAGTGGGCTGAACCCCAGCCTTGGGAAAGGGGGTCCCCTCTAGGTTTGGACTTCCTCAGGGGCTCTTCCTCCGCCCAATGGTACTGTATTATTCTATTCTAATGCTGGTAATAAAGACATACCCGAGACTGGGTAATTTATAAAGGAAAGAGGTTTAATGAACTCGCAGTTCCACGTGGCTGGGAAAGCCTCACAATCATGGCAGAAGGCAAAGGGGAAGCAAAGGCATGTCTTACATGGCAGCAGGCAAGAGAGAGAGCATGTGCAGGGGAACTCCCTTTTTATAAAACCACCAGATCTCGTGAGACTTATTCACTCTTATGAGAACAGCATGGGAAAGACCCACCCCCGTGATTCAGTAATCTCCCACTGGGTCCCTCCTAGGACATGTGGGAATTCTGGGAGCTACAATTCAATATTTGGGTGGGGACACAGTCAAACCATATCAGGTACCATATGGTGTTTTCTCTTATAGTCACTCATTGATTAGAGTTTAACAATATATTAAGCCCCACTCCCACCCAGTTTCTGATTGGACCCTGACTGATACATGTGGCTTTGTTGTCTCATAGGATATTGTTCCCTCCATGGTCAAAATTTGCTGTCATGTCCAAGTTCTATCTGGTGGAAGGAGAGGGAGCATGGAGGGGGCATGAGTACTTCTTAAGACCTAAATGTGGGAAGAGGTACACATTTATCCTGTGTGTATCACATTGATGAAAGTTTGTCCTAGGGCTACACCTAACTGCAAGGGAGTAGGGAAGTACAGTGCAGCCATATGCCAAAGAAGCAAGCAGAATGGGTTTTAGCGGGCAACTGGTAGTCTCCACCACAATTGCATAAAAATTAAAAAAAAACCCTATATGGTAAAAGACATCAAAAGTAAAAGAGAGCCATGGACTGAGGAGAAAATGGACATCACATATGGAAATTTGTGGGAGAGTTTTGAGGGATATTAGCAATATGCCAGACAAGAGGGTTATAGTCCTCAAAGTTCTCCCGTGAATTGATTGCAAAAATAAACTCAAGTTAAAAAATCGAAAGGCTAAACAAACCAATGAAAAACACAAATACAGAATAAACACCATAGAGAAGACATTCAACTTCATGAGAAGTTAGGGAAATGCAAATTAAAGCAGCCATGAGAAGATAACAGATTAGAGGCTCTTAGCATTCCTCAGCCACTTCATGATAGCAAGATAGTAAATAAAGATTGACTCTATGAGCTTTAATTCAAGAAGGGAAATGAGAGTACACTAGAATTATGAATGATACCCCAGATCTTGGATAGGAGAACATGACCAAGCAGCTCTCATGATGGCGTCCAGCTGATAAAGGTGCGTGAAGCCCCAGAATGAGAGATATAGATAGCCTCCCTCTGTGACTTTCTTTCCATTGGGGATATAAGCAACCCAGGCTGAGGGAAAGCACTTTGTTTCTCTCAAGCCCTGTAGCTAACCTGAGGAGAGGCTTGAAGATGTTGTGAGGGAAAGATATCAGGAAAAGCCGCAGACATTTTCCCAGACCTGGGACTGAGAGCAGGGAGCCATTTTTACTCCACGAGCATACAAAGGCAACTATTCTTGGGTGACCTGGCAATGCAACCATGCAGGCATTTTAGTCTTGGGCCAGAGATTAAAGAGCCTGCTTTAGAGTAGGGTAGGGGCTTCCACAGTTAGAAATGTGGGAAGTGCCTCAGAAGTAGATGCTGGAATTGTGCTTTCCCCCATTGTAAGCCTGGGGCGGGAGGAGAGCTGCTACAGCTGCACTTTCTCCTGGGTGGTGAGACTTGCAGCCAGGGCTGGCTTGGTGACCTGGAACTGATTTGCATGTGCCATTTCTGGGTGCCCCTGCTTGCTCCCCTGAGCACATGGTGCAGCAGGACCCTCTCTGCTCCACCTCTAGGCAGAAAATTAGGCATTCTGAGCACCCACTTGCCTGGACCAGCAGCCTAAGCCACCTCACCCTTCATGGACATAGATTGCAATGCAGCTGGGCCCTCTCTGCTCCACACACTTGCCTGGTTCAGCAGCCTGAGATGCCCACCCTTCCTGGACATAGATTAGGGTTCAGTGGGACTCTCTGCTTCACATCCAGGCATATCTCCAGGCATTTGGAATACCCATTCACCTGGACCAACAGCCTGACCCATCCTGCCCTTCCTGTGCAGAGATCCTGGTGCAGACAGATCTCCAGGCATTGAGAGGAACCACTCATCTGGTCCAATAGCCTGAGCTGGGCCCCTCTTCCTGGGATATCAGTTGTGGTGCCGTGGAGGCCCTCTCTGCACCATGCCCAGGTAGATCTTCAGGAATTTGTAGAACCTGCTCACTTGGATCAGCTGCCTGAGCTGCCCCACCCATCCTGTGCAGAGACCCTGGTAAAAAGGGGCTTTCTCAGCTACACACTCAGGCAGATCCCCAGGCATTCAGAGCACCTACTTGCATGGTCCAGCAGCCTGGGTCACCAGTCCTTGTGCAGAGATCTTGGTGCAGTAGGGGTCCTCTCTGTTCCACACTCAGGCAGCTCTCCAGGCATCTGGAGCATCTACTCTCTTGGATTAGGAATTTAGGCCACCTTCCCTTATTCCTGTGCAGGGAACTTGGGGCTGAGGAAGTTTCCCAGTTTCATGCCTAGGCACATGTTTGGGTGCTTAGTGGCTGCCCCCTGGATTCTTCCTTGGTGCCTGGTATTTGTGTTTGTCATCAGGGGACCTGTAAGTGGACCTGCCTGGCCTGGCCCTGTCCTTTGTGGCCCCCACCCATGCTAGGACTAAGAAGGGAGCCCAGACCACTGTGCATTCCATGAACCAGCCCATTGCCTGAGGCAACAGAGAGCTTCTGCCAGTAAACAAGGATCAAGTATATACCCAGCCATGTTTTTCACAGCTGGCTCTTACCTAAAAGCACTATCAACTGGCATATAGGCTGAACTGCACAGCGCAATATAAAACCTACTGAAAGAATGCATAGAGCTATAGAAGCAAAGCCAAAAGACCCTACCCAGCACTCTCTCCAGTTGCACATGAAGCAGAGGAAAGGAGAAAGGAAGAGAAAAAAATACTATGGGGAAATAAATAAAAAGAAAAAATCCTACTCGTATGAAAATAATTACAAAAATTAGAAGTGCCAGCATTTCCAGACAAGAAGAAACTAGAACAAGAATTCTGGCACTGTGAAAAATCTGAATATAGTGACACCACCAGAGAATTGCTGTATTAGTCACAGTTCACTAGAGGGACAGAACTAATAAGATATATTTATATATATAAAGGGGAGTTTATTAAGTTTTAACGTACACAATCACAAGATCCCACAATAGGCTGTCTGCAAGCTTGAGAAGCAAGCAGAGCCAGTCTGAGTCTCAAAACTGAAGAACTTGGAGTCCAATGTCTGAGGGCAGAAAGCATCCAGCATGGGAGAAATATGTACCTTGGAGGCTAGGCCAGTCTGGCCTTTTCACGTTTTTCTGCCTGCTTTATATTCTCTGAAAGCTGATTAGATTGTACCCACCAGATTGAGGGTGAGTCTGCCTTCCCCAGCCCACTGACTCAAATGTTAATCTCGTTTGGCAACACACTCACAGACACACCCAGGAACAATACTTTGCATCCTTAAATCCAATCAAGTTGACACTTGGTATTAACCATCACAATTGTACTAGCTCGTTAGCAATGTTCCCTAATCAAAAAGGAAACTCAGAAATGACAGGTAGAGAATTTAAAGCATGGATTGTAGGGGAGCTCAGTTAGATCCAAGACAAGGTTGAAAATCAACACAAATAAACTTCTAATGCAATCCGGAAAATGAAGGAAAAGATAAACATTTTAAAAATCAATCAATCAGAGCTTCTAGAACTGAAAATCTCACTTAAGAAATTTCAAAATATGATTGAAACCTTTATCAAGAGACTGGACCAAGCAGAAGAAAGGATTTCAGAGCTTCAAGACCAGTCTTTCAAACTAACCCAGCAAGACAGAAATAAAAAAAAATTCAAAAAATGAACAAACTCTTTGACAAATATGGGTTTGGGTGAAGCAACCAAACCTACAAATTATAGGCATTCCTGAGAGAGAGAGAAGAAGAAAAAGTAAATAACCTGGAAAACATATTTGTGGGAATAAGGAAAAAAAAAAAACTTCTACAATCTTGCTAGAGAGGTAGACAGATACAAGAAATCCAGAAAACACCGGCAGGATACTATACAAAATGAACATCACCAGGGCACTTAAGTCACCAAACAGTCCAAAGTCAATTTTAATGAAAAAATCTTAAAGGCAGCTGAGAAAAAGATCAAATTACATACAAAATGAACCCCATCAGGCTAATAGGACTTCCCAACAATACTTAAATAGGCAGAAGAGATATGTTGTGTCTTTGTTTTTATTTATTTCAAATAATTAAAAAAAATTTTTTTAATAGTGCTGAATACCTAACTCAAGAAGTTAGGAAGACCTCAAATTAATGATCTAATACCACATCTACAGGAACTAGGAAAACAAGAACAAACTAACCTCAAAGCTAGCAGAAGAAAATAAATAACTAAAATCAGAGAGGAACTGAATGAAATTGAGAACCCAAAACCCATTAAAAAATCAATAAAACCAAAAGGATAGAGCGCTAGCTGGATTAACAAGAAAGAAAAAAAAAAAGAGAGAAAGAGAAGATTCAAATAAACACAACCAGAAGCAACAAAGGTGACATTACAACTGATCCCATGGAAATACAAAAGATCCTCAGACACTATTATGAACACCTCTATTCACACAAACTAGGAAATCTAGAGGAAGTACACAAATAAATTCCTGGAAACACACAATCTCCTAAGATTGAATCAAGAAGAAATTGAAATACTGAACAGACCAATATTGTATTCTGAAATTGAATTGGTAATAAAAAAAACTACCAAATCGAAAAGGCCCTGGACCAAATAGATTCATAGCTGAATTCTATCACATATTGAAATAATTAGTTCTAATCCTAATGAAACTATACCAAAAAAATCAAGAAGGAGGGATTCCTTCCTAACTCATTCTGTGGAGCCAGCATCATCACCCTAATATGAAATCTGGCAAAGACACAATGAAGAAAGAAAACTAAAGGCCAATATTCCTGATAAACATGGACACAAAAATCCTCAACAAAATACTAGCGAACTGAATTCAACAGCATGTCAAAAAAGTTAATTCACGATGATTAAGCTGGCTTCTTTCTTATGATGCAAAGTCGGTTCAACATATGCAAATCAATAAATGTGATGAATCACATAAATGGAATTAAAAACACAAACCATATGATCCTCTGAATAGACATGGAAAAGCTTTTGATAAAATCCAATATCTCTTCATTAAAAAAAAACCCTCAAGAAATTAGATGGTGAAGGAACATACCTCAAAATGACAAGATCCATCTGTGATAAATCCACAGCCAACATCATACTGAATGGGCAAAACCTGGAAGCATTCCCTTTGAGGACTAGAACAAGGCAAGGATGCCCACTTTCGTCACTCCGATTCAACATAGTACTGGATGTGCTAGCCAGAGCAATCAGACGAGAAAGAAAGAAAACGCACCCAAGCAGGAAAAGAAAAAGTCAAACAATTTTTCGTAGACTATACCTAGAAAACCGTAGTCTCCACCAAAAGGCTCCTGGAACTAATAAACAACTTCAGTAAAGTTTCAGGATACAAAGTCAATGTACAAAAATTAGCAGTATTTCTAAAAATCAATAATGTTCAAGCTGAGAACCAAATCAAGAATGCAATCTTATTAACAATAGCCATACACAGAAAAAAATACCTAGGAATACATCTAATAAAGGGGATGAAAGATCTCTACAAAGAATACGACAAAGCACTGCTAAAAGACATCATAGATAACACAAACAAATGAAAAAACATTCTATGCTTATGGATTGGAAGAATCAATATTGTTAAAATGCCATACTGCCTAAAGCAATCTACAGATTCAATGCTCTTTCTATAAAACTACCAATGCCATTTTTCACAGAACTAGGAAAAAACTATTGTAAAATTCATAGGGAACCAAGAAAGAGTCCAAATAGCAAAAGCAAGCCTAAGCAAAAAGAACAAAGCTGGAGGCATCATATTACCTGACTTCAAATTATGCTATAAGGCTACAGCTACCAAAACTGCATGATACTGGTACAAAAATAGACACATAGACTAATGGAACAAAATAGAGAACTCAGAAATAAAGCTGTGCAGTTATAGCCATGTCATCTTTGACAAAGTGAACAAAAATAAACAATGGAAAAAGGACTCCCTATTCAATAAGTGGTGCTGGGATAACTGGCTACCGATATGCAGAAAAATGAAACTGGACCCCTACATTTCACCATAAACAAAAATTAACTCGAGATGGATTAAATATTTAAATGTAAGACTTCAAACTCTAAGAATTCTAGAAGAAAACCTAGGAGACACCATTCTGGACATTGGTGTTGGGAAAGAATTTATGAAGAAGTCCTTGAGCAACTGCAACAAAAATGAAAATTGATAAGTGAGACCGAATTAAACTAAAGAACTTCTGCACAGCAAAATAAACTGTCAACAGAGTAAACAGACAACAGGAGAAAATATTCGCAAACTGTGCATCCAACAAAGATCTAATATCCAGAATCTATAAGGAATTTAAACAATTGAGCAAGCAAAAGCAAATAACCCCATTAAAAATGGGCAAAAGACATCAACAGACACTTCTCAAAAGAGGACATACAAGTGGCCAACATATGAAACATATGAAGAAATGCTTGTCATCATTAATTATCAGAGAAATGCAAATCAGAACCACCATGAGAACCATCTCACACCAGTCAGAATGGCTATTAATAAAAAGTAGAAAACAAGATGCTGGCGAGGATCTGGAGAAAAGGCAACATTTATACACTATTGGTGGGAATGTAAATTAATTTGGCCACCGTGGAAAGCAGTTTGGAGATTTCTCAAAGAACTTAAAAGAGAACTACCATTTGACTGAGCAATCCCATTACTGGGTATACATCCAAAAGAAAACACACATTTTTCTTTTTTTGTTTTGCCTTTTTTTTTTTTTTTTTTTGAGTCAGAATCCCACTCTGTCACCCAAGCTGGAGTGCAGTGGCATGATCTCGGCTCACTGCAAGCTCCGTCTCCCGGGTTCAAGTGATTCTCCTGTCTCAGCCTCCCAAGTAGCTGGGACTACAGGCGCCTGCCACCACGCCCGGCTAATTTTTTGTATTTTTAGTGGAGACGGGGTTTCACGGTGTTAGCCAGGATGGTCTCAATCTCCTGACCTTGTGATCCACCCACCTTGGCCTCCCAAAGTGCTGGGATTACAGGCGTGAGCCACTGTGCCCGGCCGCCTTTGTTTGTTTTTTTTTAATTATACTTTAAGTTCTGGGATACATGTGCAGAACATGCAGGTTTGCTACATAGGTATACACGTGCCATCGTGGTTTGCTGCACGCATCAACCCGTCATCTACATTAGGTATTTCTCCTAATGCTATCCCTCCCCTAGCCCCCCAACCCCCACGGTGTGTGATATTCCCCTCCCTGTGCCCATGTGTTCTCATTGTTCAACTCCCACTTATGAATGAGAACATGCCGTGTTTGGCTTTCTGTTCCTGAAAACACACATTTTTCTACCAAAAAGACACATATACTTGTGTATTCATTGCAGCACTAGTCACAATAGCAAAGACACAGAATCAACCTAGGTGCCCATTAATAACAGATTGGATAAAGAAAATGTGTTACATATATGCCATGGAATACTATGCAGTCATAAGAAGAATGAAATCATGTCCTTTGCAGTAACATGAATGCAGCTGGAGGCCATTATCTTAAGCAAATTATTAACACAGGAACAGAAAATAAAAAACCTCATGTCCTCACTTACAAGTGAGAGCTAAACATTGAGTGCTCATGGACATAAAGTTGAGAACAATAGAAACTGTGGACTATTAGAATGAGAAGAGAGGGGGAGCCAAGGGTTGAAAAGCTAACTATTGGGTACTATACTCAGTACCTAGGTGATGGAATCATTTATAGCCCAAACTTCAGCATCACACACTATACCCAGGTAACAAACCTGCACATGTACCCCCTGAAATTAAAATAATAGTTGAAAAAAAAAATAAAGCAACCATGAGATACCACTTACCATCTATCAGGTTGGCAAATACTAGAGTAACAATGGCCAATGAAAGAATATGTGCTCTTGCACATATTTATTGCAGCACTATTTACAAGAGCAAAGACTTGGAAACAACCCAAATGCCCATCAATGGTAGACTGAGTAAAGAAAATGTGACACATATACACCATGGAATACTATGCAGCCATGAAAAAGAATGAGATCATATCCTTTATAGGGATGGATGACACTTAGATGTCAAAGAAGGGTAGTTCTAATTCCATCTATTAATTTGATAATATACTGGTACCTATTGACAGCCAAAAGTAGGATAATGCTTAACTCTAGAGGGGATGGGAGTGGAACTTTTATCAGAATGGGGCATGTTGTGGCTTCTGGGGTGCTGACAATATTCTATTTCTTGACTGGGGTGGTTTGTTATTGCTAAAATATATCATGCTTAGCAAACTAACACAGGAACAGAAAACCAAATACCACATGTTCTCACTCATAACCGGGAGTTGAACAATGAGAACACATGGACACAGGGAGGGGAACATCACACACCAGGGCCTGTCAGGGGGTGGGGGCAAGGGGAAGGAGAACATTAGGACAAATACCTAATGCATGCAGGGCTTAAAACATAGATGACGGGTTGATAGGTGCAGCAAACCACCATGACACATGTATACCTATGTAACAAATGTGCACATTCTGCACGTGTATCCCAGAACATAAAGTTAAATTTTAAAAAGAGAAAGATATGTGCTCTTTTCTTTCTAGCAGGGTTATAAGTTACTACCTGACATTTAAGAAGAGTAGGCTAAATGGGTACTCTTTGCCTCAGGACTCCCACTTTTGGAAATTTATCCTATAAAATAAAAGCTCCAGTACATAAGAAGTTTATTGATGAATTATTTGTAGAAACAAAAACCTGAAAGCAACATGAATGCACTTTGATATGGAAATAATTAAATACACTATGTTACATGTATATATAATACGTTACTTAGCTACTAGAATGAATCTATCCTTTGTTTTTTGATCCTAAGTTATGTTCATGATATATGTAAAGCTAGTAAAAGTAACTTCAAAATAATATGCGTATGAAGATTTTATTTGTATATAACCAAATAACCAAGAAACTGTAAATGTGTACCTATGTTTCAATATGTTTGTATGATAAAGGTGTGGGAGGATGTATACAGGGCTGTTATGGGGTTTGGGAATGAAGAGGAGTTGATGAAGATAATTAATACAAAAAAATTAAAAATACTTGTTTCATTGCTGATATGAGTTTTGTTTTCTCACTATTTTTGTGAAAGGAAAAAAAAACCTTGCTCTTTGACAGGTGAAAATTTTTACACATCCTACCTGCAAATCACCAAAGCCTAGAGAGAAAGTGCCAGTCTGAGTTTCACAGTTCAGTTGCAAAACTATCAAGTGTTTAAAGAACAGTTTGCCAGAAGTGTGATTCATTGAAGCCCCTGGTCCTTGGGAAAGCAAATCAATACCTGTCTGTTTGCCTTGGTAGTTGGGTTTGTTGATGTTGTTGTAGATATATTATTTTGCTGATAAAGAGAAAAAGTAAGCACTTTCTAAGAGTAGTAGCTAATTGCAGGTCCAGGGATAAAACCCTCAATCTTCAGTTTGTCCTTCGGCCTGAGTTACCCTTTGTATCCAAATTCTTCTCTTCATCACGGTGTATGTTTCTGAGGATGAAACTGAGCTCATCAATTTGACATTCTCTTGCTTGTTATTACAGTGGTTGAAGATTTTGCTGTTTCTCGGACTAAGGAGATGAATTATTTTGTATAGCCTTAGGCCATAAACTGTGCATATAATCATAGTAAAATTTTGGACCTTACTCGGGTGTTAGGTGTAAGGTAGAGAGAACTTCTACATCTAGATGTCAAAGAAAGGTAGTTCTAATTCCATCTATTAATTTGATAATATACTGGTACCTATTGACAGCCAAAAGTAGGATAATGCTTGACTCTAGAGGGGATGGGAGTGGAACTTTTTATCAGAATGAGGCATGTTGTGGCTTCTGGGGTGCTGACGATATTCTATTTCTTGACTGGGGTGGTTTGTTTTTGCTAAAATATACATTTATGCTCCATTCAGTTTTATGTATGTGTATTACATTTCACAATTTAAAAGGATTTTTAAAAAAGAGGAAAGAAGAAAGGGAGGAAGTAGGGAAGGAAGAAAAAGTCAAAGGAAATGGTTGGATTTTGACAGGCAAGTGTGAGAAAAGATAGTAGTAATGGAGTTAAACGTGTTTGAAAGACAGTAATTATAATGATGAACAGATGAGGTGAGATAGCAGCACATGGCAAAAATGAGAAAAATAATCTCAACCTGAAGTATATAATAATACTTGATTATTTGCCTTAGCCTGGGCTCCTTGGAAAGCAGTGCCTGCAGTACTGTTAACATGTTAACACTTAATTGTCAAGTGCAATCCTAGGCTCAGGAGCCAGGGGACAAAGGATGGTGGCAGGCAAGGAGGGATAGAAAATACAACCAGCATGCTACTGATGCTGGCCGGAGCTTTGTGACATGTGCAGATGACTACCTGGCTTTACAAAACATTTGTGCAGAGGTTATGGCATGAATTACCGTACCTCAACTCAGTCTCAGATCAGAGAGAGAAAAAAAATTTGCCAGCATTCTTAGTTTGATAGTCAAAGTTTTTCCTGTGGGTGTCATCTGCGCCTCTGGATAGTGCTCTGAGGCCCCTCCAGAGCTGGCTTGGGAATCCAGATTCAAAACAGCTGGGCTAGAGTGTGAGATTTTGATATCTTTCTACAATGTGTGATGGTCAAATCAGCATATTCATCACCTCGAACATTTATCGTTTCTTTGTAAATCATTATGTATCAATTAAAAAATAATAATAACCCAGCAGAGGCAGCATTTTCTGCATGAGCAATAACCCAAGAGAATCAGCCCCTGAAATTAACACCAGCCAGGGCATTATTTGTTGGCCCAGAGCCTGCAGACTTCTGGGCCTGGCCATATGAGTGTGTGTGTGTGTGTGTGTGTGTGTGTGTGTAAGAGAGAGAGAGAATCCTGAGGGGATCCTCCAGTGTCTCATGCCTCAGAGGCAACAGGGAAGCTGACTGCGGTAGGCAAGAGGAGATGTGTTCTCAGGTTGTGTCTGCAAGCAATAGGTAGGACCTGGGGCAGCCACCCCTGCAGCCAAGCCAGCCAAGCAGGCGGAGTCCCACAGAAGATAGCCCCACAACAAATGCAGCAATGAATCTTCTTTAACTGAAAAGAAAAACTTCCTCTTAGGAGCTTTCAACAATGCAATCAATGCAAGATGATCTTAACAGAGTCAGTGGTAACACTGAACAAAAGTCTTGGCCGAGCAAATCCAAGCAGACACTGAACAGTCCAGTTTATTATCTGTGGTAAAAATTTAATCTTTTTTTTTTGGTCAATGATCCAGGGCCTTTTTTGAGTAATTCAATATGTATTCTGAAAATGCAAATTTAATAATAATAGCAACTTAATGCAATTCACCCTTCCCTCAACTGCCTCCAAAATGAAAAAAAAAAGTGTGTCAAGTTTATAAAAGTTGTGTTCACTTTGGTCAGTACTTGACATTTTTTTTGCCTTAGCATCTGTATTAGTCCATTTTTATGCTGCTGATAAAGACATACCTGAAACTGGGAAGAAAAATAGTTTTAATGGACTCACAGTTCCACTTGGCTGGGGAGGCCTCACAATAATGGCAGAAGGTGAAAGGCACGTCTTACATGGTGGTGGCAAGAGAGAATGAGGAAGAAGCAAAAGTGGAAACCCCTTATAAACCATCAGGTCTCTTGAGATTTATTTACTATCACGAGAACAGTATGGGGGAAACTGCCGCCGTGATTCAATTATCTCCCGCCTGGTCCCTCCCACAACACATGGGAATTATGGGAGTACAATTCAAGATGAAATTTGCGTGGGGACACAGAGTCAAGCCATATCAGCATCAATAATTGAGATCAACCTGAATATCTCTGCAACTATTAAAGCAACTGAATCAGTAATTAAAAACTGTCCAACTATGAAATCTTCAGGCCCATAAGACTTTACCTGAGATGTCAGTTGAACATTTTAAGGAGGAAACAATTCCAATCTTATACAAACCAGAGAACAGAAAAAGAGCATTTGCTCTCCAACGCACGTTATGTGGATAGCCTGACCTTGATGCCAGAAGCAGGCAAACTGCACGTATCCTTAAGTTAGAATTTCAGGTGGTAAAACTATAAAGAAGAGTAAGGAAATGATTATTCTACCAGTCAAGACAATACTTAACTCTAGGGGGGTGGGAACAGACCTTGCTCAAAAAGGGCATGTGTTGACCTGTGTGCTGATGATGATAATGACTTTTGGCAGGTTCCTCTTCCTTCACCTCACTTGTACATGTAAGAATTTCTCTTCTCTCTCTACATGTCCTCTCAGTGGTCTCCTGTCTTCTTAAATATACATGCCCAGCCCAAATCTCTTTTCCAACCTCTATCCTCATATATGCGAGAGTCTCAATGACAGTCTTGCAGTCTTAAACTTGACATGCTCAGAAAGGAACTCTTGATTTCCTCCCTAAACTTGCTCCTGTCTTCTCCATCAGGTAATGGCACATCATTTAGTCAGTTGTCCAGGTAACCACAGGGAGAAGCATTCTTGATCTCTCCTTCTCCATCACCTCTCTCTTCCAACCAATCCCTAATTCCTCTCAGCTGCACTTCAAATATCTCTTGATTACATCCACTTCTTCCCATGTCTTCTCCCCAACCTGGATTATGGAGTCTCCTATCTTCTGTTCTTGCCATTTACCAAGTATCTAGAGTTTGCTAAGCTTTGTACTATTGATGCTCTATACAGCGAAAAGATATACTTCTAAGCAAGTAAGCTGGATCGTGTTCACAGTTTAAATTTCTTCTTCAGCTTCTGAGGAGGATGGGAAAACGATATTTGGAACAGTTCCAAATTCTATGATGTGCTGTCTGGCGCTGCTCAGTCTTGCTCCTGCTGTGTTTTTCAGCTTCATCTCATGCCTCTCATGTCGCCCCTGCTGGAATGGTCTTTTTCTTCAGTTCCTTGAACGTGCTGAGGGCTCACCTAAATAAGGCCTTCTTGCCATTCGTTTGGCAGAAGCACTTCCTCCTGCCAGCCCCTACCCCAGTTCTACTACAGGCAGGCTCTTTCTCATTCTAAGATCTCTGCTTATACATCAGTTCCTCCGAGAGGGCTTTTGAGACCACTCTACTTAAAGCAGATGTCCCCTCTTACCATTTTCTATTATAGCATCCTTGTTTTTGTTTGTTTCATCTATTTATTTGTTGGTTTCCTTATTTTTTTGTCTATAATTTTCATACAGGTAGGGGCCACCTTTTTTTTTTTTTTTCTGCTTACTCTAGTGCCAAACAGTAGATGCTATTAAATGAAGCAGGGGGGTGGGGTGGGGGGGGCACACCTTTCCTGTAACATGATCTGTAACACATTCTTCTGAAGACCAGTAACTTCTGCATCTACATTAATTTAATAAATGAGAATTTTCTATTTTTTTTGTTTTGAAAAAGGAGAATTTTCAGATGTGGTTAATATAGTTTTCCAGTGCATACTTTTAACAACTTTAACTAGATGCTTTAGTGCCCTTAATACATATTAATTAACTTTGACCTAGACATTTTAAAATTCCCTTTTAAAAAGTATTTATTGCATTTAGAATGCTTCTTCTTATACAGTAAACCAGTGCTTAATAAAATATGTGCATTTGGGGATTTTTGCAAGTTTTCTTTTCCCTTTTGAACTAGAAAGAGCACTAACCTATTGGCCCCCTGTAGGTCTTTGGTCTATTTTCCATTCTTTGCATCTCTACCCTTTCCAAGATCGACCCAGCAACAGATGAGCTATGCTCAGTGCTTTGGAGGAGTCATCATGTGGGACAATTAAGACCAGGACTTGTTCAATCTCTCATCATGGCTGCTTTCCAACTATCTCGGGATCCATACCTGTGCCCTACTGAGATGTTGTCAAATATTTTTCTGGTCCATTTTCCTTTTCCCATTTTCTCCCTTGCTTTCGCCAACCCTCAGGTCAGTGCTACACAGCTCAGGCTGAGATATAAACTTGCTCTGAGCATTCTCAAACAAGAATGCAGCATCTTTGTGTAGCAGGAAAGAACTCAGTTTAACCTGGCATAAACCAGCTTCCCAAACTCATTTTTCCCTCAGCCCACCTCTCTTCTGACTTAACTATCTCTGGTAATGTTGCTTCTCATCTTAGTCACCAAAGTTTTTATTTTTCGCTTACACTTTATATCCCTACATGAAATCAAATCCAAGGAACTATCAATTCTATCTCTACCAAGTTTGTACTTCTGTCTCTTTTGCTTCTTTCTTGTTCTCTCTAGCCTACTTTATATTGCATTTAGTTATTTTTATTGCTTGGACTACTACAGTAATTCCCTAACTGGTATTCACTTTTTTTTCTCTCCTTTACTCAAAATTTTCTCTCCTTTTATCAAGTCACTCTACATATGCTGCTAAATTAATATTCTTGAACTTTGCTCTGATCAAATTACATTTCTGCCAAAAAAGTTCAATAGTTTTTTATTAGTTATGGGTTAAATCTGAGCTCCTTAGGCTGGCTCTGCACAACATGGTCTCATCTCACTTTCTAGTCTTACCTCCCTCTGTTCCATGTACACCTTATGACATGCTAAAATTGAACTTCCTGGAGTTTCTCAAACATGCCTTGTCTTTTCCCACTGCTCCTCTTTCTTTGTTCAGTATTTGTCTACTGGGTTGTCCTTCCCCTCTTACTCCATTATCTCAACTTATTGAACCTTATTCACTTGTTAAGGTACAGATTCAGTGTTGCTTGCTTCATGATGCTTTCTCTAATTCCCTCAACACAGTGTCATCTCCTCCCCTGTTCCTATTCTCATGGCAGGTTTATTTGTTTACTAGGGCTACCACAACAAGTTGCCACAAACTTTGTGACATAAAACAACAGAAATTTATTTTATTCTAGTTTTGGAAGCCAGAAATCCAAAATCATAGTTTTGGCAGGGCCATGTTCTCTGTCCCTGAGGACTCCAAGGGAGCCCCTGCCTCTTCTTTGCCTTTCCTTGCCTTTTCCTAGCTTCTGGTGATTGATGGTGATTTTGGTGTTCCTTGACTTTGTAAACTCATTACTCCGATCACCTGGCATTCTATCTGTGTGTCTTCATATCATCTTCCCTCCGTCCATGTGTGTATCTTTCCTCCCCTTTTATAAGGACAACAGTCATTGGACTAGGGTCCACTCCCATCCAGTATAACCTTATCTAAACTTGATTACATCTGCAAAGTCCTACTTCCAGATAAGTTCTCATCGACAGGTACCAGGTTAAGACTTCAACATATGTCTTCAGGGGGCACAATTCAACCCACAATGGTAGGCATATGTTAATTCTCATTCTCAATTTAGTGTTGACTCTGGAAGTGCAGTTCAGCTGCAGGCTTTTTTTTTTTTTTTTCTAATTTGTAGCATTTCCCAAGTTTATTAGCTTCCACAGAACATACCTTTTGAGCCCCTCTCTAATACACAAGGTTGCAGAGTTTGATGCACTCCAAGTCTTTGCATAGCCGAGCCAGCTGGCATTATGGCTAGTCTGCGGCATCCCTCAACCACCTTCCTCACCGAGGAGTCTCTAGCTCTGGGTACTTTGGTAGAACTCTCTCAGCTGAAATGCAAAAACCTCATTTCTGCCCTGCCAATCAATTAGCAGCCAGTTCCGCTCCTCCCATATTTTTATACCAACATACTGCATTTCTGTGTAATGTGTTCACTGCCCATTTTGTTCCAAAATCATTTCTTTGGACATGATGGCAGTATGCAGACCTCAAGGTAGCACTTGGGGATATTGAGTAGGGGAGCCAGGTGGTATGTGGCATATCGCAAATGACTCCTTCGATCTACAGTCCGTGAAACTGGCTCCTTCAGTATCCTTGCTTTTGGCATGACTCAGATTAATGTCTTGAAAGAAAAGCAAACTAGCTGCACAGTTTGGTGGAAATTAGATATTAGAAATAACTTATTGTTGTTTTTTGTTGGTTTATCAATCTTTGAGAACTATTTATATGGCTTTTCTTAGTTTTGGAAACTTGTTGGGATATACCAAGTAGTATGGCTATTGTTGAATAACTTAGCATTCCCTTCCTGCTATAAAAGTGCAGTCTTATCATTATATATTCTAGAAGAGTTATATAGAAATTGAGGTATAATTATATACAAGTACATGGAAACATTCCAGTAGAAAATGAAAACATATGCCTGACAAAAATAGCAGGAAACATGTCAGTGTGTTACAATACAAAATTGTTGCAAATAACTAAAAATGGGCTTTCACAAATATAAACAATGCACAAGTTCTGTTAAAATCAATGGCTTACATTTTTTTCTTTTCATGTTCAGTGACAGTTTAACATCAGTTGAAGCTAGCTTCCTGCTTATGACAAAAGGAGAAGTCATTTTATTTCTAACTATGTATTTTTAGTCTCCTCTTTTTGGTATGAATCATTAATATTAAAGTTGCTGTTGACAAAATAAAAGGCAGAGCTAGAAATGGAACATATTAAAGAAAATGCTATGTTGCACGCATGATGTGGAATACTCAAATAGATGAAATAAAGCTGCTCTTTTGCAAAAAGCTATTCTTCATGAAGCTTAGTGCCAGGAAAAGATCAATGTCCTCTATTTTTAGCTCTCTCCATTTTGTTCCTATAAGGGACAAAGATGCTACACAAGTCCTAATACAGTGAGAGAGTAAATCCAATGTAGTCATTTTAGTTTTCTTTTCACCTCTCCCAGGCAATTATATTAAAGTGCCCAAATAAAGACGACTGACTTTCATATGTTTGGAAGGGTAGATGATCTTTTTATGTCTGTCAGTTGGCTGTTCTGAATAATGGAGACCCCAGATGTGCCACTGGCCTTTTCAAAGAAGGACAGAGGAAGACAATAAAGGAGGCAGTGTGGCTATTCTGCTTCTTCCCAGTAGAAGAAATGTAGCACACTTGGTTTTGCAGGGATAATGAAATTCATTTTGGGTTCATTAGCAATTCTGTTTCTTTGGAAAAACTGGTGATGATGGAGTTAGTTAGGATTAAAGAAGTTCTTTTGAATTCCTAGTTTGAATTCAACATCCTGGGATTCTAGTCTAAGCAGTAGAGCCTGTGATCAATCATCTTTATTCTTCCTCTTCTGGGGCTTAAATATTACTCTTAGATTTTGTTAAAAGTTTCACATACTAATGTTATCAAGGGGACTTGAAAATGACTTTGGAGTTTTGGGATTTAATTTAACTGGGAAATAAGAGGATCTAAGACTTTTAAATCTTAGTGAAATGAAACTTTTTTTAAGAGTCATGACTACATTTAAAATCTTTTCCTCCTCTTGATTTTGTCAAAAATGAAGGCACCAAAATTAGGATTGTCAAAGTAGAAGAGACCATAGGTGATTCTCTTGTCAAACCTGATATTATAGATGAAGACAGAGAGGAAAAGTATTATAGATGAAGACAGAGAGGAAAAGTGCTTTCCAAAAGCCACTTTTTTTTAAATTTTTTTTTAATTTTTTAAATTTTTTTTAGTGGATGAGACAAGATAGCATATAGTTCCTTTGATTCCCAACCCAGTAAGGTCTATGACATGCCTCTTGGTTAGAAGCTTTCGATTAAAAAAAAATCTTTGTTTCCTAACACGTTTATGTAATGGATTAGTAGATGCTGCAGTATACTGTCCAGTACTTTAGGACTAAATGAGTACTTTAGGACTAAAGTACTTATTTCCCCAACTGCTGGGAATGTTGGCAGCTGACAGCACTTGGCTGAGTCCGTTTCTCTCCAACACAGGACAACATTGAAGCAGCATTTTATGGGATTAGCTGAGGCCTTTCTTGATATTGATACAATGTTCATTCATTTTGCTCCTGTGCTCAATCCTTCTTTCTTCATTCCCCTACAAGCATTGATCCTGAGAGCACATCTTAATAAACCTCCTGCACACAAGCCACCTTCTCAGAGTATTCTTCCTGGGGACTTGACCTGTGGTATCTTCTATGTTTGAATAGTTTCATGGTACATATGGGAAGAATCAATGTATATTTTCCCAAGTGGGACTTGAGCTGTGCCTAAATTAGCATCATCTTCTAAAATAATGTAAAGTTCATACTTGTTAATTTAATACATTAAAGAAAGATATCACCTTTAGACATTTTTTTGTAGCATGATATCTTGAAGTGTGACCTTCTCATCAAGAAATTATAAAAAAGGCTACTACTTAAAAGAGTAAACAGAAGAACAAAAGAGAGAAAAGGAGCTGATAATATTTTTTTTATCTCCACAAAATCTTGATTCCACACATATGTACCGGGCCAAGACAGAAGTGATTTGATGTGATCCATATTCACGTTTGCATAGCTGATGTTGTCTGGTGGGGTTAACTGGATAAATCACAATCCACCGTGACTATCTTTGATATTCAAGAGAAAACACTATGTGGAAACAATCCTAGAGAGGTGGAAAAGGGAAAGATATCAAAACAAAATTTCCTATCCATTCTCCTCCCTGCATAATTATGCAAATAAAATGATAATAACATAAATTTTATTTTTTACCAAATCTAAACTAGCAGCATGTATTGAAGAATTGAGGTAATTATTTGCATAATCAGTGCAATAGATTAATTTTATCTTTAAAAACACAAATTATCATGATTATCTGGATGCTTGTTTCAATTATCTTGATTACTCTATTGATAGAGATTAGGTCAAATAAATTTCTTTCTTTTATTCTGATTTGCCCACAATCAGACAAACAGAGTAATGGTATTCCATGACCATAGTTTACCATAGCACACTGGAAACAATTGTTAGTAAAATATCTAATGTGGATGGGGAACTGAGCTGGTGAATTCATAAATTCAACTTATTTAATTAGATGAATTTGAGCAACTTGCCTTTCTCTTTCTTTCTTTTTTTTTTTTTTTGAGATGGAGTCTCGCTCTGTCACCCAGGCTGGAGTGCCGTGGCATAATCTCGGCTCACTGCAATCTCCGCCACCCGGGTTCATGCCATTCTCCTGCCTCAGCCTCCCGAGTAGCTGGGACTACAGGCGCCCACCACCAGGACTGGCTAATTTTTTTTGTATTTTTAGTACAGATGGGGTTTCACCGTGTTAGCCAGGATGGTCTCGATCTCCTGACCTCGTGATCCAGCCGCCTCGGCCTCCCAAAGTGCTGGGATTACAGGCGTGAAGGCGTGAGCCACCGCTCCTGGCCGCCTTTCTCTTTCAAGTACTTAACATTTCATTTTCAAGGAGATCCTCTTCATTGGCGTATATGACTGCCCATGATTTTTGGAAAAAAAAAAATTCCTAAAAACAAACTTTCCCAAATTCTGTTTCTTTGGCCATTACTTCTCTGTTTTGAAGTTCGGTAAATGTTATCTGTAGTGGCTGACTCTATTATTGTCATTTCCAGGTATTAAAGTTTTTTTTTGCTATTATGAGTGGAAACTTTTTTCTCATTATCAATTGTAGCCGTTTATGTAGAAATGCTGTTAATATTTGCATATGTATTTTATCTGGCCATTAATACTTATTTGGCCATTATTGAACTCTTCCACTAATTTTATAAAATTTATAGTTGATTCTCTTGCATTTCTCCCTAGCTATATGATAATATCAGTTGCAAGTAATGATAATTTAGTTTCTTGCTTTTTAATAATTTTACTTCATTTCTATTTCATGCTTTATTTCACTGGCCAGTGTTTAGAACAGTGTTTGATAGTAAAGGAGAAAGCATACTTTCTTATTTTATTCATTATTATGATGGGACTGCTTCTAGCATTTCACACCATTAAGCATATTATTGATTTTTTTGGGTAGATATTATGTTGAGAAATTCTTATTCTTTTTTATTAATTCATCATATATTTCAAACATCTTATGGTATTATATACTATTCTCTTAGGTTTTTAAGTTTTTTTTTTCTGTATTGGTTGACTCTCTAGTCTCATAACTTGTTTTATATATTTTTTTTTCTTGAATGGATTTACCAGGGATAAATATATTTTATTATCCATATTGAACTACAAGATCTTATATTTGTGTATCAACACTGTTTTCAGTTTTCCAGTTTATTTCTCTCTCTTTTAATTTTCTATGTTTATTTTATTATTTCATTTTCTCTGTTTTTCTTATTTATTTCGAGTTCTATTTGTACACTTTATTTATTTATTTTTATCCTTCCTTTTTAATAATCAGGTCAAAACATTTAAGGTTACATTTGCTTCTTAGTATAAGTTTTGTCACATACCTTAGGTTTGATAGAACAGTGTTCTCATTGTCTTTGTTTTCTGAATAATCTGATATTGTGGTTTGGATTTCTTTTCACTACAATGTTTATCCAGAAGAAGTTACATTTTTTTCCTAAATGATTTTTGTTTAAACCTTTACTATTAATTTATAGCTTTATTGTTTTATGTTCAGAAAATTTAACTAGTTCAGTTTCTGCTTTTTAGAATTTGTTGAATTTGTCTTTTTGACTTAAAATATGATCATTTTTGTAATTGTTTCACTTTTTAAAGCAAATATATCCTCTAAAAAGGACTGAAAATTTGATGTTTATCTATGAAATCAGTCTTATTCATTGCATTTTAATACATATTTTTCTAACTTGTTCTGTTAGAGATTGGGAGAGTTGTATAATTCTCTCTCACCATTGTGTTTATTTTGAGTTCTAGTGCTTGTTAACAATTTATGTCTTTTATTTCTTTATTGCATTGGGCTGGTGCAAAAGTAATCATGGCGTTTACCATTAAAAGTAATAGCAAAACCTCAATTTCTCTTGCACCAACCTGACAGTTGTACCTTTAATAAAATCTTTCTTATTACATTTGATACTTTTTGCATTAAGTTTATATTATCTGAATTAATAATTATTTCTATTGTATTTCTTGCTAGTTTTCTTCTAAAGTCTTGCTCTGTCACCCAGGCTGGAGTGCAGTGGCACGATCTCCGCTCACTGTAACCTCTGCCTCCTGGATTTAAGTGATTCTCCTGCCTCAGACTCCCAAGTAGCTGGGATTACAGTCGTGTGCCACCATGCCTGGCTAATTTTTGTATTTTTATTAGAGACGGGGGGTTTCGCCATGTTGGCCAGGCTGGTCTCGAATTCCTGACCTCAAGTGATCTGCCCGCCTTGGCCTCCCAAAGTGCTGGGATTACAGGTGGGAGCCACTGCGCCCTGCCTCCCCTAAAGTTTTATTCAAATTTTACTTCCAGTCATCTTAAATTTGTTATATTTGAGTTTCTTTTAAATCAATTTATGTTATATTATTATTTTACTTTTTAACATTGATTTTTAAAAATAACATTTTGAGATATAATGGACATACCATACAATTCTTGAAAACATTATGCTAAATAAAGAATCCAGTCACAGAAGACCATCTAGTGTATAATTCCATTTATATGAAATGTCCAGAGTAGGCAAATCTATAGAGACAGAAAATAGATTAAATTATTTTTATAACATAAATGAAATATTTTTAATAGTGGATTTTATGTCTGCCTCTTAATCTGCATATAATTAATTTATGGTTTTGGAATAAAACATGATGGAATAAAAAACTTAAAAAAATACACATAGCATTTCAGAATAACATGTTTTTAAGTTGCTTGCCGATATGTATTGGTTCTTCTGGATAATTAGAAAACCTGATCACATGAATTGGGCGAAGAGATTTCCCAGACCTCATCCTCCTCTTTTCTAGTTGCCACAAAATATTTTGAGGATTCTGATATTATGTTCTGTGAGGTTTCTTGAGTGTTTTTTATTTATTTATAAATGTCTTAAAACTTTTAAGAGGTACCATAACTGGAAAACTCATCTGACATTGGAGAGAGCCCCACTGTAGAAAATACAAGGATGCTAACTGTGTTGGAAAAGGCAAACATGTCAGTAACCCTGGCCTGTGCTGCCAAGTTGAAAGGAAGGGATAAGTCTGTGGTATCACTGACATGGCTAGAATTTCTATAATGGAGAAGATGGAGAGTAAAACAGGAAGTGATTATGGCCAGTACCATTTTCATCTTTCCTGGACCTTGTCAATAGAGCTTTCACCTACAAACTCCACATTAAAATTTCAAAAAGCACATGCCTGCTTTTTCCAACCCATTGAAACATATCTCTTGCCTTTTATTTATTAATAGAAAATTGTGACTTCAGTAACCTTGACATTCTCACTACTTTGTATGAATCTGGATGAGCAATGAATTGAGAGTGCATGTTTTATTATTGCTGATTAACATCTGATCTCCTAATGCTGAGACTAAGCATCATAGTAGGTGACTATGGCAGAAACTGCTGGTAGATTGCTAGTTGCCCAGCCTAATTTCTTCTTTTTTCCACAAACAAAACCCTGTGTGTTCCTGTATGTGTGTGTGTATATATTGGGCAGCTGGCCAAATTCAAGCTAGCCTTCCTTATGGCTAGGTGAATACACATTCCTGAATTGAGACAATGACAGTAAGCATTAAGCTTTGAGTGATACTTTTGGAACGTCTTTAGAAGCTCCTTCATCTGAGGAGTGTGTCCTCTTTGCCTTTCTGTTCCTTTTCCTTCCTGCTGCCTGGGAGATGTAAATGAAATCTATTGTTCTAGCAGCCATCTTTGTCTGTGAGATGACCTTGAGCATGGAAACCGTATGTTCTGATAGTAGAACATAAAGATCAAAGATGCTTGGTTGCCTCTTCACCACAGGGAAGCCATTAAGTCTTGGATGGGATATCTTTGGACTTCCATTAGCTGAAATAGATAAACGGTTACTTTATTTAATCATAATTTTATTTTATTTTTGATTACATGTTTTAATTCTAGCAAATACAATAGGGCTCACCTATGGCTGCAAAGCACTGAGCACAGGCAAACAAAATTTTGTATTCTGGGTGAAGAGAAGTTTTAAAACATCCAAAGCATACAGAAAAAAGATTGGATAAATAACCAAAGGGGAATCTGAAGTGAATAGTCATGATAGAGAGTAAGTGAATCAGAGCCAACAGATCTGGAGTTAGAGACTGGAAGGATCTCCAAGAGGGCAAATAGAGAATGCCCTCCAAGAGGGCAAATGGGAATTTACATTTGTAAATTCCTGTAATTTGAGCTGGAGAAACAGAGGGAAGCATAATCTGATCCTTTCCATCCTTGAAGCAAAGCTTAGGAAAACATTAATATACCATAGTGTTCAAAATTTGGGTGTCATCCTCCAGTAAATGTCACTCTGACTGTTCAGATACTTGGAGTGTCCCACAGCTGTGTCAGGAATATACAACCTCTTATATTAGACCTGCCATTTTGCTAGGGACAGATGTCTAAGGCCCAAGGTCAAGGACAGGCTTCCAGTGGGTTGGATAGAATAGTAATTGGTTAAATATGGGATACATGTGCATGAAGGGAGACTGTTTGAAATGAGCCATGGGAATGGAATGTTTCATCGTTTTTCAAGGAGCCCAAGAAGTGTTCCTCCAGCTTTCAGCATGGCAGATAGTATAGGTATTCAGGTGAGAGTCAGGTAAGAGTCCTCCTCCCTGAATGTCTTCTAAAATTGAGAGTCCCTTGCACACCATAGAAAGAAATCAGTTATCTTGAGTGTCCAGAGTGGTGTGAGAGGTGGTGTACATAATTGATGCATAAACTGGCTAGTGTTGCTATAAGAAAGTGAACCATTTGAGTGAGTTTGTCTACTGGAGTTCCATGATCTCTTATTTGGAATCCTTGAACGTGCTCCAGAATTATAAGAGTTTTTTTTTTTTAATTTTAGAAAGGAAAATATTGCATGTTATGTGATAGCCACAGAAGAGTATGTGGCAATAAGCTGCAATCCAATTTGCTAATATTTATGCAGCAAAATGATGAATATTAACATTCAGAAGATTAAAAAAACTATAAATAGCCTCATGTCAGTTCTCTGATCTCAAAGTTCTCTATTCTCAAAGTTTCTTGGATTTTGATGTTGTGGATAAGGGGCCATGGACCATTATTATCAGCAGAGCATGATGTCGACGAAGGTCTGAGATGAAATCTATGTTTGGGAATAAAGGGTCTGTCTACTGGGAGCTTGTCATACCAGAAGCTGCATGAAAGAACTAATTTCCCTTTATAGATGTGAAGTTTATTAGACCATGTACTAGTTCTTTTAACCCCCTGTTTACATTCTTGTGCTTTTAATTGTTATCCACTTTTTTTCAGGCTGGACTGTGCCTTTAAGTAATTTTAGATCCCTAAATGTTACCTTTTATGAGACCTGACATTTCTGAGAATGTCTATTTTCTACACACATGAATGGCAACTTGACTGAGTAGTAGAAAATGGGTTTTCCTCTCTTAACATGCTGTAGCAACTTCTCTATTACCTAACAGTGCATATTTATTTATTTGTATATATTATGGTATATTTATTTGTAGTTAACTAGTGTCTTGGCCTAAATGCTTGTTGGATGTTTTCTTTAAGTTAAAAATTTGCCAGGATGTGTCTATTTATTAACTTTATTTGGAGCATGAAGAGATCTTTAGATATGTATACATTTCAACTAAATAGATTTTTCCTTGATTTATTGCACCTGTGCCAACTGTTTTGATTTCCTTTTCAAGTCTATCTGTAGTTCTTAGTTTGGAGTTTTATTCTTCCTCCTCTATATCTAGTGTGCCTGCATTGTTTCCAACTATTTATTCCTGTCCTTTGACTTGCGAAATAACTTTTCAACTTTGTATTTCAAATTATGAATGCATTTTTCTCCAGTGTAAATTCTACTCTGATGTACAGTAAATCCTTATTGCCTTGTTAGTTATCTTATATGTCCGTTTTCATTTTAGTTTTTTCATTTTTTTTTTCTTTAATGTCATTTGTTTTCCACTTCATCTCAGCATATTCTGACCTTGTGACTTTCAGGTCCTGCGTGTTATTGTCAAAAGTTTTCTAGAATGTTATTTTGGTTTCTGTAGCAAATTGTTTTCAGATGACTGTTCTTCCCTTCCATCTTTAAGATAACTTTTTTTCTGAAGTTAAAAAAATAGATGGCATGTTGTTGTTTTTCTTTTAGTTTCTACCACTGATCCTTGGATCTAGGTGTCAGTCAAAGCCTTTCCTCATATTTATAGCATGAAGGTAAGTTGATGTACATAGCTCAGTTCTCACTGTCTATCAGCTGCTTATCTAGGGCAGCTCTGTTGTACATAACTATGATTGCTTCATATCTCGGTGTGTATTTCTCTGACACTTCAAGGAAACAGGTTATGCAAAGACTGCAGCCTTTCCTTTGCACAGTTACCAGGACACTTCCTGCCTCATTCACTTGCAGAAGTTTTTTTTTTTTTTTTTTTAATGGAAATATAATTACTTTAGAGCAATGAGTCATTTTTTTATGTCTGGATGTTTTCTGGGAGTTCAAACTCCCTGCATGTAGGAATATGGTGTCTGAGGGTGGAGGTAGGGTGGGGTTAGGAGTACGTGGATAGTTCAGTAACATTTTGCTGCCTTAAAAATCAGTGCTTTTGTCTAGGGGTCTGCTGCCTGTTTTGCTATTTGGCTTATAGGATGGTCTCTGAGGGAGGTGTAGATAATGGGGAGAAGCAGTATTTTAATTTTCTTTCAGGTACAAAGGGAACAATGTTTCGTGAAGTGAAGAACGGGCTATTCAATAATTGTTTTATTTTTGTCTATCTCAGTGTTTCTCAAACTTTAGTAATGTATGATCCTCTTTTAATGGATTGATTTCTCATAGGTCCTGAGCATTGACTAAAGGGCTTTTATGACAATGTTTCTTAAAATATTCCAGCTTAAAGCTAGGGATAAACTTCTAACTCTATACTACTGTAAAAGCAAACGAATTCTCAGATTAAATACCCTCTCCAGAAAACCAATAAATTAAAATTAATTTGATGTGACTTAAGATGTTCTTTTTTTTTTTTTTTTTTTTCCAGAAATCAGTGTTTACTGCAGAGAACACAGAAGCCAGCAAGCAGCAGGGAAGGGAGGCGAACCAATGCAGCAGCCCACCGGGACCGAGGAGGACACACGCAGAGCAAGTCACAGGAAGCGCAGCTGAAAACAAATGGACGCTTATCCCAAATGCACAGGACACTTACCAAGAACTGATGGTCCGTCAAAGTAAAGCTCAACAGCTTTGGCTGGCAGGACAGTCAAACTTTTGGACGACAGAAAGTAACAGTGGGAAATGGGACAACATCTGCCAGCAACGCGAGAGGCCAAGACCATGGCTGCTACAGGAGGGGTCAGCGTCACAGTACACGCATGGCGGCGGTTGCACATGCATGCCTGGGGAATGTGAGTGTTCAGACATGCCAGGAGTCCAGCCTCACCAGGAAACAGGCACACGGGGACAGAGGCGCAAACACTGAAAACTCTCGCTGAATCCACTCGGCTGAGCGGTGGTCACGAGAGCACGGCCCTGCGCTCCCCACAAAACTGCACCTGGGCCCCAGGGCGAGACAGGCGTGGAAGGTGCAGGGGTGTGTGTGGGGGCAGGGGCTCCTGGCTCAGAGCCGTATCCAGGAACCCCCCTTCAGGCTGGAGCCCTGCCCTGAGCCCCCTGTGGAGAGACTGTGGAGAGCCCCCTGTGGAGAGGGTGACTGTGGGAGAGCAGCATCAGGCCTAGTCTCGGCTGTGAAGTACCCCCCACCTCCACGCAGGATCCCGGGGATTCTGTCAAGGTGGGGGCCGCCTGCTCAGCCCAGGCTCCCTGAACGTGTGGCTAGCTGAGTTTGCGGAAGAAACCAGGAGAGTGCCAACACCAGGCTTGCAAGCAAGAGGCTCCCTGACTGCCTGATCCTGGAGCGCACCCCATCCTCCCTGTGTTCCCTGGGCCTCAGCTGTTCCCCAGTGACCTTGGAGACACCCTGCCCCACCCTGGCTCCACAGGAGCCCTGCCCATCACCGCCTCAGCTCTGAGTCTCCCCTGGGGACACAACCTTCCTCCTGGTGCAGAGGCGCAGGATGCTGCCCCTAAGGCCCATCTTCCTCTGCAGCATGTTTTGATGTCAGCTCATTCACAGGAAAGAAACAATCACATCTCAGTGCCCAGAATGGGGACCAATAGGAGAGGTCACTGGGAATAAAGCCCACACGCACCCCAGGGTCCATGGGCTCCCCAGAAATGCAGGTGGCCTCCGCCAGAGCCAACAAGCCTAAGTTGCTGATCAGCCCCTCCCTGCTTCCCTGTGTGGAAGAGGAAACAGAGGCCCAGACTAGTAGGGCTCTGCCGTGGTGGCCGGCTGCGTCCCCAGACCTCTGGTCCCAGGGCTGGCTGGGAGTGCCCCTCCCTGTGCTCACTTCCTGCTCTCCTGGGAAATGGCTCAGGGATGGGGCGTGTGGGGACAGATGCTGGCATAGCTCACAAAATGCTTGCACAAGGGACACTCCATGGCAGGTCCCTGCAGGAGAGCAAAGTCACAACATTCAGAGATTCCCTGCACTCTGAGGCCCGCAGAGCCTGGCCGACCAAGCGAGGCTGGGAGGATGTTGCCTGCTGGTCAGGGCAGCCCTCTGATCAGGGCGGCCGAGTGAGGCTGGGAGGATGGTGCCCGCTGGTCAGGGCAGCTGAGCGTGGCTGGGAGGATGGTGCCTGCTGGTCAGGGCAGCCCTCTGGTCAGGGTGGCCAAGCGAGGCAGGGAGGGAGGTACCCACCGGTCAGGGCAGCCGAACAAAGCTGGAAAGATGGTGCCTGCTGGTCAGGGCGGCTGAATGAGGCTGGGAGGATGGTGTCTGCTGGTCAGGGCAGCTCAGGAGGTGCTGCCCAGGAGGTGCTGTCCAGGCAGAGCCTAGGGCTGGTGTGGGTGTGCCATGCTCCTGAGAAGTTTCTGGGTTGTGGCTTTAATGTTCTCCTGCAGTGAGAACGCTGACACTTGGCCAAAGGGTCCTCACCTCTCCCCTAGTACACTTCTGAGATGCCAGGAAGGTTCTGAACATCAGATTGATTCCTGGGACTCCCCTCCAGGGTGGCCTTACTGGAGTCAGGAGCCCCTGCCCCACTAGGATGGCTCTGCAGTGGCCTGAGGACAGTGAGCACTGACTGGTCACTGGTGCAAAGTTGCCCACTGTGATGGTTTTGACCGTTGATGGGAACCAAGTGAAAGCCCTGCAGCTATTTCTAGGCATTTCAGAGGGTGCTTCCCTGCATGTACTCTGCTGCAGACCATCCTCCCTGGGCCAGGAGCCCGCTACACAGTAGGAGATTCTTTTTCTTCTCTTTTGAGCACTTTTATTCTCTTTTTCTTAATCTCTGCTCCTCCTTTGAACTGAGAAATGTGCAAATCTTTTTTGTTAGTTTTGAGGTTGCTTCTTATGCATATTTCATCTGGAACTTTCCCCTTTGGGGGTGATCTGTTCTATCAGCCTGCCCGCTGCTAGAGAGGCCGAGGTGGTCCGGCCAGCCGTGCGCTGCTGCTGGTGTCTCTGTGGGCATGACCTGGTGAGATATCATTCTGCATCTGGGGGTCCATCCTATCAGCCCTGTGTTCTAGATTCCCCAGTGACTGACATTTAGCCAGTCTCCTCTGTCACTCTCCAGTGACATGTACACACTGTTGGCACGAACTGCAGATGTCACGTTCTGTGGCTGAGAGCCTCAGTGTGCATCTGTAGTAGGAGGATGTCAGTGAGGACTGTCCTGTCGCTGCTGAGCTGGCACCGACTGTGCCTGGTCTACACTCCAGGTCTGCCAAACGACCCAGCAAGGTCCTTCACAACTCTTCTGATCCAGGATCACACATCACTTGTGCTTTGATGCCTGCTTCTGAACAATTTTACCTCCTGAGATGTCCATTTTTGGGAGTGTGAGCCCTCCTCTCCTGGTGACAGCTGGCTGAGGCCGTCCAGCCTCAGGACACACAGGGAACGGCTGCATAAGGAGATCTGGGGCAGGGGGCCCACCAGGATGTTCTGCCCTGTGGGGGGCAACACCGGCTGTGGTCTGCCGGCGGCATCCAGGGACAGTCTGTCTAGGTGAGGCTGAGGCCGCCCCCACTCGCTCCCTCACCCCCATGCTGACAGCAGTGAGCTGACCACAGACTGGGGGAGCCCCACAGGGAGACTGGCCTCCCCAGCACATGCCCCGCAGTGCCAGACGCGGTCATCACAGAGGCAGGTACACGACACCACGGACGTGCCACGTACCCGCCATCGGGACCAAGGACCACTGAGAAACCATGAAGGCCATGCAGCGACTGTGGTGGCAGGACCGTCAGGAGGCCATAGGTGCCACGGCTCCCCTCTGGTGGTTCACCTGCCCACCTGTAGCTGGGGTGGCCCCTCCAGTGCGCTCCCCAGAGCAGAACACCCCCCAGGCAACACGTCTGATGAAGGCCAACAGCGTCAGTCCTCTGGTGTTTGGTGACATCAAAGCTGTGCCGAAAGGCCTTCCCTCACTGCTAACACTTGAAGGGCTTCTGTCCGGTGTGGACCCTCTGATGGCGAATGTGGTCTGTCTTATGCTTAAAGATCCACCTCCATTAACTGCACTCTTAGGGTTTCTTCCTCTGAAAAGGAATGAACACGGGAACCCCCTCAAAGGCATTTTTAAATGAAGCGTGGAAGGCATCAAAGATGTGCTCTTCTTCAGGACTCAGGTGGGGCTCTGTGCAGGGCTTCCTGGGCACAGTGGGCCTCTCAGGTGGCTTTCTGTCCCCGGAGGCCTTCTCCTCTCTGGGCACGCTCTTCTGCGCATCGGCTTTCTCCCTCTGGGTCAGCGTCTTCTTTTTTCTGCCTGCAGGCTTCTCCATCATTCTCTGTTCCTTGGAAGCGTGAGGGCTAAGGAGCTGCTGACTTCTCTCTCTTGGCCCCACTTCAAGAAAGGCTTGCTTCCCACACACCTCTCCACGCTCCCAGTGCGGGACTGACACTCTGCACCGGGAGGCCAAGGGCCACCATCGTCTTGCTGGTACCGTAAAAACCCTATCCTCTTTGTTGGGCCTTAGGAGTAAATGGGCTCTGAGGTAGAGAGATCAGTGAGAAGCTAGTTTTGTTCTAAAGGAGCAGAGTGTATGCGTGTGTGTGTGTGTGTGTGTGTGTGTGTGTGTGTGGAGCAGGGCGGGGGGGTGGTGTGGCATGCACCCTGTTGACAGCATAAGATTGCTGTTGTTGCTAATATAGCTATTCGTTAGTATGATATCCTACGTCTCTAACTGATAATGGAAAAGATGGAAAGCCAAGAAGCCAATCCACAATCCAGGAAGGAAAATGTGTCTACAGTCATAAGGGTCTCCTATTATGAGACCCAGAGTGGAATTTGTAGGATGGGTCGATTCATTGTATTTCTATTTCTTCCTTTGTCCACATATTCAATATATGGATATCCTTCTGCCTTTATTTTAAGTACCCAGTGTGAAAATCCTTTGTTAAGTTAAGCCATGTGAGTAGGCTATAGAGAACTGGAATAGTTGCAAAAATACTGAATTTAGCCCATAGAAGTCATTCAGCAGTGTAAGGTACCAGGAACGCAGTGAACTATTATGGAATTGTTACAGCCTAGGATGAAATGTCTTTAGAGCCTCACCTATCAGTGTGATTGTACTTTTTTTTTTTTTTTGAAACGGAGTCTAGCTCTGTCACCCACGCTGGAGTGCAGTGGCACGATCTCGGCTCACTGCAACCTCTGCCTCCTGGGTTCAAGCGATTCTCCTGCTTCAGCCTCCCGAGTAGCTGGGACTACAGGTGCCCGCCACCACGCCCAGCTAATTTTTGTATTTTTAGTACAGATAGGGTTTCACTGTGTTGGCCAGGCTGGTCTCAAACTCCTGACCTAATGATCTGCCTGCCTCAGCCTCCCAAAGTGCTGGGATTACAAATATGAGCCACCGTGCTCGGCCAGTGTGATTGTACTTGTAGCTGACTTCCAGATAATTCAAGATCTCAGTATGAGAAATACTGAATTAGTTCAATCTGCTTCATTATGTATTCTTTTTAACTGCCAGCATTAGATTTATTCATTTATTCAATCAACATTTGTTTAGTCTCTACTACGGCTAGGCTAGGTATGGCTTCCAAATATTGGGGACATAGCAGGGAACCAAAGTGCCTTTCTTTCCTAGTGGAGATTATAGTCTGAATAATAAATGGAGGAATATATATATGTACATATATATCTGCATATATATTCATATATATACACACACACATATATATATTCAGACAGTGATAAGTGCTATGAGGAAAAACAATATAGAATAAGGAACAGAGAATGCCAGGTTAGCGGTGGTTGTAGCTAAGGAAGGTTTTCTTGAAGAGATTGTCTGCCAGTCTTAGATTTGGAGAAAAGTATCAAAGTCCAGCTTTTTCAAGGTTTTCAGTAGTTCTACGGAAAGAAAGGAATGGTTGTATCAGGACATGTTAGGCACTTAAGATAAAAAATACTTGCATTCATTTTCATGGCCTATGTTTCATTCCTTCTCTGTACATGCCCTTAGTTAACAGATGAACAGTATAAACATTACTGATGGCTTGGTCACATACTGTGATAATAACAGAGTTAATGTTGGAACCTTGGGATTCTGAATTTACTTGTGTTCTCTACTGAACCACACATTCTCTTTTCCTCTTTATTTTTCTCTTTTTCATTAAGATAATTGAAGAAGTTAGAGTGATTTCTTTTTCAAGATAGACTAGTTCTTCTCATCTCTTCTTTGATCTTCTATCTGGACTATTGCAGAGTGGGTGTGGGGCAATTAAATGTGCCAGAACTTGAGAGGACTCATGTGCTCCCGTGAAAAAAAGCTCAGCTAGAAAAAAGCTTTTCACAGGGATAAGAATAGGACAGATGGCTTTGTCCTACAGGCTGGATAAGTTTTACTTCTACACCTTCCAAAAGGTAACGCAGAGTTATGAAGTTAGTTTCAATTTTCAGAAAAATGTCTGTCTGCAGCTCAAATATTTATGAGCTTTTAGGATACTGCCACATAAAATAGATGCTTTGGCAAAATTGCTTTTTATAATGGTGATATAACTTATGATATGGGATTTTGAGATTCATGGTTTTGGATTTTTGTACTGTGCAGAAAGAGTGCATGTATTCAGTAGCAACAGGCAGTTCTCATTTCTCTCCAAAACTGCCCCTTTAAATCTCAGCATGGCCTTTTCAATTCTTCTGATTGCCAAATATCAATCTCTTCTGTTACCTTGTAGTTTGGTCAGGACCAATCCCTCTCATGGTTATGAATTTTCTCTTTTCTGGAATTTCTAGAAAATATTTTCCACAGATAGACAGGGTCTCCTGTGTTTTCTATGTCCTCTCATAATTGTTCCTTTTCCCCTTTAGAGAGAAGAGGTGGAAATTGGGCAGGCTAGTGGAATGAGAAGATTTTCCTCTTGTCTTATGTTTATCTGTTTTCAATAAAGCTTTAAAGGCATTTCAATAAAGGGCAATATAATGCTTGTTCACAGAAACAAAAGGGAAAGAAAGTAATTTTAATGTCTACTAAGGGAAATGATATATTTTGGTATCAGAACCTTTCATGATATCATGGCAGGATTGAGGGTGGGGAGCAGATATGGGAAATAAAACAATATGTTTAGAAATTTGAGTCAAACGTTAGAATACAAATATTTTTCTCAAAATGGAGTGTTAGTTTTCTGCCTCTAGTAATGACGGAGCAGCTTGTATCAGATTAATCCTGCAGTTAACAATAATAAACTTTAAACAAAATATGAAAAACAACTATTTGAAGACATAGAGGAGCAACTAAATACAGGCAGAAACATAGGAAAATCATAGCTGAATATTTTTTTTTTAACAATTCTCTTCCAGTAACTGATAGACTAACTAGACAAAAAAAAAAAATAAGAATAGAGATCTGGAAAACACTATCAATCAACATGATCTAATTGACAAGGTAGAATATACAATTTTTTTCAAAGACACATGGAGCATTCACTAAGATAAACCATATGCCAGACCGTAAAATTAATTTCAATAAATTTTCAAAAGATTGAAATTGTATAGAGTATATTCTCTGACCACAACCAATTAAATTATAAATCAGTGACAGTAATATATCTGACAAATCCTCCATTATTTGGAAATTAAATAATACTAAGTAACCCATAGGTCAAAGAAGAAATAATGGGGAGAATTAGAAAATATTTTTCAATAAATTATTATGAAGAAGTCATAAGGAGAGTTAGAAAATATTTCTTAATAAATTATTATGAAAATATATCTAATCTTGTGGGAAGCAGCTAAAAAAGTACCTAGAGGGAAATTTATAGCTTGAAATGCTCATATTAGAAAAAGAAGAAAGGTTTAAAATAAATGGTGCAAATTTCTACCTTATGCAGCCAGAAAAAGAAGAGGAAGTGAAGCCTAAAGTAAGAAGAAAGAAGAAAATAATAACAAAAAGAAAATTAATGAAGTTGAATTGGATTCTTTGAAAAGATTAATATGCTAGACAAACATATCAAGTAATATAAATATAATATATAAAATTATAAAATTTTAATATAATAGAAAATCAAAGGAGAGAGAAAACATAAATTAATGTTAAGAATAAAAGGGGCCGGGCGCGGTGGCTCACGCCTGTAATCCCAGCACTTTGGGAGGCCGAGGTGGGCGAATCACGAGGTCAGGAGATCGAGATCATCCTGGCTAACATGGTGAAACCCCGTCTCTACTAAAAATACAAAAAATTAGCCAGGTGTGGTGGCGGGCGCCTGTAGTCCCAGCTACTCCGGAGGCTGAGGCAGGAGAATGGCGTGACCCCGGGAGGCGGAGCTTGCAGTGAGCCGAGATCGTGCACTCCAGCCTGGGTGACACAGCAAGACTCCATCTCAAAAAAAAAAAAAAAAAAAAAAAAAGGAATAAAAGAGGGGATATCACTCTAGGTATTTCATGTGTCAAAAGGATATCAAGAGTTTAATAAACACTTTGTTTTAGCGGATTACAATTTCCTATAACTTTCTGAGAATGATGCGTGGAAGGTAATTTATTTTTTGAAAACTTACATTTTTGAAAATGTCTTATTCATTGTCACACTTGATAGTTTGGGCATAGAATTCTAAATTTCCTGTCATATTTGAAGGCATTGCTCCATTGTCTTCTAGCTTCCAGTATAGTATTGCTGTTGAGAAGTCTGATGCTATTATTATGCTGAACTTTTGTATATGATTTTTTAATCTGAAAGCTGCTACAAAGGGACACTCCTTGGCCCCCAGTGTAACCTTTTAGTTTGAAAACCCATATTCTTCAATTCTGGGAATTATCTTATTTCTTTGATAGATTTTTTTTCCCTGTTCTCTCTGTCTGTAATTTCTAGTGGTACTCCTATTGTTCATGTCTTTATTTTTCAAACACTATAAGAAATACTCAAATGAAAAATTTTATCTTTCAGTTCTTTTGTTAAAATGTAAAATTTTATTTTATATTTTAAATTTGAAGACTGCTTTATTGTTCACTGAATTTTCTTTTTGAAACATAGCATCCTGACTTTGTTTTATGACTGTAATGCTCTCTTAATTCCTGTGAGGTTATTTATTACAAATGACTGCTGCTTCTCTCCATATTGCTTTTCTTTGCTGAGTTCTGTTTTTGTTAAAATTTTTGTTTGTTTGTTTAGGTCTTTCATGTTGAAGCTTTCCTCAAAAGGCTAACATGCTTGGCTTACTGTTTGTATTTAAAGAGTGAGGCACTAAGAATCTGACTGAGACACTAAAATCTGGCTGGGCTTATTGATTGGGCAAAGATCTAGTAGTTTATGTGGGAGAAGACACCCAGCTCTCAATATTAGTTCTTTTCCCTTGAGCTGATCAAGCTCTCCAGAAAAGAATTCCCCAATTTTCCGACTTCTAGTATTTTACAAGTTGATAGGGAGAAGGAGATCGATGGTTTAATTATCTAGAGTAAACCTCTCCTTTCCTGATGAAATAGTGTATGAGAAGTTTTCTGGCTGGATGGGGTGGGTGAAAGGGTGGGAAGATAACTGTCCTCTATATAGGTTTTCAGCCACACTCTTGTTTTTAGTCCCACTCTTCACCCTTCACCCTCTGTAGTAAGCAGTTTCTCAAATTCCTCATGCTTCCTGGGATTCTGGAGCACCAACTAGCTTCCTTGTATAGTGGCTTCCCAGTTCCACGCACTTAGGTTTCATTTCCTCTGCTTTGCTAGTTAACACTGGCCCATCTACTTTCTGTCTTCCAAAATTATAATATCTCTTATCTGTTGTTATCCCCTTTACTATTCTGTTATTATTCTGGTGATATTTTAGGATGGAATAGAATAAAGCAGGTATATTTAAACTACCATGTTTGATGAGTAGCCTCACTAGGAAGTTGCAAAGACATTGTTACATTGAAAGCCTCAAGGATTCCACACTTGAGAATAGATGGTTCAACTGTTTTTGATGCCAGTAGAGTAGGGATCTTACCACCCTTTGTTCATTTCATCCCACACAGTACAGATGTACCAATAATTCTTCCTACCTGCCAGATATGCTGATAATTTTCCTTACCCACCAGATGTCCACAGTCCCACCTCCCTTTCTTGGAGTACATTAGCACAAGCTGATGAGGTTTAAGGAAAATAGTCCACACAGGGCAATCAGTGGTTGAGGTGCTGGATGATAACGAAGTGAAGTTCTGAGCATGTAGGTCAATAAGAACAATTGGTGTCATTGCTGGGCACACAAAATGGGACATTCTTGCTGAGAGTAAGGGCTGGGCATTCTGCCTGAGCAACTCACTTTCTAGTCAGCTTCTGGGCTTAATGGTCCTTTGTCAGTTACTCTTTCAACTCCTATCAGGCTGTGGCCCTTTACCTTCCTTGAACAACTTCCTAAGGACTACTTCCAGACTTTGTAGGTTGCCTTGTACTCACTGCCCCATTTCTATTGCTCCTTGTCCATTTCTTCTGTTTATCTAGGGGAACTCTTTGTTTCTCTAAGGGGTACATCCTTATTTCTACTGTCTTCTCAAATTCAATCATCTTGTTCTTTAGCATTTGATTTATTGGCTCATTAAACTTGGAACCCAAATTACTAGCAACCTCAAAACAAGTTTTCTTTCTAGGTTACTGGTCTAATGTTTAACTTATTTTAGGTAACTGACCTAATGTTTAAATATATAAATTCTATTGCACCAAAAAAGGGAAGAAAAACCACCAGTCAGACCTCCATCTTGAAACAGTCCAATGTTTATATGTTGTCATGGACCTTTGATGACTTAAAATTGTGTCTCCGTCCAAGTCATTTGGAACTCTTGAAATAGTCAGCTAGCCAAAAGTTATTTTTAAGTGCTAATTTTGTGCCAGCTTTTGGAAAAACAAAAGTAAATAGGAAGGAAAAGATTTCTTGCTCAAGAAGAACAAGAGTTCTAGTTTGAGAGTTAGGCAATGAGCATCTAAACCAAAAATGTATGTAAGAGTACGAGAGAGTTAGGTTTCAAAGATGGTAGTCTCTAGAGCAAGATTATGGGCTAGAGATCTTAGGAAGTGCAGAAACGTCAAAAAGAGGAAGAATAGCAGCATATTCAGAAGGTGAACCCTGTAACTTGGGAAATCCAGCTGAAACCACAGATGCTGATTTCCTATTTGAACTGAACCTGTCTTTTTTCTTTTGAGACAGGCTCTTATCTCTGTCACCCAGGCTGGAGTGCAGTGGCACAATCATGGCTCACTGCAGCCTTGATCTTCTGGGCTCAGATGATCCTCTCACCTCAGCCTCTCAAGTAGCTGGGATGACAGGCATGTGCCACCACCCCTAGCTAAGTGTTTTGTAGAGATGGGGTTTCACCATGTTGCCCAAGCTGATCTTTAACTCCTGGGCTCAAGTGGTTCACCCACTTCAGCCTCCCAAAGTGCTGGGATTACAGACACGAACTCTCATGCTCGCCTTGTTGTTTCTTAAAAAAATCACATTGCTGAGCATAAGAGGAAAAATTGAATCTTTTTCCTATAATAAATCAATCGCTGGTAAAACTTAAAATGAAGAGCTAAAAGTTCTTCCAGATAACACATAAATGTCTTTGCAGGAAAGTATCTCACTATCAAATCAATCTATGCAGTTAGGCCAGGTAATTCTCCTTTCTAAGCTGATTTTGTGGCTGAACTTTTATTGTATATTGAAGGTGATAAGTAAGATAAAGGAAAGACAGTTTGGATGAGGATAGCATTCAGCATTGTGTTCAGTTTATGCAGTTAGATTTTTTTTTCTATTTTGAAATCTTATTTATTCTTTCAAAATGCTTTTTAGGAAAACATTTGAAATAGATGTTTTTATTATCCAAGGCGCTTGTGATGTGGCAGGTTTTCTAACTGTGGTCAGATTCAGATGGTGAATAGTTCTTCATAATAACACTGATGTTTGGTGTGCCAGTTTCTTTTTATGTAGTTATAATGGATATCGTTTTTGTTCATTTTCCCCTTGTTTCCCTCATCCTATGGTATTTTTTACCATTCACCTCCCAGTATAGTATGAAAAAAATTATCTCCTGAATCACCTGTGTCTCTCAACAGGTCAGTTACGATTTGGTCAACTTGGAAACTATCCATAGAGCTAACCTGAATGCTTTGGGCCAGTAACTCCACTTAGTTCTCAACTGCAATGAGGGATTTCTATTTGATTGAAGTGTGGAGGAAAGGCTCCGAGCCAGGGGGAACACAATTGCTGACAGACTGGCATGATAAAGGCCCTAATGAATGCACTTTATAGAGCACAAAGGTAGTGTCTTTTTTGAGTCAAAATTTGGAGTCTGACTCAGTTCATATCCAGTCTCTGTCACTTGCCAGTTGTGTGACTTTGAGCAAGTCCTTGCTGAACCTCGATTTCTTCATCTGTAAAACAGACACCTTAATGTATCTGCTTTACAATGATGCTATACTCTTTAAATAAGGTTATATGCAAGATACTGAATATATATAATAGCACAAAATAGGTGCATGATAAGTTAAAGACAAAAATAGAGAGCTGTAGATACTAATACTATTCTCATTTTCAGATTTTTACTTGATAATGATGAAAACACTTCAAGGACATTGGCTAAATGTTTAAAACAGGCAAGTTGGGCAATAGAACCTAATTTAAAAAAAGACAGGAAGGTAGTGGACAGAGCAGCATTGCATAAGCAGTCAGATAGCAACTCTTCCTTGTAGTCTGAAGCAGATTTACTAACATAAATATTTGAATATTTTGAGTATTCCTTAATAAGTCAGGCATCCATGACTGACTAAGCATCATTAATACAAAGTATCTTATGTATCCTTAGTACTTAAAAGTTGTATTATTAAAGGGAAAATAAAATTGGAATATTGCAGAGGAAAAGTTATTCATAGGTTGACATAAAAGACATAAAATCTTGTAGTGCATAAGGTTTAATAGTTCTCTTTTTCATAAATCATGAAAAGGGCTTTTCTTCTAATTTGATGGACCATTTCTCTTTCTCCTTCTCCATCTCAGTCTGGTGTAGCACTTGGTGGTGTCCAATGAATATTCATGATGACCGATTTCTTCCCAGCGGCAGCACTACATGTAGAAAGAGAGGTTCTCACTGATCGCTTCTGATCTGTAGAGTACAATTTAAAAACCAGCCTGGTTAATCCACAAACATAAAACTTACCTGTTTTCACAAAACATTGTATTTAGAGTACTAAGATCTGTAAATTGTTATTTTTTTTCTTTCAAATATAGCAATCACATTTTAAAAAGGAATTTTCTGGGTAATTAAAGTAGTTCACCTACTTGCACTAAGCGTTGGTTAGGAAGGCAGCCTTGTGTACAAAGGGCTTTGTGTTTATTCTGTTTCAATGTATGGAACCACAAGGATTTTTTGATTAATTTTCTTTTAGAATTGTTTGTAAATTCAGTATGTACTTGATATTAGGATTTGGTGGAACCACTGCAGAAGGTTTTGAAAGAGCTTCACGATGCCAATGTAACAACTAACAAAATAATTAAATCAGCAGCTGATTATATAATCTATTTACTTAATGGACATAGGATAGATTTTAAAATGCAGATAATGTAAAACATTCACAATTCAATCAATTCTGAACTTATAAACATTGTCTTGGATTCAGGATGTTCCAACTGAGGAGAGATGCTTCTCTGTTATGCTAAGACTCAGGCTCAGGCACACTGAATTTGAAGTAGGTAAGAGGAAGGGAAGGTGAAGGGAGAGAAATGGAGAGACAGGTTGAGCAGCAATTGAGTAGGAAATGCGAGATCTAGCAAAGTCGGTGTGCATTGGTGAGGTGAAGTGTAAATGTCTAAAGAATTTCAGATTCCCTGGTGAAAGGTGCTGTTGCAATAAAAAGCAAAGAGGTGTGAAGTGTGTTGGTACTGGCATGCATGAACATTTACAGTTATTTTAAACACTTTCAAAACACCCTGCCTCCCGTTGCTTTAAAAAAATCTTATTTATTTATTTTAATTGTGTGTGGAGGGCTGGGGGCATTAGGGAATGGAGAGCCTTTGTCAATAAATTCTTAGTTCTCTGATTATAAATAGAGGCACACCAGAGTACCATGTTTTAATTAGAAACCTGGGACCAGAGAGGATTACCTCAGGAATACATTTATTTTCAGCTCACGGAGCTTATAGGATGATCTTATTATTGCAGAAAGCAGTGAAAGAAAGAAGGCTGTGACAGAAGCAGATATCTTGAATAAGAAGAAAGTTTAGAGAAACTTCCCTGAATCAAAAGTTGATTGTTGTTTGCAAAATATATCTTAAAGACAAATCTAGTTAATATTGGGTTTGAAGATTTCATAACATTTCTCAGATAATAGGCTGAAAGAAAATGTATTACCAGTCTGACTGAAAAAGTGTAGCTTGTAATTATTTCTATTTCTTAACAATAACTTGCTCTTACAAGTTAGAAGGGAAAGAGAATTTACCAATATAAGTTTGATTTTATATCAATAAAATTAGAAAATACTTCAAATAATACTGACAAAATATTTTTTGTCACATAAATTTAACACCATGACTGATTTGCCTCAGTTTTTAAAAATTATCTTTAAATAAATTAATAATCTTAGCCCTCCTTTGTGTCCTTCACTGCTATAATGTGAATATGTCCTCCAAAACCCATGTGTTGAAAGCTTTATCTGCAGTGCAATAGTGTTGGGAGGTGGGGAGTTTTGGGAAGTGTTTAGGTAATGAGGACTCTACCCTTATGAATGGATTAATGCCATTATAAAAGGGCTGGATGAGCGGACAACAAATATAGGAAAAAATGCTCACATCACTCATCAGAGAAATACAAATCAAAACCACAATGAGATGCCATCTCATACTAGTCAGAATGGCTATTATTAAACAGTTAAAAAAAAAGATGCTGGTGAGGCTCCAGAGAAAGAGGAATGATTATACACTGCTGGTGGGAATGCAAATTATTTCAGCCACTATGGAAAACAATTTGGAGATTTTGCAAAGAACTTAGAACTCCTTTTCGACCTAGTGATTCCATTATTGGGTATGTACCCAAAGGAAAATAAATTTTTTCTACCAAAAAGACACATACTAGTATGTTCAATAGTGAAGACATGGGATCAACCCAGATGCCCATCTGTGGTAGACTGGATAAAGAAAATGTAGTACATATACATCTTGGAATACTATGCAGCCATAAAATAAAGAAATCATGTCATTTCCAGCAACATGGATGCAACAGGAGGCCATTGTCCTAAGTGAGTTAATTCAGGAACAAAAAATCAAATACTGCATGTCCTCACTTATAAGTGGGAGCTAAGCATTGGGTACACATGGACATAAAGATGAGAACAGTAGACTGTGAGGACTACTAGAAGGGAGAAAGGGAGGAGGGCGAGGGTTGAAAAGTTACCTGTTGGGTACTATGCTTACTACCTGGGTGGTGGGATCATTGGTATCCCAAACCTCACACAATATACCCATGTAACAAACCTGCACATGTATTCCCTGAATCTAAAATAAAAGTTGAAATGATATTTAAAAAAGGGGCTTGATGGAGAGAGTTTGTCTCTTTTTTGCCCTTCTACCACTATACTAAAAAGAGTTTCCAACAATTTATTTCTGAACAGGCATAGAAATTCCCATGAGGTAAACTTAAATGCAAGAGGCAGTGTTTATACTAAAAAATTTGAATATAGAATAATGGCATTCACCTAGATAATTCTGGACAATATAATATACTAATAATGAAAAGAATTTGTTTTTGAAAAACAATTTGAATTACATGGAAAATTTTCTAATTCTGAGTTAACTTGTGTATCCACAATCATAGAAGTGGTCTACTTAGTCACAATTATTTATATCTACAGTCCAATAGAAACAGAATGTGAGCCATAAATCAGAGTCACATATGTCATTTAAAATTTTCCAATGGCCACATTAAAGTGGTAAAAAGAAACAGGTGAGATTAAATCTAATTACATGTTTTATTGAACTCAGTACATCTAAAATATTATTTTAACATATCAGTTTAAAAACTATTGAGATATTTCACATTACTTATAAAATACTAAGTGTATTAGTTCATTTTCATGCTGTTATGAAGAAATACCCCAGACTGGGTAATTTATAAAGAAAAGAGGTTTAATTGGCTCACAGTCCCACATGGCTGGGAAGTCCTCCGGAAACTTACAATCATGGTGGAAGGCATCTCTTCATAGGGTGGCAGGAGAGAGAATGAGTGCCAGCAGGGGAAATACCAGATGCTTATACAACTATTAGATCTCATGAGAACTCACTCGCTATCATGAGAACAGCATGGGGGAAACCGACCCCATGATTCAATTACCTCCCACTGGGTCCCTCCCACAACACGTGGGGATTATGGGGATTATACTTCAAGATGAGATTTGGGTGCAAACACAGCTAAACCATATCACTAAATCTTTGAAATCTGATGTAAATTTTATACTTATAAAACATCTCAATTGGGATTAGCCATATTCTAAGTGCTCAATAATTATATGAGGTTTATAGCCATTATATTGGACAGTGTAGCTCTGTATCATCTGACATGATAGAGTGCCTTCTACACTTAATTGTCTGTGTGGTTGTGTAGATCTACAAGCACAGAGCTGAACAGGATCCCAAAGTAGCTAGGTTGGTATTTTTTTCTTTGTAAAGAAGCTTGCATACTAGTACTACAAAAAATGAAAAATTAAAAAAAAAGGATCTGAAATTTGAACTGTTTTATGCTGCTAGATAGATGTGGTGATTGCTGAAAACATCAATTTTTAAAAACATTAATATGGTATCATTTGTAGAGTTAACAAAGAATAAAATACAAGGTTGCTTTATGGACTTGAATGGACATTTCTCCAAAGAAGATATATGAGTGGCCAATGGGCACATGAAAAGATACTTAACATCACTAGGAAATCATTAGGGCAATATGAATCAAAGCCATAATGCAATATCACTTCACACCCATTAGGATAGCTATTATGAAAGAAAAAGAAACAGAAAACAGGTATTGGTGAGGGTATAGAGAAATTGCAACCCTTGTGCACTGCTGGTGGGCATGTAAAGTAGTGTAGCTGCTGTGGAAAACAATATGGCAGTTCCTCAAAAATAAAAAATAGAATTACCATATGATCTAGCAATTCCACTTCTGGGTATATACCCCAAATAAGTGAAAGCAGATTTTGAATAGATATACGTAAACTCATGTTCTTAGCAGCATTATTCACAGTAGTCCAAAAAGTGGAAGCAACTTAAGTGTCCATGATGGATAAATGAATAAATGGAATGTAGTATACAAATATAGTGGAATATTATTCAGCCTTAAAAAGGATGAAAATTCTGACACATTCTATAACATGAATAAACCATGAGGACATTATGCTAAACAAAATAAGTCAGACAGAAAAGGACAAATACTATATGATTCCACACATATGAGGCACTTAGAGTAGTCAAATTCATAGAGACAGAGAGTAGAATGGTGGGTGTCAGGAGTTAAGGGGAGGGAGGAATGGGGAGATATTGTTTAATGGGTACAGAGTTTGAGATTGGCAAGATGAAAATTGTTTTGTGGATGGATGGTGATATTGGTTGTACAACAATGTGAATGTACTTAGTGCCACTGAAATGTATACTTAAAATGGTTAAAATAGGCCAGGTGCCCTGGCTCATGCCTGTAATGCCAGCACTTTGGGAGGCTGAGGTGGGCGGATCACAAGGTCAAGAGATTGAGACCATCCTGGCCAACACGTTGAAATCCCGTCTCTACTAAAAATACAAAAATTAGCTGGGCTTGGTGGCACGTGCCTGTAGTCCCAGCTACTCAGAAGGTGGAGGCAGGAGAATCGCTTGAACCCGGGAGGTGGAGGTTGCAGTGAGCCGAGATCGCACCACCGCACTATAGCCTGGCGACATAGCGAGACTCCATTAAAAAACAAAAACAAAAAAGAAAAACAAAAAAACGGTTAAAACAGAAGGCAGGTGCAGTGGCTCATGCCTGTAATCTGTAATCCCAACACTTTGGGACTGAGATGGGAGGGTCACTTGAGTCCAGGAGTTTGAGACCAATCTGGGCAACAGAGCAGGGCTCAGTCTCCACAAAAACTAGAAAAAACTAGCTGGGTGTGGTGGCCTGTGTTTGCAGTTCTAGCTACTTGGGAAGCTGATGCAGGAGGATTGCTTGAGCCCAGGAGATCAAGGCTGCAGTGAGCTATGATCCTGCCACTGCACTCCCGCCTGGGTGACAGAGAGAGATGGTGTCTCTAAAAATTTTTTACAAAAGATTAAAATAGTAAAATTTATGTTATTTATATTTTATCATAATTAAAAATAAGTGATTTTTAAAAAGTACAAGGTTGCTTTGAAAATAGTCTACATTATCTGTCTCTCCTTGATTTTCTTTTTCTTCCATACTAACTTATCATCCATGTTTTCTTAAGCCAATTGGTCAGTCAATACCACTGTACACAAAGAAGAAGTCACTCCTATAAAATCCCAGACTTCTCTCCAAAAATTCATTTTATATAAAGTCAAAATAAAAAAGCTTTTTGAAAACCTGAATAGAAAGCTTCATATTCTTTTAGCATCATTACTAAATTAGTCTTTACTTGACAGCAGGGATCTTATGAAATTTCAAAAGAAAGAAATTTTGCAGGTAAAAAAATTAGATGTATCATTGCTCTAACAACCATTTTTTTTTCTATTTGCAATATTTTTAGGTCATAATTTTGATAGCTTGAAGTAATTTTCTGATTTTTCATGAGATATGTAGCTTTGTTTTCTAGTTTATATGTTCTTTGATAACTTAAATTCCATATTTTCTTTTTTTTTTGAAATTGACTTCAGGTCCTGAGTTTGCCTGAAGATTTTCTTATCTCATGTAGACTTTGATTTCATTTTTGGTTCTTCCAGATGGTCAATTACATTCTCAGACAACTTTGAAACTTGGATTCCTCTTATAAAATGTCCTGAAAAGGCCAGATTTTTGGTATGCCACTCAGAGCAGGTTCATAAAGTTTAAGGTAAACATGAAAAGGCAGTACATTTACAGGTGTTCTGTTTTAAGCAAATTTCTGTATAATCTATAACATGAATAAGCACAAGTTAATTTTTTATCCCTCATGGTCTTTTAATGTATACTCACTGGGGGTGACTATAATTCCCTCCCCAGGATGAAACCTAGGCAGGTCTCAGGACTTTTTTGGTGATTTTTTAGGTAATAGTCCTAACATCACTTAAAGCTACAGATAGTCTCAACTCAGAAAACAGAATGTCTGATGTTCAACAATGATGAAAATTCTTAGTGTGACTTAATCTCAAATCTCCCTTCACCCCATCAAGAACCTAAGGCTGCTGTTGAGGACTAGGGGTAAGAAGCTTTGTTTCCGCCTCCCAGCCTCTTCCATTTGCTAGCTGTGGAGTTGGTGGGGAGGGGAAGGTCCCAGATATTCTAATTTGATTCAGCAGTGATGCAGGATGGTGTTGATTCAGCAGTGACGCAGGATGCGTATATATGACGCATATATGGGCCTGACAGGCATTTATAGCTGCCCTTACCTTGTGGACACTTTTGTGGGCTATTTGAGCCTCCCCTTGGGGGCTCTTCTAGCCCTGGGCTGCTGGAAGGGACTACCCCTTCAGCCCCTAGTTCTCATGTGGTCCCTTTTTTCAAGACCTCTGTTGGTGTCTTCTTGCTCTTCCTTTCAGGGTAGGATTTTCTTGGGTAAGATTTCAAACAACTTCAGACTGTTTTTCAGAATGGTCCATATTTGGTCCACAGGAAATCCTCTCATGCTCTTGGACCCACTGTGGGAAAAAGGGCAGTTTCTTTTTAGATTAAGTAACAGATCTTTGTTTTTGCAATAGCCAATGTGGTTAATCAGCTTGTTACATACTCCTGCCTTTCAGATTTTTCTGGTAAGAATGCCGCCTGTGTTTCCTAACAAAACAACAAAATAGAAGTATTGTGTTATAGACAATGTGCCAAGACCAGCTCGGTTGGGGAGACCCTAACCCAGCGGTGCTAGAGGAATTAAAGGCACACACACAGAAATATTGAGGTGTGAAGTGGGAAATCAGGGGTCTCACAGCCTTCAGAGCTGAGAGCCCCGAACAGAGATTTACCCACATATTTATTAACAGCAAGCCAGTCATTAGCATTGTTTCTATAGATATTCGATTAACTGAAAGTATCCCTTATGGGAAACAAAGGGATGGGCCGAATTAAAGGAGTAGGTGGGGCTAGCAGCAGCGTGCAGCAGGAGCATGTCCTTAAGGCACAGATCGCTCATGCTATTGTTTGTGGCTTAAGAATGCCTTTAAGCGGTTTTCCGCCCTGGGTGGGCCAGGTGTTACTTGCCCTCATTCCCGTAAACTCACAACCTTCCAGCTTGGGCGTTAGGGCCATTATGAACATGTTACAGTGCTGCAGAGATTTTGTTTATGGCCGGTTTTGGGGCCAGTTTATGGCCAGATTTTGGGGGGCTTGATCCCAACAACAAGGAGAACTGACATGGCCATGAACCATGTGTTATATGTAATTCATTGTAATTAACTCAATAAAAATGTGAAAATAACTTTAAGATTTTTTTATAATAAGATTTTACCTTAATTATAAAGATCTAGGACTTATTCTTTGCTTGGCATGGTTTGCTGCATTACAGAACTATAGAACAGATGATCTCTGCAAAACTGACCATGTTAAGATAGTACCCCACTTTGGTTTTAGGTGTGCCTAAATGTCACTTCTCTCATTCCTCAGGGTGGCCAGGAGGGAACTGCTACAAACATTATCAGCTTTTATGTGTATAATAAAAAATGTTGGGAAGCCTTGTTCTATACTTCACATTAATAAAAAGAACATTAGCATGAAGGTTGAAAATAAAATTTTAAAAATTGAATTTAGCAAAATTTCATTATGGGCTCTGGATATGCAAATTGCTATTAGTAATTGCTATCATAAGCGATATCTGGTGTCAACTCTATGTAAATGTCAGCAATTAACAGCACACATTATGTGTTTTTGTCATCTTCTAAGCTGGCTGGTTCCTACTTGTTTTGAAAATATATCACTCTTGGAAGAATATTCAGAAAGAACCTGTAATTTGTCAGCATCAATCATTTTCAGATTCAAGTATGCAGGATTTTACAGGATGGGTTTTGCAGTGCTAGCTAAAATTTAAAGTCTCTTATTTGGTACCACATAAATTAGTCACACAGCTGATTAGTAATGATCATACATCTTTGCTAATTCTTTGGGTTTACCAAGCATTTTCATCCATATTAACTCATCTGATCATATTTCTGTATTAAATATTGGGCTAAGTTTCAGCAACACTGTCCAGTTCAATTGAAATTTATTCATATTTTATGGAAATAAAATCTTCATTTTGTTCATGATAGTATATATATATATATATATATATATAGAAAATATTTATTTCCTTGACATTTTATTTGTCCAGAGAGATGAAAAAGGTAATGACTGAGTGTAATCAAAGTGTTTGTATCTTCTACTACATCAAGCATAAGAACAATTTTTATTTTTTAATGTACCATGCTGTTAGAAAATAACCCTACATTTCTTTTACCATGGAGACCATTAAATTACCTTGCTGGAACCCAGATTTGAGTCTGCTAAAAATATTCAATCAGGGCTGTGAAGTTAAAAATATATTTTCCTACTGGATTTTTAAAATCTTCTAAGGAGATTGAAGGAGGGTCTAAGTGACCAGCCTTTAAGATTTTAGAGAGAGAATAAAGTTCCAGAGCCAGTGATGATTTGGTTCTCATTAAGAATTTTTAAAAGTCATGAAAGATGGACAGCCCACAAAGCTTGATTTGTTCATCTTTCCTTCTGGTTTGGAATTACTTCGTGATTGAAACTGTTGAGCAGATTGACAGGAATAGCAAACTCTGTCAGGCAAAATGCTTTCAAAGTAAAAGTAAACATGATTTCCATTTTGTTCACATTCTTGAGATGGTACAGAGTTGTAATACACAAAGTAGGCTCAAATTACGTTTGTTAAATGAATGAACTAAATTTAGTGAATCCCAGGTATGTTGCCTTTAAATGACACAAATAGTGAAGTTCTCTATTCAGTAGTCCCTTGACATCAAGTATTTTCCAGGTTGTGTGTGTTGATGCTTCTTTAATGTAATTAAATAAGTATAATTTATGTATATACTTGTTATAGATTAAAATCAATGCAATAAATGACATTTAGTAAACTATTCCTTTAAATTAATAGTTTTTCTCAGAATGCAATAAAAATGATTCTGCTCCCATCAATTTTAACACTTACTCGATGTGTAAAGTTACATTGGCCAAATAACTCAGCTTGGAAAATATACCAGCAGCTTCACAGTTACATTCCAGTGACTCAAAGAGACAGTGTGAAAAGATACCACAAACTAGTTCTTATTGATCAGCAATTGCATTTTCATGCTGTCCTGATAAAACACAGCAAGAAAATTCAGAACTTGGGTGTCTTCTTAATATATCATAAGAGGAAAAAATTTGAGAGGTTTGATGAAAGCTAAGCTTTCTCGTAAAAGCATGACCATAATTACCATCTTTCTGGTATAGTTATTAGGTTTCTAATGGCACAAAAGGCAGGCCTGGTTTCCCAATATGGTTTCTTACTTGAGCTCACTCATCGAAATGGATGTGTGTCCTTTGCACCATCTCAAGCTCTTTGAAAACTGAAGTATTAGAGCTAACTGTATTTATGGGAGGAATAGGTAACATGGGTGAGTTTTCCCAGGAAACTGACCCTGAGATGAATATTTTATATGCTGGAAGTTTACTTGGGAATGATCTAGGGATCAACACCTATTGGAGAGTGAAGGAGGCAGGATTGGGTACAGGGAGAAGTTGATGAATTTGTAACAGAAACTTCAGCTGATCCCACAGAGAGCTCTGGAGTAGGACTGTCCTTTAGAATGGGCCCAAATTAAGACATGAAAGCTGGGCCTTTATACCCTTGTGTGGGGTGGGGGTGAAGGTATGATTTTGGGTGAGGTGGTTCTTTTTAGCTGAGGGCAAGTCTAAGAAGGGACTTAGGTGAAAGCTCTGGACCACCGGTACTCAACACTCCTGTAGCCATGGGAATGTGTGCTTCAGTTCTCCGGTGTGGCGGTCTGAGCATTGCACTGTAGCATCCACTACAGTAGGTAACCATTTAAAGAGTCAATGATTCACAAAACCTCAACATACCTTGCAATTCTGTTGGAATTTAAACTTGGAATTTGTAGAGACAAACCCTTTTCCATGGTTATCTAGTACTTTTTGATCACCTACTCTGTGTTAGGCATTATGAAATACGGGTATGCGGTGATAAGAGCTAAGCTCGCCCTGAGGTGTTGACACTATTAGAGAAATTGAATTGTTAGAGAAAATTGAATTTTCAGTGATGGAATATCAAGTATTTTGGTATACTAGGGGTAAGGGATGGGCTTATTTCTTTTTTGGGAGAGTTGGGTTCTAGCCCCCTCATATTCCACTACATCATTTAGATGATTAACCCATTGTTCCTCTTCTTAAAGTTATCTCTGGTATGTTCATAGAAATCATGTATGTCTCTTTGAACACTTTGAACTAGCAGATAGTAATAATAACTAGTATTTCTCTAGCATTTTGCAGCTTTCAAAAAGCAGGATTCCTTTGTCACTGAGACAAAGGAATGAGGCAAATGAGAAAACAGAGAGAGGCTCAGGGAGATTACTTGATTTGCTAAAGTTCCATCATCAACAAATGATAGTCAGCATTCAAATATGCTTTTGTTTTCCTACATGACTCTGTTCACCTTGTGGAACAGCAAAGGAACCAAAAGAGGCCACCTGCTGAAAGTACCTCTTATATTTATTTATTTATTTATAATTCTTTATTTTTTTTCTTAAAATTTTGCATAGGTTATTGAGGTACAGGTGGTGTTTGGTTACATGAGTGAGTTCTTTAGTGGGCTTTGTTCGATTTTGCTGCACCCATCAACTGAGTAGTATACACTGCACTCTCTTTGCAGACTTTTATCCCTTTCCCCGCTCCTACCCTTCCCCCAAAGTCCCCAAAGTCCATTGTATCATTCTTATGCCTTTGGGTCCTCATAGCTTGGCTCTCACATATCAGTGAGAACATATGATATGTGGTTTTCCATTCCTGAGTTACTTCTCTTAGAATAGTAGTCTCCAATCTCATCCAGGTCACTCAAATGCCATTAATTCATTCCTTTTTATGGCTGAATAGTCTTCCATTGTGTGTGTGTGTGTGTATATACATATATATGTGTGTGTGTATATATATATGTGTGTGTGTAGATATCTATCTATCTATCTATATCTACACACACATATATACATGACAGTTTCTTTATCCACTCGTTGCTTGATGGGCATTTGGGTTGGTTCCATGATTTTGCAATTGTGAATTATGCTGCTATAAACATACATGTGCAAGTGTGCAGTATCTTTTTTGTATAATGACTTCTTTTCCTCTGTGCAGATACCCAGTAGAGGAATTGCTGGATCAAATGGTAGTTCTACTTTTAGTTCTTTAAGGAAACTCCACACTGTTTTCCATAATGGCTGTACTAGTTTACATTCTCACCAGCAGTGTAGAAGTGTTCCCTGTTCATCGCATCCATGCCAACATCTACTGTTTTTTTTAAATTTTTATTTTTATTTTATTTTTTATTATGGCCATTCTTGCAGGAGTTGGGTGGCATCACATTGTGGTTTTGATTTGCATTTCCCTGATCATTAGTGATGTTGATTATTTTTTTTCACATATTTGTTGGCCATTTATATATCTTCTTTCGAGAATTGTCTATTCATGTCCTTAGCCCACTTTTTGATGGGATTGTTTATTTTTTTCTTACTGGTTTGTTTGAGTTCATTGTAGATTCTGGATATTAGTCCTTTGCCAGTGTATAGATTGTGAAGATTTTCTCCCAATCTGTGGGTTGTCTGTTTCCTCTGCTGACTGTTCCTTTTGCTGTGCAAAAGCTCTTTAGTTTAATTAGGTCCCAGCTATTTATCTTTGTTTTTTTGCATTTGCTTTTGGGTTCTTGGTTATGAAATCCTTGCCAAAGCCAATGTCTAGAAGGGTTTTTCCAACATTATCTTCTAGAATTTTTATAGTTTCAGGTCTTAGATTTAAGCCCTTAATCCATCTTGAGTTGATTTTTGAATAAGGTGAGAGATGAGGATCCAGCTTCATTCTCCTACATGTGGCTAGCCATTTATCCCAGAACCATTTGATGAAAAGGGTGTCCTTTCCCCACTTTATATCTTTGTTTGCTTTGTCAAAGATCAGTTGGCTGTAAGTATTTGGGTTTATTTCTGAGTTCTCTGTTCTGTTCCATTGGTCTATGTGATTGTTTTCATACCAGCACGATGCTGTTTTGGTGACTATGGCCTTACAGTATAGTTTGAAATCAGGTAATGTGATGCCTCCAGGTTTGTTCTTTTTGCGTAGTCTTGCTTTGGCTATGTGGGCTCTTTTTATGAATTTTAAAATTGTTTTTTCGAATTCTGTGAAGAATGATGGTGATATTTTGATGAGAATTGTGTTGAATTTATAGATTGCATTTGGCACTATGGTCATTTTTACAATATTGATTCTACCCATCCATGAGCATGGGTTGTGTTTCCATTTGTTTGTGTCGTCTGTGATTTCTTTCAGCAGTGTTTCATAGTTTTCCTTGTAGAGGTCTTTCACCTCCGTGATTAGGTATATTTCTAAGTATTTTATTTTATTTTTGCAGCTATTGTAAAAGGGGTTGAATTCTTGACTTCCTCTTTACCAATTTGGATTCCCTTTCTTTCTCTTATCTGATTGCTAGGACTTCCAGCACTGTATTGAAGAGGAGTGGTGAGAGTGAGGATCCTTGTCTTGTTCCAGTTCTCAGAGGGAATGCTTTCAACTTTTCCCCATTCAGTGTTATGTTGGCTATAGGTTTGTCATAGATGGCTTTTATTCCATTGAGGTATGTCCCTTGTATGCCAATTTTGCTGAGAGTTTTAATCATAAAGGATGCTGGATTTTGTCAAATGCTTTTTCTACATCTATTGAGATGATCATGTGATTTTTGTTTTTAATTCTGTTTATGTGGTGTATCACATTTATTGACTTGCATATATTAAAACATCCCTGCATCCCTGGTATGAAACTCACTTGATCATGGTGGATTATCTTTTTGATATGTTATTGGATTCAATTAGCTAGTATATTTTTAAGGATTTTAGCATCTATATTCTTCAGGGATATTGGTCTGTAGTTTTCTTTTTTGGTTATTTTCTTTTCTGGTTTTGGTATTAGGGTGATGCTAGCTCTATAGAATGAATTAGGGAGGGTTCCCTCTTTCTCTCTCTTGGAATAGCGTCAATAGGATTGGTACCAATTCTTCTTTGAATGTCTGGTAGACTTATGCTGTGAATTCATCTGGTCCTGAACTTTTTTATGTTGGTAATTTTAAATTACCATTTCAATCCCACTGCTTTTTATTGGTTATTTCAGGGTATCTAATTATTTCTGATTTAAGCTAGGAGGGTTGTATTTTTCCAGGAATTAATCCATCTCTTCTAGGTTTTCTAGTTTATGTGTGTAAATGTGTTCATAATAGCCTTGAATGATCCTTTTGTATTTCTGTGGTGTCAGTTGTAATAGCTCCCATTTCATTTCTTACTGAGCTTATTTGGGTTTCCTCTCTTCTTTTCTTGGTTAATCTTGCTAATGGTCTATCAATTTTATTTATCTTGTTAAAGAACCAGCTTTTTGTTTCATTTATCCTTTCTATTTTTTTTTGTTTCAATTTCATTTACTTCTGCTCTGATCTTGGGTATTTCCTTTCTTCTGCTGGGTTTGAGTTTGGTTTCTTCTTGTTTCTCTAGTTCCTTGAGGTGAGACCTTAGATTGTCAGTTTGTGCTCTTTCAGTCTTTCTGATGTAGGTGTTTAGGGCTGTGAGCTTTTCTCTTAGCACCATTTTTGCTGTATCCCAGAGGTTTTGATAGGTTGTGTCACTATTGTCATTCAGTTTGAATACTTTTTAATTTCCACTTTGATTTCGTTTTTGCTCCTGATCATTGGATTGTTCAGGAGCAGGTTATTTAATTTCCATGTATTTGCGTGGGTTGGAAGGTTCCTTTTGGAGTTGACTTCCAGTTTTATTCCACTGTGGTGTGAGAGAGTGCTCGATGTAATTTCAGTTTTCTTAAATATATTGAGGATCATTTTGTGACCTATGATATGGTCTAATTGAAGAAAGTTCCATGTGCTGTTGAATAGAATGTGAATTCTGCCGTTGTTGGATGGAATGTTCTGTATATATCTGTTAGGTCCATTTGTTCCAAGGTATAGTTTAAATCTATTTTTTTGTTGTTGAATTTCTGTCTTGATTACCTGTCTAGTGCTGTCAGTGGAATATTGATGTCACTCACTGTTATTGTGTTGTTGTCTATTTCATTTGTTAGGTCTACTAGTAATTGTTTTATTAATCTGGAAACTCCAGTGTTAGGTCCATATATGTTTAGGATTGTGATATTTTCCTGTTGGACAAGGCCTTTTACCATTATATAATGTCCCTCTTTGTCTCTCTTAACTGCTATTGCTTTAAAATTTGTTTTGTTTGGTATAAGAATAGCTACTCCTGCTTGCTTTTGGTGTCCATTTGCATGGAGTGCCTTTTTCCAACCCTTTACTTTAAGTTTATGTGAGTCCTTATGTGTTAGGTGAGTCTCTTGAAGGCAGCAGATGGTTGGTTGGTGAATTCTTACGCATTCTGCAGTTCTGTATCTTTTAAGTGGAGCATTTAGGCCATATGCATTCAACGTTTGTATTGAGATGTGAGGTACCATTCCATTAATCGTGCTATTTGTTGCCTGTGTACCTTGGTTTTTTGTTTTTTGTTTTTTAAATTGTATTTTTGTTTTGTAGGTCCTGTGGGATTTATACTTTAAAGAGGTGTTGTGGGAAGTCAGGGACCCTGAACGGAGGGACCGGTTGAAGCCATGGCAGAAGAACATAAATTGTGAAGATTTCATGGACATTTATTAGTTCCCCAAATTTTTTAATACTTTTACAATTTCTTACACCTGTCTTTACTGCAATCTCTGAGCATAAATTGTGAAGATTTCATGGACTCTTATCACTTCCCCAATCAATACCCTTGTGGTTTCCTATGCCTGTCTTTACTTTAATCTCTTAATCCCATCATCTTTGTAAGCTGAGGATGAATGTTGCCTTAGGACCCTGTGATGATTGCATTAACTACACAAATTGTTTAAACAATATGAAATCTGGGCACCTTGAAAAAAGGATAACAGCGATGTTCAGGGAACAAGGGAGATAACCTTAAAGTCTGGCTGCCTGCGGGCTGGGTGGAACAGAGCCATATTTCTCTTCTTTCAAAAGCAAATAGGAGAAATATTGCTGAATTCTTTTTCTCAGCAAGGAACATCCCTGAGAAAGAGAATGTGTCCCTAAGGGGAGGCCTCTGAAATGGCCGCTTTGGGGACATCTGTCTTTTACAGTTGTAGATAAGGGATGAAATAAACCCCGGTCTCCTGTAGCACTCCCAGGCTTATTAGGATGAGGAAATTCCTGCCTAATAAATTTTGGTCAGAGCGGTTGTCTGCTCTCAAACCCTGTCTCCTGATAAGATGTTATCAATGACAATGTGTGTCCAAAACTTCATTAGCAATTTTAATTTTGCCCCGGTCCTGTGATCTCACCCTGCCTTCATTTGCCTTGTGATATTTTATTACCTTGTGAAGCATGTGATCTCTGTGACCCACACCCTATTCATACATTCCCTCCCCTTTTAAAAATCACTAATAAAAACTTGCTGGTTTTGCAGCTTGGGGGGCATCATGGAACCTGCTGACATGTGATGTCTTTCCTGGACATCCAGCTTTAAAATTTCTCTCTTTTGTACTCTTTCCCTTTATTTCTCAGACCAGCCGACACTTAGGGAAAATAGAAAAGAACCTATGTGAAATATTGGGGGTGAATTTCCCCCCAATAAAGAGGTTCTGTTCTTATGTATTTCCAGGATTTGTTTCAAGACATATAGCTCCTTTTAGCAGTTGTTGTAGTGGTGGCTTGGTAGTGGCGAATTCTCTTCAGTTTTTGTCTGTCTGGAAAAGTCTGTATCTTTCCATATGTGGCACATATACACCATGGAATACTATGCAGCCATAAAAAGGGATGAGTTCATGTCCTTTGCAGGGACATGGATGAAGTTGGAAACCATCATTCTCAGCAAAATACCACAAGGACAGAAAACCAAACACCACATGTTCTCACTCATAAGTGGGAGTTGAACAATGAGAACACATGGACACAGGGAGAGGAACATCACACACTGGGGCCTGTTGGGGAGTGGGGGGCTGGGGGAGGGACAGCTCTCAAGATTCTTCCCTTCCTCTTAACTTTAAACAACCTTGTGACAACGTGCCTAGGTGATGATTTTTTTTGTGATGAATTTCCCAGGCTTCTGTGTGCTTCTTGTATTTGGATGTCTAGGTTTCTAGCTAGGCCAGGGAAGTTTTCCTCAATTTTTTCCCTGAATACGTTTTTCAAGCTTTTAGATTTCTCTTCCTCAAGAACCCTGATTATTGTTACTTTTGGTTGTTCAACATAATCCAATACTTCCTGGAGGCTTTGTTCATATTTTCTTATTCTTTTTTCTTTGTCTTTGTTGGATTGGGTTAATTTGAAGACCTGTCTTTGAGCTCTGAATTTCTTCTACTAGTTCAATTCTATTGCTGAGACTTTCCAGAGCATTTTGGATTTCTATAAGTGTGTCTAAAGTTGCCTGAAGTCTTGATTTTTTTTTCATTATGCTATCAATTTCATTGAATTTTGTCCCTTCACTTCTTGTATCATGTTTTGGGTTTCCTTGCATTGGGCTTGGCCTTTCTCTGGTGCCTCCTTGATTAGCTTAATAAGTAACCTCCTGAATTCTTTTTCAGGCAAATCAGGGTTTTTTTTCTTGGTTTGGATTTATTGCTGGTGAGCTAGTGTGATTTTTTGGGGTTGTGAAAGAGCCTTGTTTTGTCATATTACCGGAGATGGTTTTCTGGTTCCATCTCATTTGGGTAGGCTCTGTCAGATGGAAGGTTTAGGCCTGAAGGCTATTGTTCAGATTCTTCTGTCCCATGGGGTGTTTCCTTGAGGTAGTACTTTCTCCCTTTTCCTACGATGTTCCTTCCTGGGAGCTGAGCTGTAGTGATTATTATCTCTCTGCTGGGTCTAGCCACCAGCAAGTCTACTAGGCTCTGGCCTGGTACTGGGGTTTTCTGCACAGAGTCCTGTGATGTGAACTGTCTATGGGTCTCTTAGCCGTGGATACCAGCACCTGTTCCAGTGGATGTGGCAGGAGAGTGAAGTGGACTCTGTGAGGGTTCTTAGCTTTGGTGGTTTAATGCTCTATTTTTGTGCTGTTTGGCCTCCTGCCAGGAGGTGGCGCTTTACAGGGAGCATCAGCTGTGGTAGTATGGAGAGAAACTGGTGGTAGACGGGGCCCTAGAACCTCCAAGAGTATATACCCTTTGTCTTCAGCTACTGGGGTGGGTAGGGAAGGACCATCAGGTGGTGGCAGGGCTAGGCTGTCTGAGCTCAGACTTTCCTTGGGCAGGTCTTGCTGTGGCTCCTGTGGGGGATGGGGTGAGCTCCCCAGGTCAATGGAATTATTTACCTGGGAGGATTATGGCTGCCTCTGCTGAGTCATGCAGGTTGTCAAGGAAGTGGGGGAAAGCTGGCAATCACAGGCCTCACCCAGCTCCCATGCAATCCAAAGGGCCGGTCTCACTCCCACAGTGCCCCACTGACAGCAATGAGTCTGTTTCCAGGCTGTAAGCAAGCAGGGCTGAGAACCTGCCCTAGGCTACCCACCTCCCAGCTGGAAAAGAAAGTAGGGCTTTAGTTCTTCCCCCGCCTGTGGAGTCTGCACGCTGGGATTCCCACCCTTCCTCGAGTTCTGGCCAGGAGGCTTTTCAGCCAGTTCAAATTGTTACTAAGTTCAGCTGGAGATTTTCTTCTCCCTGTGGCATTTTCCCTGTGCCTCTGGCTGCCCTCCTGAAGGATCCCTGTGGTGTCAGGCAGGAATGGCCTGCTTGGGAAGCTCACAGGTACTTTGCTGCTGCTTCCTCTACCCCTGTATTTCACTCGGCTCTCTAAATTGACTTGGCTCCAGTTAAGGTTGGAATCTTCTGCAAACTAGGCCTTGAGTTTCTCCAGTAGGAGTGTGTGTTTGGTTAAGGAGGATTTCCCTTTCCCACTTCCACAGTTTGGTCACAGTATTTGGGGTGCCTCCTGGGTCCTGCGTGAGCAATCCACTTCCTTAAGAGGATCTGTGGATCCTATCGGGTTTTCTGATTTATTCCTGTGGTCGTTTTGGAGTTAAAATTCACAATACGGACCTCCTCACGCTGCTGTATTCATCCGTGTCACAGCTGCAATCTTGTCCTGCCTCCCATCTGCCATGATGGAATGCAATCTCTTTATTTACTATTATTATTATTATTTTCAATTTTTTATTTTAAGTTCAGAGGTACATGTGCAGGATGTGCAGGTTTGTTACAGAGGTAAATGTGCACCATAATAGTTGGCTGCACAGATCATCCCATCACCTAGATATTAAGCCCAGTATCCATTAGCTATTGCTCTCCCTCCTCCCTACCCCCACCCTCTGACATGCCCCAGTATGTATTGTTCCACCCATGTGTCCATGTGATCTCATCATTCAGCTAACACTTATTAGTGAGAACATGTGGTGTTCGGTTTCCTGTTCCTGTATTAGTTTGCTGAGAATGATGGATTCTAACTCCATCAATGTCCCTGCAAAAGATATGATTTTGTTCCTTTTTATGGTTGCATAGTATTCCATGGTGTATATGTACCACATTTTCTTTATCCAGTCTATCATTGATGAACATTTAGGTTGATTCCATGTCTTTGCTATTGTGAATAGTGCTGCAATGAACATATGTGTGCAGGTGTTTTTATAATAGAATGATTTATATTCCTTTGGGTATATACCCAGTAATGGGATTGCTGGGTCAAATGGTATTTCTGTCACTAGGCCTTTGAAAAATCACCACACTGTCTTCCACAATGGTCAAACTAATTTACACTTCCACCAACAGGGCAAAAGCATTCCTTTTTTCTCCACAATCTAACCAGCATCTGTTGTCTTTTGGTTTTTTATTAATAGCCATTCTGACTGGCGTGAAATAGCATCTCATTGTGGTTTTGATTTGTGTTTCTCTAATGATCAGCGATGGTGAGCTTTTTTTCATATATTTGTTGGCCGCATGAATGTCTTCTTTTGAGAAGTGTCTGTTCATGTCCTTTGCCCGCTTTTTAATTTCTTTTTTTGTAAATTTAAGTTCCTTGTAGATTCTGGATATTAGGTCTTTGTCAGATGGATAGATTGCAAAAATTTTCTCCCATTCTGTAGGTTGTCTGTTTACTCTGTTGATAGTTGCTTTTGCTGTGCAGAAGCTCTTTAGTTTAATCAGATTGCATTTGTCAATTGTTGCTTTTTTTGCAATTGCGTTTGGCCTTTTTCTCATGAAATCTTTGCCCATGCCTATGTCCTGAATGGTATTCCTTAGATTTTCTCCTAGGAAGAAAATCTTATTACATAAACAACTAATACATGTCAACTAAAAATAATAGGAAAGGATTATGAATAAATATAAAGTGTATGGGAGGATGTGTGTAGATTATATGCAAATACTATAACATTTTATTTAATAGACTTGAGCATCCTTGGATTTTGTTCTCTGTGAGGATACTGAAACCAATCCCTCGCAGATATCATGGGACAACTGTATAGATGTGCAAGGGAAGGCTGAGTGAAGGATATACCAGACTTCTCTAAACTACCTCTGGCAAATGCATGTGAATCTGCAATTACCTCAAAATAAAAGGTTTATTATTTATAAAAGATATTTATCTTTCTGTGCTTGATTTAATGTAATGTCCTCCAGGCTTATCTGTGTTGCTGTGAATGACAGCATTTCCTTCTTTTTTATGGTTGAATGTATTCCATTGTGTATATATACCAAGTTTTCTTCACGCATTCATCTGTTGATGGGCACTTAGATTGATTCCATATCTTGGCTATTGGGAATACTGCTGTAATAAACGTGGAAGTGTAGAAAATTGATATACTGATTTCTTTTCTTTTGGATAAATACTCAGTAGTGAGATTGCTGGATCGTATGGTAGTTCTATTTCTAATTGTTTTTTAGAAACCCCCAAACTGTTTTTCATAATGGCTGTATTAATTTACATTCCTACCCACAGTGTATAAGAATTCCCCTTTTCTGCAGTCTCACCAATATTTGTAATTTTTTGTCGTTTTGACAATAGCCATTCTAATTGGGGTGGGATGATGTTGCATTGTGGTTTTCATTTATATTTCTCTGATGATTAGGGATGTGAGTGTTTTTCATATACTTGTGGCCATTTGTATGTCTTCTTTTGAGAAACGTCTATTCAGATCATTTGCTCATCTTTTAATTGGATGATTTGTATTATTATAGCTGTTGAGTTATTGGGTTCTTTATATATTCTGTATATTAGTCCCTCGTCGGATGAATAGTTTGTAAATATTTTCTCCCATTTTACAGACTGTCTCTTTTCTTTACTCTGTTGGTTGTTTTCTTTGCTATGTGGAAATTTTTAGTTTGATATGCTTCCATTTGTATATTTTTGCTTTCATTTGCCTGTGATTTTGAAGTCCAGGCTTTTGTACCTTTTCCTCAATCAGTATGATGTTAGCTGTGGGTTTATCACATATGGCCATTTCTGTGTGTTTAGTTATGCCCCTTCTATACCAAGTTTGGTGATGGTTTTTATCATAAAGAAATGTTGAATTTTATCAAATATTTTTTATGTGCCTATTGAAATGATCATATACTTTTGCCCTTCTTTCTGTTGATGCAATGCATAACATTTATTGATTTATGTATGTTGAACAATCCTTGCATTCCTGAGATAAATCCCACTTGACCATGCTGTGCTCGTATGCGTGTATGTATGTATTTATTTTTGTGATGGAGTCTTGCTCTGTTGCCCAGGCTGGAGTGCAGTGGCATGATCTCGGCTCACTGCAACCTTTGCCTCGCCGGTTCAAGCGATTCTCCTGCCTCAGCCTCCTGAGTAGCTGGGATTACAGGCACGCACCCCCATACCTGGCTAGTTTTTGTACTTTTAGCAGAGATGGGGTTTCACCATGTTGTATGCTTGAACTCCTGACCTCGTGATCCTCCTGCCTCGGCCTCCCAAAATGCTAGTATTACAGGCATGAGCCATCGCGCCTGGCCTGTGTTATCTTTTTGATGTGCTGTTGGATTTGGCTTGCTAATATATATATATATTAATGTTGGTTTATATATATATATGTATATATATATATGTTGGTTTTTTTTTGAAATGGAGTCTCACTCTGTCACCCAGGCAGTGCAGTGGTGCAATCTCGGCTTACTGCAAGCTCTGCCTCCCGGGTTCACACCATTCTCCTGCCTCAGCCTCCCGAGTAGCTGGGACTACAGGCGCCCGACACCACGCCTGGAAAATTTTTTGTATTTTTAGTAGAGACGTGGTTTCACTGTGTTAGCTAGGATGGTCTGGATCTCCTGACCTCGTGATCTGCCTGCCTCAGCCTCCCAAAGTGCTGGGATTACAGGCATGAGCCACTGCACCAAGCCTAGGTTTGCTAGTATTTTTTGAGGATTTTTATATCTGTGTTAAGGAATATTGGCCTGTAGTTTTCTTTTTGTATTCTTGTCTGGTTTTGATATCAGGGTAATTCTGGTCTCATAGAATGAGTTAAGGAGAAATCTCTCCTTTTCAATTTTTTTTTTTTTTTTGGAATACTTTGAGGAGGACGGGTGCTGGTTCTTCTTGAAAAGTTTGATAGAATTCAGCAGTGAATCTATCTGGTCCTGGGCTTTTATTTGTTGGGAGACTTTATTACTGATTTGATATAATTGTTATTGTCTGTTCAAGTTTTAAACATGTCTTTCTGGCTCAATCTTGGTAGGTTATATGAGTTCAGGAATTTATCCATTTCTTCTAGGTTTTCCAGTTTATTGGAGTAGAGTTGTTCATAGTAGTCCCCTTGTATTTCTGTTGTTCAGCTGTAATGTCTTCTTTTTAGTTTCTGATTTTCTTTATTTGGGTCTTCTTTCAATTTTTCTTAGCTAGTCTAGCTAATGGCTTGTTGATTTTGTTTATATTTTCAAAAACAACTCAATTTTGTTGATATCTAAAATATCAACAAATATTTAAATATTTGTTGTCTCAGATATCGTAAATTTTTTTTGTCTCTATTTCATTGAGTTCTTATCTGATCTTTGACTCTTTCTTTCTTTCTACTAATTTTGGGCTTGGTTTGTTCCTGATATTCTAGTTATTTGAGGCACATGAGTTGTTTATTGAAGTCTTCCTCCTTTTTTGATGTAGGTGTTTATTGCTGTAAACTTCTTTCTTAGTACCATTTTTGCTGCATCCCATAGATTTTGGTATGTTGTGTTTCATTTTTCATTTGTTTCAATAATTTTTTGAATTTCTTTCCTAATTCTTTATTGATCCTTTGGTCATTAAAGAGCATGTTGTTTAATTTCCTTGTATTTACAAAAGTTCCCAAGTTGCTCTTGGTATTGATATTGTTCTATTCCACTGTGGTCTGAGAAGATACTTAATATGATTTTGATTTTTAAAATTTTGTTAAGACTTGTTTTGTGGCCTAACATATGATCTATCCTGGAGAAGGTTCCACATGTGTTGATAAAAAGAATGCATTCTGCAGCTGTTGAATGAAATGTTCTGTAAATGTCTGTTAGGTCCATTTTATCTATAGTACCATTTAAATTCAATGCTTCTTTGTTAATTTGCTTTCTAAATGATCTGTCCAGTGCTGAGAGAGGAATGTTGAAGTCCTCAACTGTTACTTACTTGGGTCTATCCCTGTCTTTAGCACTAGTAATATTTGGTTTATATATCTTGTTGCTCCTGTGTTGTGTGAATATATTTATAATTGTTATATTTTCTTGCTGAATTAATCCCATTATCATTATATTATGCTCTTATTTGTCTTTTTAAATTTTTTTTCTTAAAGGCTACTTTGTCTGATAGAAATGTAGCTACTCCTGTTCATTTTTGGTTTCCATTTGTGTGGAATATCTTTTTCTATCCCTTCATTTTAATTCTATGTGTGTCTTTACAGGTGAAGTGAGGTTTTTGTAGGCAGCATATAGTTGTTTGTTGGTTTTTTAAAAAGTTCATTTAGCCAGTTTGTATCTTTTAACTGGGAAATTTAAATAATATACATTTAAGGTTGTTATTAATAGATGAGGACTTACTCCTTTTATTTGTTAATTGTTTTCTGGTTGTTTTGTATATCCCTCTTTCTTTATTCCTCTTTTGTTTCTCGTTGTGGTTTGGTGGTTTTTTGTAGCAATAAGTTTTGATTCCTAACTCTTTTTTCATTTGTGTTTCTGTTTTACCAATGAGTTTTATACTTTTGTGGGTTTTTGTGATGGCAGATATCATTTGTTCATTTCTTGATATAGCACTCCTTTTAGCATCTCTTGTAGGGCCAGCCTAGTGATGAATTCCTGCAGTTCTTGCCCGTCTGGAAGAACTCTTTCTTTATGTGTCTTTCATTTCCGAAGGATAGTGTTGCTGTGTATAGTAATTTTGGCTGACAGTGATTTTTTTTCAGCACTTTGAATATATCATTTTATTCTATTCTAGCCTGTAAGGTTTTACTTAGTACTTTGCTGTTTGTCTGATGGGGATTTCCTTATATGTGACTAGACACTTCTGCTGTTTTTAGAATTCTCTTTTTGTCTTTGACTTTTGACAGTTTGACTATAATGTGTCTGAGAAAAGACTTTTTTGGGTTGAATCTGTTTGGTGATTTTTAAGCTTTTTGTACCTCAATGTCCTTAACTCTTCCAAGATTTAAGTTTTTAGCTATTATTTCACCAAGTAGGTTTTCTATGCCTTTTCCCATATCTTGTCCTTCTGAAATTCCCATCATAAATAAGTTTTTGTGTGATGGTGTTTCATAGGTCATGTAGGCTTTCTTCATTTTAAAATTCTTTTTATTTATTTATTTATTTTTTAAATATCTGACTGAGTTATTTTAAAAGACCTGGCTAGGTGTGATGGGTTATGCCTGTAATCTCAGCACTTTGGGAGGCCAAGGCAGGTGGATTGCCTAAGCTCAGGAGTTTAAGACCAGCTTGGGCAACATGGCAAAATCCCATCTCTACAAAAAATACAAAAATTATCCAGGCATGGTGGCATGCACCTGTAGTCCCAGCTACTTGGGAGGCTGAGGTGGGAGAATGGCTTGATCGTGGGAGGTGGAGGTTGCAGTGAGCTGAGATTGTGCCATTGCACTCCAGTCTGGGCAACAGAGCGAGACCATGTCTCAAAAACAAAGACAAACAAAAGTCCTGTCTTCAAGTTTAGATATTATTTCTTCTGCTTGATCTAGTCTGTTGTTAAGCAGTTAAGTGTATTATTAATTTAACTAATTTAATTTTTCAGTTCCAAGATTATGTTTGATTCTTTTTTGTATCTATCTCTGTTAAATTTCTTGTTCAGATCATAAATTGTTTTTCTGATTTCATTGAATCATCTGTCTGTGTTCTCTTGTATCTTGGTGAGTTCCTTAAGAGCATTGTTTTGAAGTTCTTTTCAGGCATTTAATCAATTTTTGTTTCTTTGGTTTCTGTTATTAAAGAATTATTGTGTTCCTTTGGAAGTGGCATGTTTCCTTGCTTTTTCATGTTTCTTGTATACCTATCTTAATATGTGCACATCTGTTGGAACGGTTGCTTCTTCCAATTTTATGAAGTAGCTTTTGTAGGGAAAGTCTTTTTCTTATACATGTGTTCTACAGTGTTAGTTGGCTAGGGTGTTTTGGCTTTGGTTCTGGGTGGGTGCATTAGGGTAGTCTCTGTATATTTTCTTTAGTTGTAATCAGTGTCCTCGGTGTTTGTGAGTTCCTTGATGGCCTGGACTGAGGTTGTTTGTGGAGGCTGTGGTGCAGATTTGCTGGGGATAGGGATGCTAGGTGTGCTGAGTCTTGGGCCCCTGGGTGGCATGTGCAGCAGCCTTACTGTTGGAAGATGTGGAGTCACCAGCATGAGTGGTGATGGGCCTCTGGCAGGGTGGTCTTCAGGCCCCTTAGCATTATGTGGGGGCATGGTTGCTGGTGGGGTGGACAGTGCCTCAGGTATACTTTAAATCAATCTAGATTACTTAAAATACCTAATAAAATAAGAATACTATGTAAATAGTTGTTATTATTACTGTTTTTATTTATATTATTTTAATTGTTATATTGTTTTTTAATTTTTAAAATATTTTCCATCTGTATTTGGTTGAATCTGCAGATGCATAACCTGAAGAAATGGAGGGCTAACTGTAGTATAATGTCACAACTAAGATTATGTTTTGTAGCTTGAATATATTTTTATTAAAGAATCTCTATATTATGAACTATGTGTTAATTTATTTAATTAGTCAGAGGTATTGGAGTGCATATAGGCTTGATTCAGAAATAAGTTTGAATCTGAGATCAACTTTCAAGTTGAAAAAGTCACTTGTTTCCTGTTTCGTATGATTAGTGTCATAAAAGAACCAATGAAGTATTGCGTGTAAAACCTGTTGTATGTTAGAAAGATCTATAATTTCTATCAAATAGAAATTATTTGCTATTATTGGTATAGCTTATTGTATACAGTGTTTCACAGGGTATTTGGGGGCACATAGATATTACTTTTTTGCCCATTATTTTAACAGAGAAAAATAAAATTCTTGACATAGTTTTTTTCAAAGCCATGTGGTTATTATCTATTACCTATGACAAAGAATTACTTTGTTACTAAGGTCTTAATTACTATTAATTGAGATCATTATTTTATATTTTCTTGAACTGCCCACTTCTCCTCTTTTTAGATGAATAAGATATTTTTCTCTTTAAGTAATTATGTAATTATCCTCACTTACACAGTAGTCTTAGGTTAGATATTTGGCAATTGATTTAGATATTTACCATCTTGAATAGTGTCCTTTATGTGAAGACCATATGATAAATATCTTTCATTTTTCTATCAATGTTTATACTATTTTTAGGTAATTGGTTTGTTTTTACCAAATGAATACTGAATTTTATAATAGAGCATGTTTTTCCCTTTCAATTGCCTGTTAGATGGTTCAGAAATACACATGTAACCCATATTTAGAATTTTGTGAGGAAATGCAACTTCTTGACATGCATTTTGTTTTGTACTAACCTTATTCCTGAAGCCAATGTACTTTTCTACCCACATTTTCTCTTTATATTCATTTCTTCCTTTCTTGCTTTATCTTACATTTTTAAAACCTCCTTAAATTCTTTATAGGGTAGGGTCTAAATAAATAAATGATTTCAGAGTCTTAACTTCAGCACATAAAAATGTGCAGACTATTCCCTGTAACTGTGGGTATACATTAGGTACCGTCTGTGCACCAAGAATTTAGTAGTTGTTCAAACATGCTGTCCTCAGAGAGTTTATAATTCATGTCTAGAATTAAATTGATGGCCTAAACATTCTCCCAAAGTAAAGACATGTTTTAAACAGAAGTTATAAATATGATCACTAATTAGTTTCCAAATATGTTGGTAATAACATTTTGAAAGGTAAATAATTATGTTAAAGTGTTATAATGTAATTTCACAATCTGAGGGCCTTAGCCTGTGGTAGCAAATATAAAAGTTAAAGGTATAAAACAAGCACATTTTTGTCGATTTTATATGTTTGTACAATTAAGTTTGCCACTCACTGTTCCCATAGCAACCAAACTGCCTATATGAAGTAAGCAGCTAAATTTCATTGCTCCTTGGTGTAAAAATAGCATCTATTAATGCTTCTTCTCTGTGTTGGAGCACATCATTAGAAATATATATATATATTTATAAAACCCCACACACCTTTATGCTAATCCGAAGCCAAAGTCAATGGTCAGCAAGGATAAGCAACCTTTTTAGTTTGTTGGGGATGAGGGGTTTCCCAGCACATGAGACTTTTGATGTGAAAACCGGGATAGTCCTGGGAATACGTGGATGATTGATCACCCTACCAGCTCTCCTCAGTAATTAGAATTACATTTTATCTTGCCCACAGGCACATCTCATCTTGGGGAATAGAGGCCATTTTGGGCAAGGAAATTAAATTATTGGAAATACCATGCAGGCTATAGGAAGGAGAGTCTGAAGGCAGAGAGGCTACTGCAGTTCAAGTATGAGGTGATATGGAGCTTAGATGGACGCTCACTTAAATAAATATGCCACATCACATGCTAGCACTGATTATAAAACAAGGCCACAGTTCCTTTTCCTACCTAAAATTAGGTGGGATAAGGCCCTATTAGCTGGATTTGATGTTCCCAAAGGTGTGCCTCATGTAGGCCTACCAAGCAGCCTGTCAGCTGTCAAATGAAATTTGTTCTCATTTTCCTGGTCCACCCTTGTCCCTTGTCCACCCTTATTACCTACAAAACTGCTTTTGTCACTGCCAATCATGACATGCCAGTGTTCATGCCAAGGGTGATACATCTGGATGCTCCCTGGTTATTGGAGTGGTGAGTATTGCTGAATAGAATGGGCTCCTTCCAACTCTGGGCCACACTTGGTCACTTTGACTCCGGTGCAGCTCTGCTTGTACCAGAGAGTCACAAAGTCTCCAGTCTCCTTCTCCAAAGGGGCTCAAAATCAATTCAAGAGATTAAGTGAAGGCCAGATGCCATTCTATCCCCTATGGAGCCTCAGCTTTTCCCCAGTCCCTCTCCAACAAAACTCCTCTCTTCTCCATTTACAAAACCAAAGCTCCCAAGCACATCAGTGAAAACAAACAGTTTGGAATGGGTGGACAGAAAAGGGAGAAATGAGATGTTTACAACTTCTGAGTAATAGCACGACCTGTCAGAAATGCCTTGTTACACTGATGTCATTGAGGTAGAGTGGCATTCTTGACGGGGCTCCTCATGGCCACAGCATAGATATTGTGAGGTAGTCTTGGGACATATTGTTGCAGCAACTTGTTTTTTTAAAAAATGCACTCCACCTTCTAGATCACTGCCACTAAACAAGCTTTGGCATGGGTCAAGAATACAGATACTAAGAAAGAAAGTTTTGCTTTTTGTAAAAGTGAAAAGATTAGAGATAGAGGCAGCTTGGTGCTGCCTCTGATGGCTTATTTTCTGTATTAGGCCATTCTCACACTGCTATAAAGAACTACTTGAGACTGGGTAATTTATAAAGAAAAGAGGCTTAATTGGCTCATGGCTCTGCGGGCTATACAGGCTTCTGTTTCAGGGGAGGCCTCAGGAAACACAGTCATGGCAGAAGGTGAAGGGGAAGCAAGCACGTCTTCACATCACCGTCAGGAGAGAGAGAGAGAAAGAGAGTTGGGGGAGGTGCTACACACTTTTAAGCAAGCAGCACTAGGGGGATGGTGCTAAACCATTAGAAAATGCCCCCATGATCAGATCACCTCCCGCTAGGCACTTCCTCTAACACTGGGTATTACAATTCAACATGAGATTTGGACAGGGACACAAAGCCAAACCATATCAGCCCACTTTGGATCTTTGCTTTTCTTTTTTGCATCATGTCTTCCTCTTAGAATTTGTCTTTGGTATATTTAAGCAGCTTAATGGCTCCTCCTTCTCTCTCTCTTTTCTTTTCTTTTTTTTTTTTTGAGACAGAATCTCACTCTATTGTGGAGGCTGGAGTGCAGCGGCACTATCTCAGCTCACTGCAACCTCCACCTCCCAGGTTCAAGTGATTCTCCTGCCTCAGCCTCCCGAGTAGCTTGGATTACAGGCACCTGCCACCATGTCTGGCTAATTTTTGTATTTTTAGTAGAGATGGGGTTTCACCATGTTGGCCAGGCTGGTCTCGGACTCCTGACCTCAGGTGGTCTGCCCACCTTGGCATCCCAAAGTGCTGGGATTACGGGCGTGAGCCACTGCTCCCGGCTGTCCTTCTTTTTGCTAGCACTACCTTCTCCTCTCCAGCAGAACCTGGAGAAGCAGGTAGCATGGGGCTAGCTGCCTAAGTCTTCAGGTTTGGCTAAGACCCTGGATCCAGACTGCCTGCTTACACAGCCTAGCTTTTCACACTCTGTGCAATGATTTCCTTCTCTTTAAGGCAGGGATTAAATAGCAACTCCTTAATAGAAGTGAAAATTAAATAAATTACAATGTGTAGAGCCATTAGAAGAGTGTCTTGATGTGGTAAGAACTATGTGTTTGCTGTGACTATTGAGTTAGGTGTTTGAAATGAACCTTGCAGTTCCCATGTGACAGAGGTAAGTTTACCAGCACAGGACACTACACAGATTTTGAGCTAACACTCGAGCTAGCAAGTGAATGTCTTCTTTTGAGTAGGATTGCTGGGATCTTGACATGGAGCACTACAGCTGATGGTATGCAGAAAAGGTTCTTGTTACATCTTTTCTCACCACCTGCAGATTAGAAACACAAATGATGAACCAGTAAGGAATCCTTCCATTCTTCATTTAATAGCACCATACTTTAATATTGAATAAATTGGATAAACATATTCAGATTACATAAATAAAACGAAAATTTTCAGTTATCCAAATGGAAACTTTGGTATGAAATTCAGACTTTCCAAGTCTTCACCTGTCAGTATGTACAAGTGAAATTCCTATTAATAGTAATAACTTGCATGTTGCTGTTGGTGTAGCACCCCTCATTGGACAGGACATCTCACTCCATGCAAAATGTCTTTTCCCCAGATATTTCTACAAGTGTGTACAGACAGTGCCTCCCATGGATTTATGAACAAATCCCCTCATGTTTTGCCACTTGTGCATATTTGCTGGTCTAAAGGCATTTGAAACAATGTCCCTGCCTAACTATTCTTCCTAAGAAAAGTAACATCTATGCCAGCAGTGTCATTTTTCAGTATTCCATAAAACTAAAATCCTTGAGGTTCGACAATGATGATGCATTTCATTCACCTTTCACTGAGTGCAAGCCATGGCATTGTTAAAGCAGAATGGAAGAGAAGCACATTAACCATACAAGTGAGGCTGCCTTCTGGGGTTGGGTGGGGTGGAGAGTGAGTGCTCCATGTTCACTAGAAACTGCCATAAGGAATTGCAGCTTTTTGAATTGGATGCTGTATTCTGTCAGTTATATTCTCCTTTCCCCACTTTTCCATGAATTTTAACCTTCCTGAAACCAAGGGTGAAGAAAAACTGTAAAGACCCAAGAATGGGCACATAGGCTGTCCCTGTCCTCATGACTAATTTAAAGCTATTACATATCCCCAGTGTTAGAGTCATTACTAGTTCTTGAGTAAGTCCATTTAATATCTTAATTAATCCGAGGGGGGAGATAATCATTATATGGAGACAGTTTTTCTTTTTCCTGATAGCCATTTAATTTTTCTTAATTCATTTTCTCTATATAAAATCTTTGTGGTGTTTACAGTTCACAGAAAGAGTACTTGTAAGCTATTCTTCCCTTGGGCAAACTAAATGTGTTAAATGATGTTATATTTTCACACAAACATCAATCCTGTTTTCCAAATTACTTTTGATATTCTTGGAGCTTTAGGGAGTTTGTGTATATTGAGGTATACCTCAATTTAAAAGTAGATGTGTGTATTGCCAAAGATTCTGTTCAAAACTTTCAAATTGATTCCTACTGTTCCATTGACTGCGTTATAAAACTGGAACTGTGTTTCCCTGGGGGCAGAGGGAAATCCCATAATGATCTTAATTACAGCTTTGGTTAGAGAAAGGGAAAACATCAAGACTAGCTTCATGGTATTGTACTGCAATGTTTCCTGGGATTATTAGTCTCAGTGGTAGTTTATTTTGGGGTTTCACAATAAAATCAGGTTAACTCTAAAAATTCCCCAAGGCCCTTTGGCATAGCAGAAAGGTCCTGGCTGCCTTTCTAAGCTATTAGGTGGTGCAAAAGTAATTGTGGTTTTTGCTGTTACTTTTGCACTAACATAACAGTACATGGGCTGAGCCAGGGGCTAGTTGCAGCAGCACCGTGAGGCCAAGTGAGATGTTACTATAGACCTAGGCTTTTAAATTAATGCAATAATTAGGCACAGTGGTGACACATTTTGGACTTTTGAGGACAACTAGATCTTAATATTCTGCTCCATTACCTCCGTAAGAATACTCATGCTTTCCATGATTTGTGTTCTGTCACTGGGTTTTGAGAGATGCTAACGTTGTAAATGCAAGAAGACACCACTGAGAAATGCATAGTGTTTATTCATCAGTCAAGAGGATATAAATATGATTTTCCTTAACTTTGCTAATGTAGTTTTCATAAATTTTACATCAAGTTTATTGATTTTTGTTACCAAGAGAATGTTTATCTCTCCTATGTATATGTGAAAAGGGAGGAAATAAGTGTGCACTCACACATGGAGGAAGGCAGATGGAAGCTGAATATAACAACTGACAGGAACCAGAGGAAAGGATGAATTTAGAGAATATTTTTTTGCTGGAAATGCTAGATAAAAATAAGGGGGTAGGGGAAAGAGTGGCTATTACTTTTATATAAATAACATTTCTTTTATCCTTGTCTAAATTTAACTGTTCCACTTTCATATTATTTTCTTGCTCTTCATCATATTTTTCAGTTTTTCTACATGTTGACTTTCCTTAACTGATAGACTTTCTATTGGCTTATTTGGGTAGAGGATATTGCACCTTCCTTTACTTTATGTTGCAGGAAGATTTAGGGGCCTTAACTACATATTCCTGAGCATAGTTAGTGAAATTGCTTACAAAGCAATTCCAGGAATAAAGTAGTTTTCACTGAAGGAAAATAAAAAAGAGAAGGATGAGAAGGTGAAGGGATGATTTGGAGTGGAGAGCAGAAATTGGATGATAAAAACCAATGGGAAATAAACAAAAATATCTACAAGTTTGATTTAGTCAAAAGTGATAAGAGTATGACTCTGAATGGACATAGGGAAAACAAAAAATAATTCCACTCACTCAATTGCCGTGGGACTCGAAATTCCACCAGGAGAGGTTGATCCTTTGGGTTCACTTCATGAACATCCTAAGGTAAATGCAGACATTCCTATAGGGGTGGCCCTTGCCAGGAAGGTATTCATCACAAAGCACACTTCAGCATGAAATAACATACTAGGGTTATCCTTCTCAGGTGGTTAGCTAGGATCTGGGCACTGAAGGAAATGAAGGTTGAATAAAGCAAGGTCATCTAGCTCTCTGGCTTTAAATGCCGTCTGTGTGCGGATGGCTCCCATTTTATATCTCTATTCCCAACTCTGAACTCTACACTGTCCACTTGACATCTTCATTTGGGTGTTTATTAGCATCTTAAACTCAACATTGGCATAAGTTTGAGTCTGCTGAGAAGTATTATAGATACCAAGATGAGATTAGAGGTTCAATCCTATTTATTGGGGGAAATGCTTGTGAGGAAAAAATGGGGAAGGAACTGGAGAAGAGTGGGGGAACTGGAGGAGGCTGGGGGAGCTGTCACACTGGGATGCAGAGCTACCCCATGTTGGGGACAGAGGGAAGAAAGTCTTAGGACTTTGGGTAGGAAGTCTTAGACTTTGATGCAGTCCTAAGAAAGTTTCAGCAAAGTTGGCATGGGGTCCTTGAGCCAAAGTCACCATCGGAGAAATCCCACATTTCTTGTGATGGGCATGACTTAGTATCCCTAGGAGTGCTTAGCTGGGAGCAGCCTGGAAAAAGCATGGCCTGGGTGTGAGTGGGTCCAGCAGCTGAGCCGTGGTTCAACACACTCACTGCAGCTGGAGATCTGAGAGGCATTTTTTCATGGCTGCCACATGTCCCCGGGCAAACTTTTGATTTTTTTCTTCCATCTATTACTGTAAAATGTCTCCTCTCCTAGTTTTTCCATTTCAGTCAATGTCAGGTCAACTCCAGGGTCTTCTCATGAGCTCCACTACTACCAGCTAGTCTAACATCTTCCTTTTGCCATCCCTAAAGTCTATTCTTCAAACTTGCCTGACTCTCTTATCTAATTCAAAATTAAGTCCAAATTCTTTACCATGACCTTCAAGCCTCTACACAATCTGACCCCTCCACTAGCTGTCTCCTATAATCCTCTACCATTCTCTCTCACTCACTCTGCTCTTCCTAGAACACAAGCCCATTCTGCCTCAGGGCCTTTGCACTTCTTGTTCTTTCTGCTTCTAATGCTCTTATTTCAGATTACTTCAGGGCTCACTTTTTTTACCTTTTCCAAGTCTTCCCTCAAATGTTACCTGATCAGAGCTTCCTTCTCTGGCTAACATATATTACTCAATTTTTTTCATAATAATGTTATATCATATATTTATTACTTTTGTTTATTGTCTCTTCTTCTAATTAGAATGTAAGCTCTAGTAAGGCAAAGCCTTTATCTGTTTATGTATAACTGTTTCCCTAGGGCCTGCCATGAAATATGTTTTCAATAAACATTTGTTAAGTGAATAAACACAATTTAAAGAATGTACAAAGTGTGGACTATAAAGAACATGCATTCTGTTTCACAGCCTTATATTTTATAATCTACTTCTCCAGAAAATATTATGAACATTTGCCAACACCTTAGAGTTATTCTACAGCATAGTATTTCATTTATAGCTGCAATTTATTTTATGGATGTGTTATAGTTTATTTACTCAACCCCCATTACTTCCAATTTTTTGGCTATTATGTGAATGATATAATAATGAGCATCATTACCCTTAAACTCAATAGGGACAGAGACCAACTATATCTTGCTCACCATTCTATCCCAAGTGCCCGGAAAATATATACATAGAAAATATTAGGTCTTATTTTTGTTTCTTAAAGTAAAATGTAGAAGTTGAATTGTTAGTTTTACATATTCATTTTGTTAAACGAATTCCTGTTATAAAATTGTGTTCTAGAAAGTGGTCACTTTGAGCTTCTACTGGCAGGATATGAGCACCTACTACTTTCTCAAAAGATATACAGCAAAATAAAATGTCCCCAGTTTGATCAATGACAAATGTGATCTCATTTTAATTAGCATTATTTATTTACCAGAGAGGTTACATTTTTATCATAGATTCACTGGTCATTTGTACTACTTCTTTAATCAATTACCTGTTCTTATTGCCTGATATTTCAGACATGGTTAAAAATATTGTTATGAGGCCTGCCTGTGCCATTCACTAATTGTCTTGCCTTCACAAGTTACTTGGCTTCTCTGAAGCTCTCCTCATTGTAAAGTGGGGGAAATAATGGTGCTTGCCTCCTTGGGGTTGCCCTGTGGAAGCTGGCAAGCCTTGTGCTTAGGGTGCTCTCCTTGGCTGGAGTGTGGCCCAGGAGAGAGGGTTGTGAGAAAGAGAAAATGAGAAAGGAAAATAAAATGCTCAGCACAGTGCCTGGTATAGAGCGCATGCTAATAAATGGAAGTGGCTGTCATTATTGCTACTTTATCTTTGTGAATCTGCTTTTTCGACTACATTGTGCTGTTCTGGGGATGGCATTTCACAAATCCTTGGAAGCCTGGGGCCTCACATTGTGCTTGGGATAAATAGTGGTAGTGCTTAGCCACCCAATCTATGCCATAAGACAAAAGATTGTATAAACCTTTGGTAACAGTGGGACTCTTTTGTCTTAGCTAATCTCTGTCTTCTAATTCCGCTCCCTGTTTGTCTGGCCTTAGAGTTTCTGCCTCAGTCTTCCAAGCTTATTTGATCCTCCAAACCTTGACCTTGGGTCAACCAAATTCTTGCATAACAGTTTCATACTACCTGACAGAATTTTCAGACCTGATTCTTCCTAAGGAATTTAGGTGCTGCACTTGCCTATGAGCTATCTAAATGAAAAGTTATTGTATCTATTTTTTTCTGTCCCATAGGTATTTCCTTATACATGGTTTCTCTATATCTAAAAATACCCTTACTATATTTTATTTAATCACATGGGGGAATGCCCAGGAGAAAGCAGAATTGCATATCCATAAATATCCAGGGGAGGCCCTTATTTAGAAATGTTCTAAGGGGACTAATGTCCAATGCCATTTTCTTTGCCCCTCTAGATATCCTTTAGAGCGATGCCCTAAAGAGATATATGAAATAAAATGGAAAAAAAACACCCCAAATATCAAAGATATAAAATGTGCCTTGGAAAATATGTGAGAGAACCTAAATTCATGAAATCTAATGTTCAATTAAAATATTTTCCTCTCACTCTTGTCATTACCCATTTAATTTTGCTGTGGGCTGCTCTGTTGGGGTTTCTAGAGGTCTCCGTTTAATTTGAGACTTTGATATGGAACCAACTAACAAAAAGAAAGAAAGAACGAAAAAGAAAAAAACCCAGTACAATGATTGCTTCGACTGCACAATTTCAACTGCACAAATTATATTTATTGAGTTTGTGTTGAGATGGTGGTCAAGCTTCCTTTTGGGAAATGCTTATTTGATGGGAGATTTAACATTTCACAGTTGACATTCCTGAATTAACATAACTATGGCTGGAATCATTTTTCTTTTTTATCATTCTTTGCCATGCCGTACTTAGTCACTAAATGCTGTCTGCTCTGAGCAACCTTGATAGATGAGGCAACACGCTTGTAAATAACAGATATATTTGTAGTGCTTGCCAAATAAGAAAGAAATGAATCTTTGCCATTGCAATGCAACTGGAACAGATGTTTGAATATTTTAAAACATGGTGAATGTTGTAAATTAAGATTTTGGTCATTAGAATACATTAAAATTTCTACCTAATCATTTTATGATGTGGCAGAAAAAATAGTGTCACTAACATAGTGGCCCTCTTGACAAGTCACCAACCATCTGGAGAAAAAACAAACCCCTCACAAGTAATTATTTAAATTTTCTTTTTAAAAAAATGCAATGTGGAAATACTTTTTCTCCACAAAGAAAAATTAAATAAATTCAGCAATCAAGCAACATTGCCTCATACATAGAAGATGTAAAATTATTATACAACAGTACAAAAAATAATAGTATAAAAATGATCCGAAGTTGTTTGTTTCATTAACTAGTTGATTGATACATAGTGTGATTGGCTTCAAAAGAGTCTTGCAATCATAAATTCAAACACCAAAATAACATAGCTTTTTAAAAATGAGGACAGAGTGGTAAGGAAGAAAAATAATGCCTGGAAGTAGAATGAAGGATTCTGCACAAGAGTCACACATTAAATGCATGCTGGGGGCCGGGCGCAGTGGCTTATGCCTGTAATCCCAGCCTTTGGGAGGCTGAAGTGGGTGGATCACTTGAGGCCAGGAGTTCGAGACCAGCCTGGCCAACATGGCGAAACCCCGTCTCTACTAAAAATACAAAAGTTAACTGGGCATGGTGGCACACACCTATAATCCCAGCTACTTGGGAGGGTGAGGTGGGAAAATTGCTTAAACCTGGGAGGCAGAAGTTGCAGTGAGCCGAGATCATGCCACTGCACTCTAGCCTAGGCGACAGAGCGATACTCCGTCTCCAAAAAAAAAAGCATGCTGTTTGTTTTGTTTTGTTTTGTTTTGCCAGAGGTGGATCACAGAATGAGCGCTGAACTTTCTAGCAGCCAACAAGTTGAGAGAAGCATGATTCAACAATTCGTAATGTTCACACGATTCAAGTCAAACATGTTGGAAAGAAGTGTGACTATTCCTGAAATTGAGACCAGAGAGAATTTCTCCCAAATGATCCTCACGAGAGGAGTGTGCATAATTAGGCAACAATATTTTGCATTTGAAAATGTCTTCACATTAAATAGAAGGAGTTGTTTTATAGGCTAGTTTTTTAAGTTATCCCTAAATATTGGCCAAAGGCATTATGCTAACATGGAAGTGCCAGACCTTCGCTGCCCATGTGCAGTATGATGAGGGATGTAGCAGTGGGTCCCAGGGTGCTGGTGCACCAGAGGTTGGGGTGTGCAGTAGGGAAGAGATTCATCTGGTGTGGTTATGTAGTGGTCATGTGGTGCTTCCTAAAAGAGGGGCTTAAACTGCATACCAAAACAAGAGTAGGCACACCCCCGCTAAACAGCCTAGTATGCTATTTTGTAACAAATTTAAATGATACAATATTCATTTTGCTTCAATTTTCTTTTATTATTGCGGGTAAACATTTTTTTCAAAATAACATTCTTCTCTTTGTCAATTTAAAAAGTAATACATGGTTATTTAGAACATGTAAAAATATGAAAGTATAATAAAGAAAATAAAAATTACCCAGAAATAAAAATGGCTAGTATATTCATATCTTTTCTTCCAGTTTTTTTGTTTGTACATTATTTATGTACATATATAACAATTGATACCATACAGTTTGTAAAATGTTAAATGTAACATTGTGTCATTTTTCCAAGTCATTACTAGTCTTTGAAAACTTTAAATAGCTGCATGTTACAAACTTTAATAATCATTTAGGTTGTTTCCATCTTTTTCTAAATAAAAGTGTGCTTCAGTAAATTTTTTTTGCATAATCTTTGGATAACTACTGATTATTTTCTTAGGATAGGTTTTTCTAGATGTGTGTTTATTGAGTTAAAGAATATAAATATTTCCAAATCATGTATAACTATTGTGAAATACAAAATGTTTCCACTTTAATTTACATAAACATTTGTGCTTACATATATTTACTTATTTATATTTATGTATCTGACAGTTTATTTTATTTGCATGATAATTAAGTGTATTAGTAAGGCCAGATATTTTCAGTAGAAGAAAAAACTTATATACAGAGCAGTCCCATGATCTACTCAAAGTCATGCAATATCTGAGTGTGCTTTGCCTGAATTGAGCCATGCTTTGTTTTTCTCCTTCGTTCTGCAGGACTAGGCACTACAATGGTAGTTTAAAAATTATGTTCTTCTTTTATGAAAATCATCAGATGGCCTTGTGATTTGTTTTGGTGTTCCTTTTTATTATTAATATCTTGTCTTCTAAATATTTAAGTTATAGATGAATTATAAAGCACCTCTAGGGGGAATAGAATTGTTTAACAGAAGTATGAGTTTGTCTGCACGAATATATTATCAAGGTGATCTGACGATACAATAACGTCTTTGCCAAGATGCTTGCCTGTCCTGAAAGGATCCTAGCACATTTCAAGCAAATTGAATGGCAGTAATGATCTTCACAAAGAGAAATGGAGAAGCAAGGCAAATACATGAATGATTCAGCTAAATAAACATTTTTACCTCAAACATTACATGATCACAACAAAGGCTATTTTCTTTCATTAATGTATTTCATAAGAATCCCACAAATTTCATTTCAATTTTTATGTAAATGCACATATTGAAAGAAATCTTTTGCTGCTTGGACATAATCAGAACTTGTGAAATAGCAGTGTCCTGAACTTGGCCTATGATATTTTCCTTGCGTCTTTGCCAGAGGCGGCTTCATAAGGGAGGCCACGTCATAGGAGGTCCTCTTGGTTTTCCATCCAGGACCTGGATGGTGCTTCCGCTGAGAATTCTGCCCAGAAGGAGTGATAAACAGAAAATTCTACTTCTGCTGCTGTTGATCACAAAAGGCTTTGAAAAATGGGGGATACTAAGTGTTTCTTGAGGAAAATGAAGCTGTGGATGAGGACTCAAATCTTCAGTGGGAAAATATGAATCAAAAAGAGTCTTTTTTTTTTTTTTGAGATGGAGTCTCACTCTGTCACCCAGGCTGGAGTGCAGTGGCGTGATCTCGGCTCACTGCAACCTCAGCCTCCTGGGTTCAAGCGATTCTCCTGCCTCAGCCTCCCAAGTAACTGGGATTCCAGGTCTGCACAACCATGCCTGGCTAATTTTTGTATTTTTAGTAGAGACGGGGTTTCATCATGTTGGCCAGGCTGGTCTGAAACTCCTGACCTCAGATGATCTGCCTACCTTGACCTCCCAAAGGGCTGGGATTACAGGCATGAGCCACCATGCCTGGCCTCAAAAAGAGTATTGATCCATTAGAAATGTATCACCATGGAGGCTGGGTGTAGTGGCTCACATCTGTAATCCCAGCTACTCGGGAGGCTGGGGCTGGAGAATCCTTGAACTGGGGAGGTGGAGGTTGCTGTGAGGTGAGATCACGGTACTGCACTCCAGCCTGAGCAACAGAGTGAGACTCTGTTCAAATAAAAAAAAAAAAAAAAAAAGAAAAGAAAATGTATCACCATAGAATAAACATATTGCCATGCATAGAATTTGGGATACAATTACATCCGCATTTAGAAGTCCTTCAGGGTAGAGTTTTTCTCTTAGTCCTTCATACAGATTTGTTCCAACCAGATAAGAGGAAAGGTCTATTATCTGAACAAATTAATTGTAATAATACATTTTAGATAGTTTCATAACATTTAATAAAACTATAGGCATATAAGAAGGTAAAATCCATCCAGAATCTCTTTGATCATGTGTAAGTGATATTAAAATCAATATTTCTCTAAATGCAAACTTATTGGCTCATTTACCAAAGGGAATATGCAGCTCAGTGGTTTTAGTACATGAACTCCTTAGAGCATGGGTCATTACCATGAGGCTGAAAAGCCAGCTACAGAATATTTCTGCCCTGAGCTCATTATGAACAGAGTTTTGGACTGACTTGTCTTTGTGGCAAGGGTTGTTACTGAACTTGATGATCCAACTCATTGAGTTGCTGCTCTGTCCCTGCACCTCTAGGGAGCTGTGTATTAGAATTGTGTGAAGCTACCTGTTCAGGCTCCAGGTTGGCTTGGCAGTTAAAATGGATGCATTTTGCCTAATAAGTAAAGTTGATGTTTTGTCTAGTTCTTAAGAAGTATACCTTGTCCTCTCAGTAAGTTCCACTTTCTCCAGTAAGGCCTTGGATTTCATATTTGGGCAAATCCACACATATACTTTAATTTTCTTCTGGAGACACATTGATCCTCTCTTGTGAGAGTCAAGCTGCTGTTTTATTTTGAAAAGGAAGCTTTTATTTGAAAAATAAATCCTCTGTTTTTAAGGAAGCATAAGCAAGATTTTGTTGTTTTCAAATAATTTAAAATCTTTAACATTGTTTTCTACTTTTTGCTTTGGTGCACCTTTGCTATTTTGCATTCGTTGCTACTGTTGTCAAAAGTTGCATCAAATTAACATAACATTTCTAAGTATATATAATGTATCCAGTAGTTTGCTAGGCATTGGAAGACAGGTTGCTTCCTTTGGGGAGCCAGCAGTCTAATGGGGATAGAAAGCGATAACATATTTATATCCACAATAATAAATGGAAACATCATCTATAATCAAATGCCAGATTACATGTATACTAGAAGAATCACAAGAGTTTAGAGACTGGGCAATGGGTAGAGCAGATTGAAAAGAATATAGTGTGTGTGGTGAAGAAAGCAGTGGATGGGTAAGAATGGCAGGGGTGTACATTGGATTGTGGTGGGAAACACATGTAAAGTTGAGGAGGCCTATAGGCCAGTGTCAAAGAGTTTGGTTTTGATTAAAAAATAGGATTATATTGTAGTTTCTGAATTAGGGAGATGACATAATAGCTTACAACAATGTGTATGGCAGTGACATGTCGAGATAATTTATAGAGGGAGAATGTAGACACAGAAAAATTAAAAAAATTATTATACATCTATTTAATGGGTTTCCTCAGGTGTCTTAATCTGCCATTTGGCTTATTAGTATGTTCAACTTTATTTAGGGTACAGACATTAATCAGACTTGGATTTTTTAGAGTGTGATGATCTGGATTTATTACTTGAATTATTGCTTGAGACTTTCTCTAGTAATTGCTGAAGTTAATGTACAACACTCTGCACTTAGCTTTTTAACATCATATTTATGGTTTTACTGTGATTTATTATTTTAAAGAATCTTAAATAGATGGCTTATACTTGCTTTGTGAGTGGGCTTCTAGAAATTACTGGAACCACTAAGAATCTTTATCGAGTCAGGATAGGTTAAGTTTGCTGAAGTAACAAACAACCGCCAACTCTCAGTGCTTTACCACTATATGTTTATTTCTGGAAAATGTTTATATACTAAATGTCTATTGCGAGTTATTGCACAGATTCACTGCAGCCAGCTGGAGCTTTTATCACACTATGTGCTTCCGTTCTTAACGAGACAAGAGAAAAGGAACTTGGTGAATTAAATATTTTCTCTTAAAGCTTCTACACAGAAGGGTATATGTAATTTTTAGTCATTTTGTTGGGCAAGGAGATCACTGGGCTATGACTAACTTCAAAGTGGCAGGGAAGTACCATCACATGCCCCAAATAAGGGAAAACAGAATGTGTGTGAACAGTTCTAATGACTACCACAGGGACATAGCCCCTTTTCAAAGTACTGATGAGCATAGTGCTAGAAAGAATAATATCTTTCAAATGGAATTTTTTTTTTTACCGAGAAATATTTCATCTATTGCTAAGGTCTCTAGGCTCACAGGCCCAGAGCAGATTAGAATTTAATATAAATGGACAAGGTGACCCCTAACATGACTAGAATATGATTCCCATTATGAATTGGTAAGTGTGAAGAGAGTTTATAAAAACTTCTTGTCATAGAAGTTTAGTATTAGATTCACACTTGGTTCTGCATATTTGAGTATGAAAGACCAGTATCTTTTTTATGTGAATTTTAGATGATGAAACAATTCAATATAATATGTACATCATCATAAATATAAATTACATAAATACATGCTATTTATTCCCATATACATGGATCTTATTACTTAGTTAACAAATGAGGGATGAGTGATAAACAGTGGTGACTCATGGTGAATATGGGTCTCTGTATATGCAGCATATATCCTGGATGACCTTTGAAGCTACAGTATGTGGATTTTTAAAGGTTTAAGAAGAGAATTAGAGTATTAGACTAGGAACTGCATTTAAATATATTTCATAATTTATCAGCCACAGGCAATAAGATTTACCATCACTGTACAAAGTTTGGATGCTATCTCTTCTATCTAGAAATCTCAAATTCAATGAAAATACCACATTATTGGTACCTTCACTGTTTGCAATTGAGCTGATCAATATGAGACTTCAATATTTAAGAGTGCCTTGTTACTTACAGGACATTTTGCGTTCTTTATAAAGAACTCAAGAAAAATGATATTTTTCAAAATAATTTCATCAACTTGCAATCAAGTGTGTTCTGTATACTTTCATAAGGGCTGACCATTAAGTAGTGACTATGAAATAACATGTATTTCTGTGTATGTGTGTGTCTTCACAGTATGCACATATAATAGTGAAACTTTCTGATCAATTTATGTTAAAACTGGTTTTCTACTTGCAATTTCACACTGCAAAATATATACCAGTTTTTTGTTTTACTTTTTTTTTTTTTTGAGGTGGAGTCTCTCTGTTGCCCAGGCTGGAGTGCAATGGTGCGATCTTGGCTCATTACAACCTCCACCTCCTGGGTTCAAGCGATTCTCCTGCCTCAGCCTCCCGAGTAGCTGGGATTACAGGATTACAGGCGCCTACCACCGTGCCCGGGTAATTTTTTTGTATTTATAGTAGAGACGGGGTTTCACCAGGCTGGTTTGGAACTCCTGACCTCAGGTGATCCACCCGCTTCGGCCTCCCAAAGTGCTGGGATTACAGGCATGAGCCACTATATCCGGCTTTTGTTTTACTTTTAATTGACAAATGATAATTGTATATACTTATAGGGTACAATGTGATATTTATATACATTGTGGGATGACCAAAACAGGTTAATTAGCATATATATCACCTAAAATATTGATCAATTCTTTGTGGTGAGAACATTTAAGATCTTCTTTTTTAGTTATTTTGAAATATATAATGTTATTATTAACTATAGTGACTTTGCTATGCAATAGAACACCAAAATGTATTCCTCCTATCTGTTACTTTATACCTATTGACCAATGTCTCCCCTTGCCCCGTCCATTCCCTCCACCTGCCTCTGGTAACCACAATTTACTCTCTACTTCTATGAATTTGACTTTTCTTGAGGAAAATGAAGCTGTGGATGAGGACTCAAATCTTCAATGTGAAAATATGAATCAAAAAGAGTCTTTTTTTTTTTTTTTGAGATGGAGTCTCACTCTGTCACCCAGGCTGGAGTGCAGTGGTGTGATCTCGGCTCACTGCAACCTCAGCCTCCTGGGTTCAAGCGATTCTCCTGCCTCAGCCTCCCAAGTAGGTGGGATTCCAGGTCTGCACAAACATGCCTGGCTAATTTTTGTATTTTTAGTAGAGACGGGGTTTCATCATGTTGGCCAGGCTGGTCTGAAACTCCTGAACTCAGGTGATCTGCCTACCTTGACCTCCCAAAGTGTTGGGATTACAGGCATGAGCCACCATGCCTGGCCTCAAAAAGTGTCTTGATCCATTAGAAATGGATCTCACATATAAGTGGGATCATATGGTATTTAGCTCTCTGTGCCTGGCTTACTTTACTTAACATAATGTCCTCAAGGTTCATCCATGTTGTCAAAAATGACAGAATTTCTTGCTTTGTTAAGGATGAATAGTATTCCATTGTGTATATATACCACATTTTAAAATCAATTCATAGTTGATGAACGCTTCAGTTTTCCCCATATCTTGGCTATTGTGATAATGCTGCAATGAGCATGGGAGTACAGACATCTCTTTGACATGCTGATTTCAGTTCCTTTGGATACATACTCAGTAGTGGGAAAGCTGGATCATATGATTCTATTTTTAGTTGTTTTGAGAAAACTCCATACTGTTTTCCAAAGTGGCCATGCTAATTTACAATACTACCAACAGGATGTAACGGTTCTCTTTTTTCCACATTCTTGCCAACACTTGTTATATCTCTTGCCAACACTTGTTATATTTCATCTTTTTGACAATATCCAATCTAACAAGTATGAGGTGATGTCTCATTGCTTTATTTTGCATTTTTCTGATGATTAAAGATTTTGAGCATTTTTTTCATTTGCCAGTTGTCCATTTGTATGTTTTCTCCTGAGAAATGTCTATTCAAGTCTTTTGCCCATTTTTTAATAGAGTTATTGGTTTTCTTGTTATTGAGTAATTTGAGTTCCTTACATATTTTGGATATTAGCCCCTTATCTAATTCATGATTTGCAAATATTTTCTCCAAATTCATGGTTGTCTCTTCACTCTATTAACTGTTTTCTTTGCCATGCAGGAGGTTTTCAGCTTGATGCAATTCCATTTGTCCATTTTCACTTTTGGGGTCACATCCAAGAAATCTCTGCTTAGACCAATGTCATTGAGTTTTCTCCTATGTTTTATTCTAGTATGATAGTTTAAAGTATTATGTTTAAGCTTTTAATCCATTTTGAGTTGGCTTTTGTATAAGGGGTGAGATAAGGGTCCATTTTAATTCTTCTGTATGTGTTGGATATCCCGTTTTCCCAGCATCATTTATTGAATAGTCTATCCTTTCCTTATTGTGTGTTCTTGGCACCTTTGTTGAAAATCAATTGATGATAGATGTGTAGGTTTATTTCGCAGCTCTCTATACTATTCTGTTAGATGATGTGTCTGTTTTTATGTGAGTACCATGCTGTTGTGGTTACTAAAGCTTTGCGATATATTTTGAAACCTGGTTGTGTGATGCCTCTAGCTTTATTCTTTTTGGTCAAGATTGTTTTATCTATCTGGGGTCTTTTGTGGTTCTGTACAAATTTTAGGATTTATGTTTTTCTGTTTCTGTAAATAATAACATTGGAATTGTGATAGGGATTGCATTGAATCTGTAGATTGCCTTGGGTTGTATCAACAGTTTAACAATATTAATTCTTCCAATGCATGAACATGGAATATCTTTCCACTTCTTTGTGTCATTTTCAATTTCTTTAATCAATGTTTTATAGTTTTCAATATACAGATCTTCACTTCCTTGGTTAAGTTTACTCCTAAGCGTTTTATTCTTTTTGATGCTATTATAAGTGAGATTGTTTTCTTATTTTTTTCAGACACTTTGTTGTTAGTATAGAGAAACACTGCTGATTTTTGTAAGTTGATTTTGTACGCTGAAACTACTGAATTCGTTTATCAGTTCTAAAAGTTTTTTCATGAAGTCTTTAGGATTTTCTATTTATAACATCATGTCATCAGCAAACAATTTTACTTCATTATTTCCAATTAGACTCTTTTTATTTCTTTTTTTGCCTACTTCTCTGGCTAGAACTTTTGGTACTTTATTGAAGAGAAATGGTGAGAGTGGGCATCCTTGTCTTATTCCTGATATTAGAGGAAAAGCTTTTAATTTTTCACTGTTAAGTATGATGTTAGCTGTAGGTTTGTCATATTCAGTCTTTATTAAATTGGGAAAAATTTCTTCCATTCAACCTAATTTATTGAGTGTTTTTTTTTTTAATAATGAAAGGATTTTGAATTTTGTCAATTTTTTTTTCCTGCATCTGTTGAGATAAGCTTAAGGTTTTTTGTCCTTTATTCCATTAATATGCTGTATTAGTCAGGGTTCTCTAGAGGGACAGAACTAATAGGATATGAAGGGGAGTTTATTAAGGAGTATTGACTCACACGATCACAAGGTGAAGTCCCACAATAGGCCTTCTGCAAGCTGAGGAGCAGGGAAGCCAGTCCGAGTCCTAAAACCTCAAAAGTAGGGAAGCCAACAGTGCAGCCTTCAGTCTGTGGCTGAAGACCCGAGAGCCCCTGGCAAATCACTGGTTCAAGCCCAGGAGTCCAAAAGCTGAAGAACTTGGAGTCTGATGTTCAAGGGCAGGAACCATCCAGTATGTGAGAAAGATGAAGTCTGGAAGACTCAGCAGGTCTGCTCTTTCCACCTTCTTCTGCTTGCTTTATTCTAGCTGTACTGGCAGCCCAGGGGATGGAGTCCACCCAGATTAAGGGTGGGTCTGCCTCTCCTAGTCTACTGACTCAAATGTTTATCTCCTCTAGCAACATCCTCACAGACATGCCCAGAAGCAATACTTTGCATCCTTCAATCCAGTCAAGTTGACACTTAATATTAACCATCACATATGGTAAATGGCATTTATTGATATTTGTATGGTGAACCAATCTGTATCACAGGAAAAATCCCACTTGATCATGATGATTCTTTAATGTACTGCTGAATATGATTTGCTAGTATTTTGTTGAAGCTTTTTGCATCTATGTTCATCAGGGATATTAGCTTGTAGCTTTATTTTCTTGCAGTGTTTTTGTCTGGCTTTGGTATCAGAGTGATGCTGGCCTCATAAAATGAGTTTGAAAGTATTCCCTCCTCTTCAATGTCTTGAAAGAATTTGAGAAAGATTGGTATTCTTTAATAGTTTGGTAGAATTGAACTGTGAAGCCATCTGGTCCTGGGCTTTTCTTTGATGGGAGACTTCTAAAAAACATTTTATTTATTGATGCATAATAGAAGTACATAGTTTGGGAGTACATGTGACAATTTAATACATTCATATAATTTGTAAAGATTAAATCAGTGTACTCAGCATATCCATCACCTTAAATATTTGACTTTTCTTTATTCTGGAAACATTTGAATTATTCTCTTGTAGCTATTTAGGATTGTAAACTATAGTTACCCTACTAATCTATCTAACACTAAGTCTTATTTCTTCTATCAAACTGTGTAATTGTACCCACTCATTAAATTTTCTTCATCCCTTTATCCCCTATCCTCCTCAGCCTCTGGTAACCACCAATCTACTCTCTATCTTCATGAGATCCACTTGTTTTAGCTCCCACATATGAGTGAGAACATGCAATATTTGCCTTTCTGTGCTTGGCTTATTTCACTTAACATAATGAATCCCAGTTCCATCCATGTTGCTGCAAATGACAGGATTCCAGTTTTTTCAATTGCTGAATAATATTCTATTATGTATTTATGCCACATTTTCTTTATCCATTCATCTGTTGATGGGCACTTACGTTGATTCCATACTTTGGCTATTGTGAATAATGCTACAATAAACATGGGACTGCAGATATCTCTGATATACTGATTTCCTTTCTTTTGGGTATATACCTAGCAGTGGGATTGCTGGATCATATGGTAGTCCTATTTTTAGTTTTTGAGGAACATCCATACTCTTCTCTGTTCCAATTTGGATGATCTTTATTTCTCTTGCCTAATTGCTCTTGCCAGAACTTCCAGCATTATGTTGAATAAAAGTGGTACAAGTGGGCATCCTTGTCTTGTTTCAGTCCTTAGAGAAAATACCTTTAATTTTTTCCTTTTCAGTATGATATTAGCTATGGGTTTGTCATATATGGCCTTTATTATTTTGAAGTATGTTCCTTCTAACCCATGTTGATGAGGGTTTTGATCTGAAAGGGATGTTGAATTTTTTCAAATTTTTTTGGCTTCTGGTAAAACAATCATATAGTTTCTGTTCCGGATTCTGTTAATGTGGTGCATCACATTTATTGATTTGCATACGTTGAACCATTCTTGCATCCCTGGAATCAATCCCACTTGGGTCGTGGTGAGTGATCTTTTTAAAGTGTTGTTGAATTTGGTTTGCTTGTATTTTGTTGAGGATTTTTGCATTGATGTTTACCAGTGATATTGTCATGTAATTTTCTTTCTTTTGTTGTGTTCTTGTCTGGTTATCAGGGTGTGCTGGATACCCTGATATCAGGGTAATGCAGGCCTCATAGAATGAATTTGGAAGTATCTTCTCCTCTTCAATTTTTTTTGAATAATTTGAGTGCAATGATATTAGTTCTTCTTTAAGTGTGTGGTAGAATTCAGCAGTGAAGCCATCAGATCCTGGGCTTTTCTTTGATGGGACGATTATGATTTCAATCTTGTTACTTATTATTGATTTGATGACATTTTGTATTTCTTCATGGTTCAGTCTTGGCAGGTTTTATATGTCCAGGAATTTATCTGTTTCTTCTAGGTTTTCCAATTCGTTAGTGTATAGTTGTTCATAATAGTCTCTAACGATCTTTTGTATTTCTGAGGCCTCAGTTGTTATGTCTCCTTTTTTTGTCTCTGATTTTAATTATTTGGTTCCTTTCCCTTTTTTCTTAGTTAGTCTAGCTAAAACTTGTTGATTTTGTTTATCTTTTCAGAAAACCAGCTTTTCATTTCCTTGTCTTGGTGTTGGTGCTCAGCAGACCTGTGGAACACACTTTCTACAGCATGCTGCTGCCATACAGCCACTCTGATTTGGCATTTGCTCTGGCCGAGATACAGAGTAGAGTTTTCAGGGCTGAAGGTGGTATTCCCCCCACTGCTGCATCCTCTGCCTGTCCTCAGGGATGTTACTCCCTTCACACACTCATGATCTTCCTGTGGGTTAAGGCAGAGACAGTTTTCTTGCCAGGGAATTTAAGATGATGGGCAAGCTGGTTGTCCACATCGATCTCACTTTTTCTAGTGTAGAAACTGTGAGTTGGTGAAAAATTTCCCACATGCTTGGTGCTAGGCAGAATGGAGGAAGGGGTGTTGTGGATATGGAAGATTAATTTTCCTGTCACCTGCTTGGAGTTTTTTCACTTCCCTGTGGCCCTAGGATCTGTCTCATCTTCATATATGAGTTCTAGACTATTGCTGGTGATCATCTCAGCACTGCATATTTGTTTTCTGTTTTCTGTGGGAAAAAGTGAAGCCAGCTTGCTTCTGTGTTGCCATTTTGGAACTGGAAGTCCCCTTATGGGAGACTTTTAATTACTAATTCAACCTCCTTATTTGTATTGATCTGTTCAGATTTCTAATTGCTTTATTGTTCAGTCTTGGTAGGTTATATGTTTTTAAAAATTTATCAGTTTCTTCTAGGTTTTTCAGTTTGTTGGCATATAATTATTCATAGCAGTTATGATCTTTGGATTTCTGTGCTGTCAGTTGTAATGTCTCCCTTTCATTTCTGACTTTATTTGAGTCTTCTCTCATTTTTCTTAGTTTAGCTAAGGGTTTGTCAATTTTGTGTGGTTTATCAGAAAACCAACTCTTAGTTTCATTAATCTTTTTTATTGTTTTTCTAGTTTCTATTTCATTTATTTCTGTTTATATCAGTTTGTTTTGGTAAGTGTTGGGCAGGCTGCCCAGTGTGGTCTTCTGTCATATCTGTCATTTCTAGGTTACCATCTTGGGCAGGTGTCCCCAACCCCTGGCCATGGACCAGTACCAGTTTGTGGCCTGTTAGGAGCCAGGCCACACAGCAGGAGGTGAGCAGCAGGCAAGCAAGCATTATGTCCTTAGCTCTGCCTCCTGTCAGATCAGCAGAGCCATTAGTTCTTATAGGAGTGCCAACCCTATTGTGAACTGTGCGTGGGAAGGATGTAGGTTGCATGTTCCTTATGGGAATCTAATGCCTGATGATCTGAGGTACAAGTGTCATCCTCAAACCATCCCCTGTGTCTACTGTCTGTGGGAAAATTGTCTTCTACAAAACTGGTCCCTGGTTCCAAAAAAGGTTGGGGACCACTGATCTAGGGGACCCATCTCAAGGGTCTTCTAGGTATAATTTCAGCCCTTGCTCTCCACTTATGCCCCTCTCTAGTCTTCCTTCCTCCTACAATATAAGGTTGTCCTGGAAAGTTGCTTTATTTTCAATTCACTGATGTTACTTATCTTAGGATCATTAATTGGGAAGGCATTGGACTGAGGTGGTTCCAGTGTCCTGGGATCCTAGGTAAGCAAACCAAAACTTAAATCAGTGCAACTGGTCATTATCTAGGCCAATCAGAAACAGCCAACTAACTTCTCACCTGGAACTTCCTGCTGGAATGTACTCTTTGCCTTGCTTCTGCATTTACCCTGTGAAATCCTTTCCAGAGCTGCTTGTAGTCTGGTGCTGTATGATTCATGTATCACTGTTTTCATAAATAGACTCTTCAATATTTGAATGTGTCTAACTTTATCTTTTAACACATATATGAATGCAATTTGATGTACTTTGTTGTTGTAGACAAGCTCAGGGGCTACATGAAGAACAGCAGGTTACAGCAGGTATAACTGATACTTAGTGTTCAGAGTAGGGTTCTTGTCCTAGCCCTTATTATACATACATATTCAAAGGGAATAAGTGGGGAAGAGAGACAAGGACTTGGAAGCATTATAGGCAGTTAGGGTAGCCAAGCACTTGGGAATGAAATCTAGATGGCACAGGACGGGCATACACTTCTAGGTCACTCTTCTTTTCCTGATATTGTCAATTAAGGAAATTCATCATCTTACTGTATCATGCATATGAAGGCTTAGTCTACCTATCCACTTTGAAGTAGAGTGTTAAGGCATTTATGCAGGTAATTTACACCAAAAAGAACCCCCATCCACCCACCCATTTACTTGAATTGTCTAGGTATTGCAGGGAAATACGTATTTTAGATCAGGAATTATGCCGATCATTTTTTTTCAATTCATCATTTTACTTTTTTCCCAAGTTTTTTCACAAGTACAACTTTGGTGAAATATAAAGAGAGGAGATATGTGTGTCAGAGACTCAAATTTCTCTTAGCTTTATGTGTTATTATTCAGGCTTCCATGTAATTTCCTCTGAGGATGTCATGATTTGTATACACCCTGAATACATAGCAATTTGCTTGTTTTCATTGGCACTGTGTCTGATAGTTGCTGTAATCTTTGGGAAACCTTTCAAATTTTGGAATATTACTAGTCTTCTAGAATAGATAATGTTTATTATGTTGCTTCTCATTTTTAATCTCACCTTTAAACTTTTTCTTTTATAGTAGTATCCCCTAGTGATAGAGGCACAATATCATAAAAGCCTAGACCAGTCTCCATTAGCCATGGAAATTAAGGGAAGGAATATTGTGGATAATATAAAGGAAACATACCCGACTGAATCTCCATTTTGTGCACTTGTGTTATGAGCTATTTTGGGCTTTATAATGGTTCTAATACAATCATAAAGTCATTAGGAGAACTCAGAAGAACATGGAAAATTGTCTCATTTTCTAATTCTTCCCTTTGCTTATGCAACTCCTCCTCCACAGTGTGAAGCTCTATTTTGCTTATACTGAGCTTTACTTTTGCCCTCGATTCTCCGATTGTTTAGTGTATATGGTTTGGGAAGGAGAAGATGGGAGTGCCTATTTTTATTTTAAATGTTTTCTTTGTGGTTAGATCTGGATATTTAAAGAGAAGGCAGATTTCTCAAGTTGTGTGCCCTTCCAGCTCCAAGTGAGCTGTACACATTCAACACATGAAAAGCCGGGGAATACTTCTGGTCCTTTCATGCAAAATGAATACTCCTCCAGGAGATAACTAAGGTTTGATTCTAATAAAGATTCAGTCATTTCCACTGAAGACTTAAAAAAACATACACACAAGAGAGAGGAACAGTAAACTCTGGACATTACTTTTTCAGTAACACATCTTTTTCATATGTTTTGATAAATGTTCAGTTATCTCCTGTTATCTGGTGCCAGTTTTGCTGGTTGCCACTTGCTGAGACAGAAATGCTGGAGGAGGAGGGTGCCAGGCAGGACCTAGTCAGAAGTATTTGCCCAGAAGTGATAGAGACAGTATCACTGAAAATAACACCAGGCCTTTGAAAAAGAAGTCAAGGTCAAATACCAAGAAATGACAGGATTCATATCAGAATGGCACAGGGAACATAGAGTCAGGTTGAGGCTGGGACCATCAATGCTCCTAATTAGTCAAGTAGATGCTGACCAATATCTTTTTTAACAAGCTCCTCCCTGATCTCTGGCTTCTGCGTACATCTCCAGCTTTTTTCTCTCTGGTTCCCAATTCGAATTCTGCTCTAGACCAGTGACTGTCATGCGTAGCCTCATAGAGGCTTGCTTGCTTTCACCACTAAACCTTCATCCACACCATCTCTCTGCTCAGCAATCTCTTTCCTCTGTCCCATCTTTGTCTGGCTATCTGCTCTAGCTCAGAGAAGAAGCACCTTGTTTACAGGGAGAGTCCAATGTGCTAAGGAGAAAGGTGGAGTTGATACCATTAGGAAAATGTAAAGGACATTGGAAAAAAAGCCTTCAAGGAACAATGGGTAACTACCTGCAACATTGTTGTGTAGGAATAAATGCATATACTTTTTTCTAGTCTTAATCAACCACATAGTCAATCTACTTTTTAGGTTCCTGACAGAAACATTAACCTTGAGTTCCCTGCTGCTCAACTCTTTCCTAAAGCTCACTTAGGGGAATAATATTCATAGAGGGACAGGCAATCTATCTATTTCTCTCAATAAATGTTACCCCTGGATCAAGTCACATTATAGGAGAGCAGTGAATGGCTCTAAGTGAATTATGCTCTGATGTCCTCCTCTTTATGCACCATGTGAAGTTCCACCCTTTATGGAGCACTTATCTGTAAGTGGCCATATTTATTAAGGGGATGTTGGTAAATATGATACATAGTTGATGACCTGGCAGTTTCACTTTGAGATATGTAACCAAGTGAAACTCCTGTGCATTTTTAACAGGAGTCATGTACACAATATTCACAGTTCCACTATTCACAATAGCAAAAACCTCAAAATAACCCAAACATCCACCAAAGGGAGTAAACAAAGGAACTGTGTTATAGTCACACAATGGAAATTATTAAGGAATCAAAACAAATGAATTATAGCAACATACAGTAATATAAATGAATCTTAGAAATACATTGTTAAGTGAGAGAATAAGTCCTAAAATCACGTACAAAATGATATCCATTTTTATAAAGTTGCAAACAACTAAAATAGGAGAAAGTAAAATTTTAGGAGCACATATAAAATCCTATACATATATATATATATAAAGAGAACCAAGGTAATGAGGAGCATGTGATACAGGATGATGGTTATTTTTCTTGGAGGAGTCTGTGAATTGGGCTGGGTTGGGAGAATAGAGGTGGTATAGGTTAATGTCAAGGTCCTACCTCTGGTCATCTGTGGTAGATTCACAGATGCTTATTACATCATTAAAACTCACTCACTCACTCACTCACTAGAAGTGGGAAGAAAAGAACAATGTCCAGTGTAACTCATAAAATCCCCTTAATGAGTGCCCTTGGGGAGATTTCTTTAAAAAAAATCAGATTTGAGAAATTGGAGCTTCTCCTGAAAAATCACAGTTTTCTCTTATATTAACTCTAAGAATTCTCTTTTTGCTTTGGCTGCTAGAAGCCTGAGTCAAATTTACAGCCCATCTTCAGTAATTATGTAGGGCTTATGGTATACATTTCTGTGTCTAATTTGAATCCTGATGTAATATTACCCTACCCTAGTTTCTTTTAGTTTTGATTTTTTGGAATCTACTCATTTAAAAACCCCATTCTATTGTATGCATTTCTATGAGCCTCTATAAATTCCCTTTAACTATGCAGAAGATATAAATGAATTAAAATAGATTTACCTGTTATTGGAAAGTATCCAGCATCTATTGCTTGAGAATGAAGGTGACATTTGGTGATGGGTTGTGATGTTATTTCATCACGGGTATTGTGTTTGTTGTGTTTTGCAGTTGGTAGGAAGGGGAAGTGAGCAAATTTGTTAAGATCGGTCTGGGGGAAATGTGCTGGATAGGTTCTACTCAAATACATATTTTTAAAATAAAACTTTTAAGTACTTCTCTTGGGTGTCTACCGTACTATGAAAGTCCTGTAACTTAGATATTACTAGGTACTTATATTTTAAGTCAAGTGCAATAAATTAAACTCTAAGTTCAGAAAATGGTGTGAAATAATCAAGCCTTGACAAATTGGCAGAGGTTGAGAAGTAGAATTGTTTCTTCCTCAAGCGGATATATAGTTACTGACAAAAGCCAGATCTAAGTTATTGGAAGTAATATTTCCTTGAGTCTGGATTGCTGGTCCATTGACAATAGCAATGTGAAATGCGACAGTGGATTTGATTATCTGCAATGGATAATCTCCCACATTGGAGGCATAATCTAATCAGAAAACTGTGTGGTCCATGGCTGGTTTGCTTTCATGGTTCCCCCACAAAAGGTATTTAACTGTCTAGACACAGAGCCACTTGATACAAAATTAAGAAAAGTAGCATTTCTTTCTCATTAGACTATATTTAAAAAGTATTTTAGAATAAAGATTCTAATAGGAGATGCTGTGTTTGAATTCCTTGAGAAATTTATAAGTTTCTGGAAAAAATGTATCTGTAAAAATTTTCTAATGATCAGCTACAATCTGGTCACTGAATGTGACATCTTCAAAATTATTAGTTAATAAAATTTCTCTTTGGTATGTACTTATAACCTTTTTTATTTTGGAATCAAATAATTTAGCTCTTTCTTAAGTTTCTCAGTATTTTGGCATGTGACTGAATTAATTAAATGGAATAATATTTCTAAAAAACAAGTGAAAGCAAAATTTGTTTTTAAATGAGCCAAAGAATTTTGGAAGATAATTTCCTCAAAAGTAATTTATTTAGGAAAAATTGAAAGTTTAGATGTCTGTCTTCATCACCAAGACATATCAGAAACTCAATGCAGGAGAAAGAAAGCATTTCTCAAATTCAAGAATGTGTGAAACAAATTGCTGGCATTTCAAAGCACAGTTGACACAGATCGGTTAGTTTAGTTATGAACATAGTGCTAATTAGAGTGAAATCCACAAGTTCTGTCATTTAAAAGATCTAGTTGTGTTTCTTCATACTGCCATAGATAGCATCACACTTATCCATTAAGATAACAAGTATTTATGAAATACTTTTTATATGTGAAGAAATGTGGCAGGTATTGTAGAGAATATGAAGATGAATAAAATATAATTCCTGCCCTTAAGGAGCATATGACTCATTGATAGGTATAAGACAAACAGATGAGAATATTGCAAGGATGCAATGGTATAAGAGAAGTATAAGGTGGAAAGACTCTTTCAGTTTTGCTCATCAAACAAGGCCTTTATGGATTGGACAAACATATGTCCTGGTTTCTGTGGGATACCTCCAGTTTATATCTGTTGTCATAGGATAACTATTAGTAGGCCCTCTTCCACTCTTTAAAGCATTCCAGTTTAGAAGAAAAATCATATGGTTATCCAATTTAGGGAGAAAACATTTAATATTGGCTTTGAAGATTGAATATAATTTCAACAAATGGAGTTCCATAGTATGGGGACACCAAAGATGAATTGGTCAGTTCATCCCGGAGATGGGTAGACACCAGGGAAAACACCAAAGAAAAACCAGAGTTGTATTAAAGATGGTTATCCATATGTGGACAAAGTGAAGGAAGCAACACACAAACACAGGGATATGAAATGCATCATACTTGGAGAAGTGTAAGTGATTGATGCTAATGGATAATTGGTGAGAAATGAGCCTGAGGAAATTGTTGAAGTTTCCACAGGCTTTGAAGTATTCACATACATGCAGTGGAACTGTGTGACTTTTTCTTCCAAGCAATAAAGATAGTAGTGGTGGGGTGTTTTTGAAACACTTTAGATACTCTTTTATTATTGGGGTTTTTATTTAAAAATGTGGTGGCAGCATGAACTGATAGATTGGAAGGGTGTAAGCTGGGAGACGTTACGACCAGTTAAAAGACCATCACAATAGTCATGATAAGAAAAAGTCAAGATCTGAACTAAGATAGTGACAATAGGAATGAAACTACATATCAAGGGATAAGACAGAAAATGTATTTCAAAAATAATGTCATTTAGCTTTTGACCTACATATAATTCTGCTTTTAAAAATAATTTAAACAAAACCTCATGAATTATACAAACTTAGCTTGATTTTCAGGACCTTAGAAAAATAAACTCTCTTTTTACTGACCAGAATGGAATTCATCTTGCCATGTCAATGACTTTAGGAACTTTGTAATTCAATGCCTTGTTCTTCATTACCAAGCATAGCAAACAGAATACATTATAATCTTTTTTTGTTTTTAGAATACGTTATAATCTTAGATGAACTCCTTAGTTAACATAAGTCTGTCTATCTATACATGGAAAATGAAATGTAATATAAAATTATGATAGTATATGTATAATTTAGGGCAAAAAGCACTGAGACATTTGCAATGAAAGCAGGAGTTTTAGAAATGAACTACTTGGATAGTAGCCTCAGTTGTACTGTTTATTCTGTTTACAGCCATAGCCTAAGAGTGCAGGCTAATAAAGGGAAATGGACCTTTGAACAAAGCAGACTTTGATGGGAAAAGGCCTTAGGAGTTTGTCTATTTCTTCTGCCTCCCACCTGATAAATAATCTTGTGTAGTGCCTGGGCAGAAGGAAAGAGTGAAATTGTATTTCCTTAACTACATAGAGGCCATAAAATTTGGGATATGTTCTTTAGGTTGATCCTAAAGCTGCAATATTCTTTGAGCCCTGGATGACTCATAAAAGTGCTCTATAATCTTAGATTTGCACTCTCCTGGTCTGCCTTTAACCAAATGGCTTGATTGCTTTTTAAATTGCTTTTTCATGACCAGAGTACAACTAAGCAGCCATTTTCTTCTTTGTAGAATCTCAGAGAAATAGGACATATCTATATGTGTAGCACACGAATTACAGAATTGAAGCAATTACTGAATAATTGAAGAGAATACACTATTGTTCTGAAATATGTGACTATTTGAGGAAAGAAAGGCCCTGTTCTGCTGATTTGTTATCTAAGTGATTCCTGTTAATCTTTCATTTTGCTTGGTATGCACAGACACAGATAAAATGTCTGCTCTATGGCTTAATTTAGTCTTGCTTTCAAATCCCATTCAATGCTTTCCAACAATCTTTACTTTCTTGTGAGATATAGATCCTTATAAGTCGAAGATGCTATGATTTTTTCCCAGTGATCTTAGACTCCATCTAACCCTATTATTGGGTTCTTCCTCAGCCTACCCCTCACTTTAATTATTCAGATATCCCAAGAATTAACTTAATATTTCACACTTATCTAACTCAAGTAATAAATAAAATTAATTGGAAAAAACGCACTGAAGGAAATAAAAGCACAGAAAGTAGGAAAATGTATGTTCTTTATTGAGTACCCATTATATGGATGGCTTTTTACATGAATTATCCAAAATAATCTTCATAGTGACTCTAGAAAATAGGTATCACTATCACCATAATATATAATGACATAACAGAGACTCCAGAATAGGGATTGGATCTAGGATTAGTACGTGTTGACATTCTGCACTACCAAACCCTAGGCTGTACCCCAAGCAGGCTTTTGAATGTATGAGAGGTAATGGAGATGATTCCAACAAGTAAATTGTGGAACTGGTCTCACCTAATCATCTTCTTCAGAAGTTTTCATTTTATTATCATTCCCTGTATTCCAGCATATCCCCAATAGAAGCAGAATAACCCTTCAGTTTTACAGTGGCAAATGTGGAAAGATTGGCATTTTGTGGAATGCCACTTGAGAAATGTTTGTCTAGAAGAATGGGTATGCAAAGAAACACTAGTTTTGCTTATTCCAAAAAGGAAAATAAATAGAAATCACCTCAGGTCTCTCTGACTACTCCTTCCTTTCTTCATAAAACAGGATGTCTCATCTGTTGGATTGTCACTAGGAGTCTAATAGCTGTTCACATAGAAATTGCTCTATAAATCACCAACATGCTATTGAGCTCTTTGAGATAATTTAAAAATTAAATCCAGTCAGAATCGCACTAATATATTAACATTTTTTTCTCTCTTGTGTCTCAGAGTCAGATTAATTATTAACTCAGCACTGAAAAAGACATCGGGAAGTTTCCTAAATAAATATTCGGTTGTTTTTTACTTCACTATAGATACACGAACATTTTGGAAGAAGCTTAGCTAATACATAGGACCATGAATATTAGTTTTAGAAAGAAATAGGTAGCACCAATTCTTAAAAACATGGCCAGAATCCTGGCTTTAAAACATATTGATTATGGTCAGATTGAAGAGTTGATTAGACCATATATCAAGTTTATACTAAGCTTTATTTTTATTTATTTACTTATTTTAATTATACTTTAAGTTCTAGGGTGCATGTGCACAACGTGCAGGTTTGTTACATAAGTATACTTGTGCCATGTTGGTGTGCTACACCCATTAACTCGTCATTTACATTAGGTATATCTCCTAATGCTATCCATCCCCCCTCCCCCCAACCCCACAACAGGCCCCAGTGTGTGATGTTCCCCACCGTGTGTCCAGGTGTTCTCATTGTTCAATTGCCACCTATGAGTGAGAATATGCGGTGTTTGGTTTTTTGTCCTTGCGATAGTTTGCTGAGAATGATGGTTTCCAGCTTCATCCATGTCACTACAAAGGACATGAACTCATCCTTTTTTATGGCTGCATAGTATTCCATGGTGTATATGTGCCACATTTTCTTAATCCAGTCTATCATTTATGGACATTTGGGTTGGTTCCAGGTCTTTGCTATTGTGAATAGTGCCGCAATAAACACACGTGTGCATGTGCCTTTATAGCAGCATGATTTATAATCCTTTGGGTATATACCCAGTAATGGGATGGCTGGGTCAAATGGTATTTCTAGTTCTGGACCCTTGAGGAATCATCACGCTGTCTTCCACAATGGTTGAACTAGTTTACAGTCCCACCACCAGTGTAAAAGTGTTCCTATTTCTCCACATCCTCTCCAGCACCTGTTGTTTCCTGACTTTTTAATTATCGCCACTTTTATTTTTTATTTTATTTTATTTTTAAGACGGAGTCTTGCTCTGTCGCCCAGGCTGCCAGTATTTTATTGAGGATTTTTACATCGATGTTCATCAGGGATATTGGTCTAAAAATCTCTTTTTTTTGTTGTCTCTCTGACAGGCTTTGGTATCAGGATGATGCTGGCCTCATCAAATGAGTTAGGGAGGATTCCCTCTTTTTCTATAGATTGGAATAGTTTCAGAAGGAGTGGTACCAGCTCCTCTTTGTACCTCTGGTAGAATTTGGCTGTGAATCCATCTGGTCCTGGACTTTTTTTGGTTGGTAGGCTATTAATTATTGCCTGAATTTCAGGGCCTGTTATTGGTCTATTCAGGGATTCAACTTCTTCCTGGTTTAGTCTTGGGAGTGCGTATGTGTCCAGGAATTTATCCATTTCTTGTAGATTTTCTAGTTTATTTGTGTAGAAGTGTTTATAGTATTCTCTGATGGTAGTTTGTATTTCTGTGGGATAGGTGGTGATATCCCTTTTGTCATTTTTTATTGTGTCTATTTGATTCTTCTCTCTTTTCTTCTTTATTAGTCTTGCTAGCGGTCTATCAATTTTGTTGATCTTTTCAAAAAACCAGCTCCTGGATTCATTGATTTTTTGAAGGCTTTTTGTGTCTCTGTCTCCTTCAGTTCTGCTCTGATCTTAGTTGTTTCTTGCCTTCTGCTAGCTTTTGAATGTGTTTGCTCTTGCTTCTCTAGTTCTTTTAATTGTGATGTTAGGGTGTTGACTTTAGATCTTTCCTGCTTTCTCTTGTGGGCATTTAGTGCTATAAATTTCCCTCTACACAGTGCTTTAAATGTGTCCCAGAGATTTTGGTATGTTGTGTCTTTGTTCTCATTGGTTTCAAAGAACATCTTTATTTCTGCCTTCATTTCGTTATGTACCCAGTAGTCATTCAGGAGCAGGCTGTTCAGTTTCCATGTAGTTGAGTGGTTTTGAGTGAGTTTCTTAATCCTGAGTTCTAGTTTGATTGCACTGTGGTCTGAGAGACAGTTTGTTATAATTTCTGTTCTTTTGCATTTGCTGAGGAGTGCTTTACTTCCAACTACTTGGTCAATTTTGGAATAAGTGCAGTGTGGTGCTGAGAAGAATGTATATTCTGTTAATTTGGGGTGGAGAATTCTGTAGATGTCTATTAGGTCTGCTTGATGCAGAGCTGAGTTCAGTTCCTGGATATCCTTGTTAACTTTCTGTCTCATTGATCTGTCTAATGTTGACAGTGGGGTGTTAAAGTCTCCCATTATTATTGTGTGGGAGTCTAAGTCTCTTTGTAGGTCTCTAAGAACTTGCTTTACGAATCTGTGTGCTCCTGTATTGGGTGCATATATATTTAGGATAGTTAGCTCTTCTTGTTGAATTGATCCCTTTACCATTATGTAACGGCCTTATTTGTCTTTTGATCTTTGTTGGCTTAATCTGTTTTATCAGCGTCTAGGATTGCAACCCCTGCCTTTTTTTTTTTTTTTCCATTTGCTTGGTAGATCTTCCTCCATCCCTTTATTTTGAGCCTATGTGTGTCTCTGCTTGTAAGATGGGTCTCCTGAATACAGCACACTGATGGGTCTTGACTCTTTATCCAATTTGCCAGTCTGTATCTTTTAATTGGAGCATTTAGCTCATTTACATTTAAGGTTAATATTGTTATGTGTGAATTTAATCCTGTCATTATGATGTTAGCTGTTTATTTTGCTCGTTAGTTGATGCAGTTTCTTCCTAGCATCGATGGTCTTTACAGTTTGGCATGTTTTTGTAGTGGCTGGTACTGTTTGTTCCTTTCTATGTTTAGTGCTTCCTTCAGGAGCTCTTTTAGGGCAGGCCTGGTGGTGACAAAATCTCTCAGCATTTGCTTGTCTGTAAAGGATTTTATTTCTCGTTCACTTATGAAGCTTAGTTTGGCTGGATATGAAATTCTGGGTTGAAAATTTCTTTCTTTAAGAATGTTGAGGCCGGGCGTGGTGGCTCACACCTGTAATCCCAGCACTTTGGGAGGCCGAGGCAGGCAGATCACGAGGTCAGGGGCCTGAGATCATCCTGGCTAACACAGTGAAACCCCGTCTCTACTAAAAATACAAAAAATTATCTGGGCGTGGTGGTGGGCGCCTGTAGTCCCAGCTACTCGGAAGGCTGAGGCAGGAGAATGGTGTGAACCTGGGGGGCGGAGCTTGCAGTGAGCCGAGATCATGCCACTGCACTCCAGCCTGGGTGATAGAGTGAGACTCCATCTCAAAAAAAAAAAAAAAAGGAAAAAAAAAGAATGTTGAATATTGGCCCCCACTCTCTTCTGGCTTGTATAGTTTCTGCCGAGAACTCCACTGTTAGTCTGATGGGCTTCCCTTTGTGAGTAACCCGACCTTTCTCTCTGGCGGCCCTTAACATTTTTTCCTTCATTTCAACTTTGGTGAATCTGACAATTACGTGTCTTGGAGTTGCTCTTCTTTAGGAGTATCTTTGTGGTATTCTCTGTATTTCCTGAATTTGAATGTTGGCCTGCCTTGCTAGGTTGGGGAAGTTCTCCTGGATGATATCCTGCAGAGTGTTTTCCAACTTGGTTCCACTCTCCCCTTCACTTTCAGGTACACCAATCAGATGTCGATTTGGTCTTTTCACATAGTCCCATATTTCTTGGAGTGTTTTTTCATTTCTTTTTACTCTTTTTTCTCTAAACTTCTCTTCTCGCTTCATTTCATTAGTTTGATCTTCACTCACTGATACCCTTTCTTCCAGTTGATCGACTTGGTTACTGAAGCTTGTGCATGTGTCACGTAGTTCTCGTGCCATGGTTTTCAGCTCCATCAGGTCATTTAAGGTCTTCTCTGTGCTATTTATTCTAGTTAGCCATTCATCCAACTTTTTTCAAGGTTTTTAGCTTCTTTGCGATGGGTTCAAACATCTTCCTTTAGCTCGGAGAAGTTTATTACTACCGATTGTCTGAAGCCTTCTTCTCTTACCTTGTCAAAATCGTTCTCTGTCTAGCTTTGTTCCATTGCTGGCGAAGAGCTGCATTCCTTTGGAGGAGAAGAGGTGCTCTGATTTTTACAATTTTCAGCTTTTCTGCTCTGGTTTCTCCCTAACTTTGTGGTTTTATCTACCTTTGGTCTTTGATGATGGTGACGTATAGATGGGGTTTTGGTGTGGATGTCCTTTCTGTTTGTTAGTTTTCCTTCTAGCAGTCAGGACCATCAGCTGCAAATCAGTTGGAGTTTGCTGGCGGTCCACTCCAGACCCTTTTTGCCTGGGTATCACCAGTGGAGGTTGCAGAACAGCAAATATTGCAGAACGGCAAATGTTGCTGCCTGATCCTTCCTGTGGAAGCTTCGTCTCAGAGGGGCACCAGGCTGTATGAGGTGTCAGTCGGCCCCTACTGGGAGGTGTCTCCCAGTTAGGCTACTCGGGGATCTGGGACCCACTTGAGGAGGCAGTCTGTCCGTTCTCAGATCTCAAACTCTGTGCTAGGAGAACCATTACTTCTTCAAAGCTGTCAGACAGGGACGTTTAAGTCTGCAGAAGTTTCTGCTACCTTTTGTTCAGCTATGCCCTGTACCCAGAGGTGGAGTCTACAGAGGCAGGCAGGCCTCCTTGAGCTGTGGTGGGCTCCACCCAGTTCAAGCTTCCTGGTGGCTTTGTTTACCTACACAAGCCTCAGCAATGGCGGGCGCCCCTCCTCCAGCCTCACTGCCACCTTGCAGTTCAATCTCAGACTTTTGTGCTAGCAGTGAGTGAGGCTCCATGGGCATGGGACCCTCCGAGCCAGGCATGGGATATAATCTCCTGGTGTGCCATTTGCTAAGACCTTTTTAAAAGTGCAGTATTAGGGTGGGAGTATCCCAATTTTCCAGGTACCATCTGTCATGGCTTACCTTGGCTAGGAAAGGGAATTCCCTGCGCTTCCTGGGTGAGGTGATGCCCCTCTCTGCTTTGGCTCACACTCCGTGGGCTGCACCCACTGTCCAACAAGCCACAGCGAGATGAACCTGGTACCTCAGTTGGAAATGCAGAAATCACCCGTCTTCTGCATCACTCATGTTGGGAACTGTAGACTGGAGCTGTTCCTATTTGGCCATCTTGGAACCTCTCTTAAGCTTTATTTTTAGATATTTACTGAGTAGATTAACATTACAGAAGAGGAAAAATATTGGATATAAATAACACAGTGGAATTTGGAGGATGCTTGTCTTGGGGTATACATACATCATGTAGCCCAGCTATTTAAATCTTGTCCTGAACCTCAGTAGTTCTTGGGTCCAACTTAAATATTAGTTATTTTGACCTGGGTATTTCTTCTACAAAATAAATGCAAGTGATGTCAGCTCATCCCTGCTGGCAGTCTTTCCAGATGTAGTAGCCCTTGATTTACTGTAGATTTGAAAGTTACATATGATTTTTATACCCTATGTTAGCAAAACTCATTCATTTTCTTGCATAATCTGCAGGATAGAGTTCCTGTACAACTAAAATAAGTTAGACTTGAAAGTCTTTGCAACTTATATATTAAGCATAAGGGAGGAAAAGAGCTGAAGATGTTTGAAGATGGTCATGAAAAGTAAGGAGGCCAGAGGTGTGAGTTACTGAAGAGGAAGCTTTCATTACCATGGCCAGGAGCACAAAGTTAAAGCTAGGGTGAGCCAAAAGAACCACCTTCAATTTCTATCCTGTAGGTTTTACAGAAAAAGAAGAGTCTAAGGAAGACCTCAAGGAATAATAATAGCAAATATTACTGCGTGCTATGTGCCAAGTGTCTTTCATAAGAACCATTCCCCACTTCACAGGTGAAGATACTGAGGCATAGAAAGGTGAAATAAACTATCAGAGATCACACAAATTAGTGGATCCACAATTAGAATTTAGGCTCTTAATTCTACGTCTTATATTAGTAACCTCTAAATTTTGACTATGAATAAGTATTTTAATGTTGGCTTCTCTTCTCAGTGCTCCTTACATGAGGTTTATCCTGTTAACAACTTCTTATGGTTTCTGTTTTAAATCTTTAATTTTATTTTTACTGTCATATCCTTTTCTGCTTGTTTACCAGCTCACTTCCTTACCAGCTCACTTCCTTTTTCTTATTTGATGACCATCAGGGAGAAGGTGTGACGTTTCTTGGTCATAGGAGGGAGTGTGATCTGACACCAGAGGACTTAATATAACATTGCAGTGTTAACATCTTCACTGGCAGATTCATGGACTTTCCCCCTCCTGAATGGTAACGTATCTTCTTATCTGAATCAAGGATGCAGATATGATCTTACATAATCCTCTTTCTTTAGCTTTGTTCCCTATTTGGATTATCAAGATTTAAATTTTATTATGGGAATTCAGTAAAAAAAACTTACAAAATCTTTGGAATTGTACAACTTCTGGAAATAAACATAATATATGCCTCAAGATTGACTTCTTTAGAACACTGATAATCGAGACAGATGCTGGTTCTGTCCAAGGGCAGAGGCTGCTCCCTGAATACACTTCTGATCAAGACCTAAAATATTTCACATAGCCCACTCACACTCTGAGGAATGCAGACCGATTATTCAACATTAAGATGCTGGGAAAAAGGAAATAACACTCCGAAGCCTCTAATGAGAGTGTGTACAGTGATCCATCTGTAAATAAGGCTTGTGTACCGTATAATCGTTTGGATTTGGAAGGAAAAGAAGGATTATTTACAGGCCTTTCTTGCAGATGGTGCATGGCCCTCATGGGGATATATTTGCATGCTACTCAGGTTATAACTTCATTGGGTCCACATTTTCATGACAGAAAGTGTTGAGCCATCTGAAAGCTGTGATTAAAACCATAGCAAATTCTTTTAGAAAAAAGTATACTGTCACATCCACTTGATGATTTCTTTTTATTGGTGGTAAAGCTCAATAAACCCAGAGACATGTTCATTTTATTACCTACTTCCCTCCTTTTGAGAACTTTCTTAGCAAAGATTGTGTTCTTTATTTGCAGCATTTCAACACCTTGAAATGAACGATGCCTCATGTCTCTGCAGGGTGGACATAGCTCTAACTCTCTGAAGCTGGTGAGAATGTTGAAGCCTAGGGGTGCCTTTTGAAAGACATAAATTTGGGCCCTGAAGTGGTAGTGGGGAGGTGGGATAGGAGAAAAGGAGAAACCTTTGTGGTGGAAAGATATCTGGGTTGGTCGTTCAGGTTCTGCTGTAATTAGTTGTGAGAAAGTCAGTCAGTTACCCTCTGTGAGCCCTATTTTTTTAAAAAAATAATAATGGTCTGCCTATTTCAGAAGTTTGATGCGAGAACCAAGTAGAAAGGTTCTTTGTGAAGCAAGTATTGAAATATATTCTCATTAAAGCGTGTGCATGGGATTGTGCTAAGCACTGCAGGGGGTAGGATACAAATAATACTTAGACTCTCACCTCAAGCTAATAAGGCAATAAAATAAACACCTCAATAAATAGAACAAGTAAATTGCAAAACCAGTAATTTGGAGAGTGATTTTCACCACTTGAGACATGGTGTCTCTAGAGCAGTGGCTCTCAAATCTGGCTGTTCATTAGAATTACCTGGGAGCTTTAAAAACAGATAATTGTCCAGGCCCCAGCCCCAGAAATTTTGACTTAATTAGTTGGATATGCCTCACCTTCCACTTTCCCCTACATTATCATTTTAAAAAATGTGCTTTAGGTGTGTTTAATTTGCATCAGAATCGCTTAGAGGGTTTATTAAACCTCAGATTGTTGGGCCCCACTCCTGTATATTCTGATTCACTAGGTCTGAGGGCGGGGGCAAGAATGAACATTTCTCACAAGTTTTGTGATGCTGATTGTCTGCAGGTCATACTTCAGAGCCAGTGCATTCATTTTATTTTACTGTTAATGCTGTGTATGCAATACGCATATATTTTTTTCAGGCTGAAGGAAGCAGGTGGACACAAAAGTCCATTCTTTGGTGCAATTTTATAGTTGGGAAAGTCAACACTGTGTGGCCAAATGAACACAACTGCATTTGATCAAAGAGATAGTTGGCTAACAGAAAAAAATTTCTTCATACAAAGGTTGGTCACTTGCAAATGTGCTAGTTAGAAATTATCCTCTAAGAAAAGAAAACATTATTTAGGGGACACCTGGTAAGCAATAACCTGTTCAACAAAGCACATTTTGAAAAAAAATTTTAGATTTGGAAGGAAACTCAGATTCCTTTTCTTTGTAAATATCTCTCTAAGCAACAGAATGAATGATTCACCTTTCCAAATCCTTGGGTATCAGAATAGCTGAATAAACATAGCATAATTTTCAGAAATAGACCCCTATTAAACTTTCACAGCCCATGTAAGATGCCAGTAAGAAAATGTGCAAAATTGATCGTCACATCTTTATTACTTATAGAGGCATAGAAGGGCACTCAAAGTTGATTTGAGTGTTAAAATGTATGAATTGTCTATTTCCTGAAGAGTGTAAATCCTAAATGTCCATGAACATCAATTATCGGAGACTCTAGGGCTTCAGTTGCCTTAAATTAGGAAAATGAGAAATTTACCTTGTCAATTTCTTCCTTAGGGTATATAGATGAGAACTGAGGCTTTGTAGATGTATGGATGGAATAACATTCAGTGACTGGGAAGAGCTCAAACTGTTCTATTTTATCATTTTTTATTATGAATATATTTTATAATATAAGAAAATAGGCTCTTTGCCAGGGCATCCTTTTCTCTTGTTATGCCCTACCAATCACAGATTGACTGGGAAAAAGGATGTTTTAAATCCCTACTAAAGTCAAAGGAAAATTTCAGCAGAAAGTTTATTGAATAAACTTTTTTATGCATAAAAAATAAAAAGCAGCAGTGTGTGAACTTGCCCTTACAGTGGAGTAGATAAAAACTAAGCAAGCTTTCATAGACTTCTGTTTCTGCATTTAGAGTTGGACAGGTGAAACATCCACAGTCTTTCTTGACCTGAATCAAGCTCAGAGTGACAGTGTTTAAGGTAAGAATATTAAGGAAGACTGCAGATGGCTTAATAGGATAGAAATGGAGATCTTAATTATAAAGCAGGCATTATACTATAGATTATATAGCCAATAATGTTCAGAAAGGCTTTTTTAAAGACACAGTTAAAATAAGACAATAAGAGCATTATACAAATTATAAAACAAATACTAAGGTGGTATCAAAGACTTGTTCAAATTTTATCTCTTTCAAGTTTATAATGGAAGGGAACTTGCTACACCTAAGTTCTGTTTTTAAATAGGGACTTACAACACTTGTAAACGTCTTTCTCAGAGCTGGATGGACCTTTATATTGAGTCAAATGAGTTGACATAGTGGTAGTACATGTGAAGTTTGGTGCTCCTGAGTATTTAGGTTGCTGCAAAAGTAGTTGCAGTTTTCGCCATGAGTTTTAATACATCTTTATTCTGGAGTCTTTGAGACACCATTCTCTTCCACATCTCCTCTTATGTCCTCTTGTTGTCCAACGTACAGGCTGCTCTTCTTTCGTCGCGTCATTCCCTTTTCTTTGAGTCCACACTCTTCTTCAGTTATTACCACATAACTTCATCAACAACTTTGTTGTTAATGATTCCTGAACTTTATATTTCAGACACAGATCACTTTCTTCAACCCAAAAGTACAACTGCTGCCTGGATAGTGCATGGTTAGCTCTGTTTTGTGGGCACCTGAATTCAATGTACTAACACTTAAAGCTTGTTATGTCTTCTGCGTTTCTTGTTTTGATTACGGGTGGCATGATTCTTGCTCCTCAAACCAAAACTTGAAAACCTTTTTAAAGGACTGTCCCTCCTCCACCTCCTTCAAATGGCCACTAGCTTCTGTTAGATTCTACTCAAATATATCTTGGAGTTGTTATCAGTATTTTTCTTTAAAAATGTTAATTTTGTTAAATTTAAAAAAGAAAAGTCCAAAGAAGAAAAATAACAATAACAATAAAAAGAACAATTATCTTCTTCCCATTCTTACCATCTCCACCACTACCATCCTGGTTCCATCATCCTTCACCTGAATTATTCCAATATCCCCGCTTCTGCTTTCTCTTTCTACCTTGCTTGTTTGTGGTCTAGTCTCCACACAGCAGCCAGATTAACTATTTAAAAATATAAGTCAGGTCAAATCATTCCCTGTTTAAAAATCCTCTCACAGCTTCTTGTCTCATTTGGAGAAAAAAACCAAACTACTTACAATGGCCTATACGGCCCTTTACAACTGTCCCACTCTCTCTATCCTGACCCCCCAACTCCTCTGACCTCATCTCCTACCGCCATCCCTTTGGACCCTCTTTGTGGTCTGGAAAGATGCCAAATATGTCCTGCTTTAAAGTCTCTGCCTGTGCTGCTCTGTCTGCCTGGAAAGTTTGTTCCCTTGGGTATCTCCATGGCTTGGTCTCAGACCAATAAAGTGATGCTCAGAACTTTCCTTCAAGTCTCTACTCAAATGTTACCTTATCATAAGGTCTTCTCTGGCCACCCTCTCTGACTCCCACCCCAGAGTGGTTCATATTACCATTACCACAGGGGTAAACAGAATTTGCTGTCAAAACAGGACCCCTTTAGGAGTGAAAAGGAGCCCCAATCACACAGCAAGTGGGGACAAGAGTCATAAACTGGGACTAGCCCTGACAAACTAGGATTATATGGTCACTCTGCTGTTAGACTTTTTTTTTCTTCATAGCTTATCTTATCACTGTCTGACATGGTACATGTTTACTTTCTATGTGTTTTTGTCTATTCTCTCTCATAAGTTTCTTGAAAGGACTTTGTTTTCTTTGCTGTTGTATATTCAGCACTGTGGATAGTCCGTGCTACATAATGAATTCTCTCTCTCTCTCAATCTGTATCTAATTTCTCTATATATATACAGATATCTATCTAGAGATATCTATCTAGAGATATCTGTCTAGAGATATCTATCTATCTATGTATCTACATATCTATCTCTATATATCTAGTAAGATATACATATAAGATAGAGATATACATATAAGAGATAGAGAGAAATATAGATAGCTATAGACATATCTATATATACAGATCTCTATTTACCTATCTATGTATATACAGATACTGTCAAAACAGGACAGCTGTATCTATCTATCTATCTATCTATCTATCTATCTATCTATTTAGATATTTATCTCTATCCTAAAGGTGTGTGTGTGTGTATATATATACATATATATATATATATATATATATATACATATATATATATATATATATATATATATATATGATAGCAATAGATATAGATCTATCTATACCTTTAGGTGTATTTACATCTATATTTATATAGATAGATATACTATATATAGATATCTATATCTATATACATATATATACATATATCTATATATACAGATATCTATATACATATCTATCTATTTATTTAGATATTTATCTATCCTAAAGGTGTGTGTGTGTGTATATATATATATATATATATATATATATATATATATGATAGTGATAGATATAGATCAATCTATCTACACCTTTAGGTGTATTCATATCTGTATTTATATAGATATCTAGATATACTGTATGTATATAGATATCTATATCTATATTTATATAGATAGATATACTATATGTATATAGATATCTATATCTATATTTATATAGCTAGATATACACATGTTGGGTTCTCTCCTTCTTTGCCATTCTCTCAGATGACAGCAAAGTGGAGAGAATGAAATTCCATCCCTTTCACTATAGCTTGAAGAGGGAAAAAGAAGGAATTCCTTTCAGGATATTTTGTGAAGACAATCAAATTTTATATAGATAAATATATCTATATTTATATAGATAGATATACACATATCTATCTGTATCTATCCTAAAGGTGTCCTGTTTGACAGTATCTATATCTATATATAGATATATAGATATAGAGAGAATATAGATATACACACGTGTGTGTGTGTGTGTGTGTGTGTATATATATATATATATAGAGAGAGAGAGAGAGAGAGAGATGGGATCTCACTCTGTTGCTCAAGCTGGAGTGCAGTGGTGCAGTCATGGCTCACTGCAGCCTCTACCTCACCAGGCTCAAGTGATCCTCCCACTTCGGCCTCCCTAGTAGCTGGAATTACAGGTACATACCACCACGCCCATATTTTTATTTTTATATTTTTAGTAGAGAAGGGGCTTCACTATGTTGCTCAAGCTGGTCTCAACTCCTGAGCTCACGCAATCTGCCTGCCTTAGCCTTCTAAAGTGCTGGGATTACAAGTGTGAGCTGCTACACCCAGCCTAGTATTTTTAAATAAATGAATAAATAAGTCTATATTCCCCAAATCCTGAATTAGCCATTGCTAACACCATGGTGCATTAGTTTTCATTTTTGTAAAAATGATAAGCATGCATTACCAAAATCAATGCTGTAAAGTGGAAAAGCATTAAATCACATCTCCTAGAAATTCCCATTAGTAAACATCATTCTAAGTACGTTCCATGTACATTGATGAAAAGATGAATGATAGAAAAATAGAAATGCCTTTACAAAAATGAAGCCTTATTATTGATGATATTTTCAAATGAAGGGTATTTTATTAATTTTGCTAGAATTTAAAGGTGGAATAACAAATGAGTAAAATATCCTTCTAACACAGATATTTTATTTCTTAGATTCCCTATAAAAATGGGAAAAGAGAACTTTCAAAACACTAAAGATTAGAAATATTTAAAAAATCTTTGTTAACAGATATAATTACAATTCTCACAATTGTTTAAGATTGGTTTTATATTTAAGTTGATTCAAGCTCACTACCAGTCTCTTTATTAGAGTTTCTTTATTGTGAAGGTCTTTATATCTATTTATTTCCTAATTAACTGGATTTCACCATCATGTAAACTTTTTAAGAAATGCTCATAGCTACCGTATTACTTGTGTTATATTTTTGGGCTATACTTTCTTACTGAATTTGTATGTAGTGCTTCCTTATCTCTGTGATTTAATGTTACAGCAGCAACCTGATTTTTGTATGTGTGTGTTTGTGTGTGTGTATGAAGACGATTGCACCCTCTGCTGCCACACACTTTATTTACCTGATGCTGGAAGGGATTTTTTTTTGTTTTTTGAAGTTCATAACTTAATTGGAGTTGTCTTAGAGTTGATTGGTTTGTTTCTTAACTTCCCAGAACATAGTGTATTCTTTTAAATCTGAAGACACAGTTGTTTCTTTACTTTGGGGAAATTTTCTTGTATTATATCTCTGAGTGAATCTTCTGTTTCATTTGTTAGATGCCATTGTAACACATTATCCTTGTGTTAAGTGATTTATGTTTTCCATTTATATTGTCTTTTGCCAAATATCTTTAATCTTTTTTTCTATTAGAAGTCACTGTGATGTCTTATGCCTTTTTTCTATGTTAAATAATATGATTTTCACCAGTATCTATTCTGTTTCTTGTTTCAAATTTTAATCTCATTTTATTTATTAGCTGATCTTTGGGCTCTTTCTTTTTCTGTGTTGATATTAAGTTGTCCTGTGTTATGAAGCAACTAATTAGACCATTTTCTTTCTATTCTTTGAGTTGTATTTTTCTTTTTCTGGCTGTTGCAGTTATTTATTTATTTATTTATTTATTTATTTATTTTTGCTGTAATATGTTTGTAAAATGTTCATGCCATTTCTTTTTACCTTACTCAAGTTTGGGTGGCTCTGAGTGTAGCCTGTTTACTCTGATTGGTTATCAGAGTAACCTATTTATGCTGGGGTATGATAGACCTGATGTACTTGGATATGGTATGGGTGATGACTTGAGTGTCTTCACAAAATATCCTGAAAGGAATTCCTTCTTTTCCCCTCTTCAAGCTATAGTGAAAGGGATGGAATTTCATTCTCTCCACTTTCCTGTCATCTGAGAGAATGGCAAAGAAGGAGAGAACCCAACATTCTTAGCATACTTGGGCTCTGCTCTTTCTCTGCAGCATGTTAATGCCATAAACCAGAGCTTTCCTCACTTATCTGTAGGGAGTGTACCATGTTAGAGGCTTTGGGTAACTTTTACCGTATAATGAGTAGCCCTGAAGACTTTTCTTTCAAAAGAATGTTAGGCCCATTTCCAACTTTCCCGATTTCACTTGTTTTCCCTCAGCAGCGGTTTCCATTATATTTCAGTAGAAAAAGGAAGTAGATAAGAGTATCCCTTCTGCTTTCTTCTCTCCAAATTTGCTGTTGCAGTGAGGTTATGCCACTACCTGGCATGTCCCTTTTGCTCTAGTAAATGCAGACTCCAAACATCTTTCAGGAAACTGCTGCCACGTTGTCTTATTTTCTCTATGCCTCTACAAATTTTGTTTGCTCTGCCTGGAATGTTCTCTCTCTTCTTCTTTCTATTCTCTCTTTTTCCATTCCCTTTCTTTCCAGGGAACTTTTACTTATGTCTAAAGATGCAGTTCAAAAGCAGCCATTTCCTTGAAATGTAAGGACTTCTTCTGGGTTCCCATAAAGTTAATATATGGATTATATCACATTGCTATGATTATTTATTTGCATATTCTTTTCTGTTCTAAACTCTAATCTATCTCTCCCTACTGAAAATATACTTAATAATTATTTGTGGAGTAGGTAAATGATTATCTAGCCAAACATCTAATAAAATGGAATATTTTCTGAGGTCTTAGGTGTTGAAATACACATTTAAAAAACTAACTGCAAATGCAAACTACTTAGTTTATTGGGCATGATTCTCAGTCTCCAGCTTCACATCCCAGTTGCCTTGAACACGTATTTATTTTGCACATCTGGGTGTGGTAGATCTGATCTCTAAAAATAAAGAGGTTAATAGGTAGAAAACATATTTTTTCATTATTCTTTCCTTGTTTTTTAGAATGATTGTTGTTTTTTCAATCAGTATTTTCAGAGTACCTGAAATAATACCTCCTGATTCCAGGATCTTCAGGGCAAATATTTGTGATTAGCTTGGCTTGGACAAAATGCTTGCTCTCTAATCATTGTGAGAAAATGTCTTTGGATAATGAAGGAACCCTGTGTCTCCTCCATAACCCTACCTCACCATATGTGAAAATGTATACTTCCATTTCTTTTCCTAAGAACAATATAATTAAATATTTCTTTTCTTTATTTTCTGAAATTGCTCACTGGGATTTTTCTCAAGTAACTATAACCAAAAAAAGGATACAAGAAACAGTGACTGAAATTATTTCCTATGGTGCCTTTTGGCTATCAGAGAAGAATGTAAATAAAAAATACAGTTAAACAGAGATCCTCAGTAAATGGAATAAAGTAATGCTCAGCTTAGATTAGGGAATAGTTTTAAATCAAAACAGCCATTTACATCGTCCTGTAATGTGCAATAATGTCAGACTATGAAAGACACTAACCACCTGAAGTTTGTGACAAATGGAAAATTAGGATAAAGGTTTATTTCTTTCAATTTAAAAGTTCTTGTAGCTTTGATGACACTATTGAATGTTTGTCTATCAAATGGTAAGTGAGCTTCATTTAAAACGTCTCACCTAGATCAATGCTAACAGATATTATTGTACGATGTAATTAGATAAAAACTAAAAAAAACTGAGAAAGCGTTCACAGAACGTCAATAAAAATCTGATTTATTTATATTATTTACATAAAAAGGCTAGGTCAAGAACACATATTAGAATAAAATTGTCTTTCCCAAAGTAAAATGAATAGACCTGTTGTTATCTTTATATGATTAATGTAGTAAAAATTAGCCTAGGAGTTTGAGTTATAAATTTTGATTGCTGTGTAGATTAAATTAGTAATTACCAAACTTAATTCAAATTCTCAAATCTTTTGGATTATGAAGAAATAGCCTCAGATCAAAGTGGGTAAATATTTTGATTAAGCAGTTACTCTAATAGTATCTTAAGCAATTTTCTCCAAATAGTATACAACAATACTTGAGACTCTTATTCTTTTCTTATAATGTACTATGTCTTAAGTGATCCACTCAACATTATAACTCTGGAACATTTCTTTATAAACATCATTTTGGGCTACCTTTAGAATAAAATGAGGCAAGACTGATGCATAAGTTCACTTCCTTGTCATGTTTTGGCTGTGAAATAATGTGCTGCTTGATATTCAACCCACTATTTACATTTCAATCTTCGGGATCCCGTAAGACTCAACAATGGCTCTCGTTTCTCTAGGACTTTCTCAGGCTAGTTCTAGAAAATTATTTACAGTAGGAGTTTCTGCTGACTAATAACTGCACTGTCAGTAACAGATAGCATGAAGATGATCTGGCAAGTCTTTAAGTAGCCTATATTGGTAGTGTAGTAAAATGCCATTTGGTGCCATTCAAGTAAATTTTTATTTGGAGATCTGATTTTTCAACATTTTGTCCATTCACCTTACTAGTTTAGTGCTACTTCTGCCTATTGTCAAAAGGGTCCCTTGCTTTTTTATGTTGTCATGTTCAATTTACTGAATAGTTTTTGGCTTGTAATTTAACCATTTTTGGAAATAAAAAATAGTATCTCCCTGTAGAAACAATATGAAACTAAAGAAACCCACTGGGCCTTAAAAAGTTTCCTTGATCCTCAACACTGTGCTCCCAGATGGATGTCACATTACTTATCCAGAATGTGTCGTTTGCTTCTCAAATCTGATTTATATATCTGTGGAAGTTGGGCATGTTCCCACTGCTACTGTGAATAGTAAGTTTTGAAAATTTAGCCAATAGCATCAAGCTGTTTGGTTATATAAGCAAGGATAAAAAGATACTTTGAAACAAATAAGCTTTTTTTATTATCACATTAAATATGTATGTTGTAACATAAAATATCTCAAGGTTTTACAATGTACATGCACGAGGCCCTGAAGATGTCTCTTTATAGTACAGAACCTCATAAACTGTTCATCTGACCAGGAATATCCATCTTCCCTTTGTGGTCTGGGGAGAGAACTGAGTGTAAGGCCATGTATAATGCAAACAGTTCTTTCCACAAGGCATTGCTCTCTGAAATAGTTCATCCTAATGGCTACCCTCATTTATGTAGTCACCGTACTTTTTTTGATGGATGGTGATGATGCTGAGAGATGCTCTGAGAAAGATGAGACACTGTGGCAGAGTAGTTTAACAAATGTAGAAACTTCCTCTGCATCACAGAATGGATGCTGGATTCAGGCTATGACTCCGTGTTCAGATCAATCTGCATGTTTTGATTGATTTGTCCAGTGGAACTGAAAAATTACCCCCATCCCCACACATTAAAACAAAAAGCTCTCCTTTTAAAAGAGTTATGTCTAGAAATACTGCTTTCTTTGTGTGTTTATATAGAACCTTGGCCTACGAAGGATATCAAACACTGTTTTTGTTTCTTTACAGCAATCTATGCATAAAAATGCTTTATAGGTATTTTAATTTATAGATCAGGTAAAATTTGACTCATCAACAGTTCAATAATGCTACTTTTAATTAGCTTAAACTAAAAATTTTAGTTATAGATAATGGGAATAGGTAAACAGTATCATAAATTGCTTATGTCACCATATTACCTGCTACTACTTGTTGCAAGTTATAATCACATGAAAGAGGACAGTGTCTACCTGTCTGATTTTGCTAAAGCACTGGAAAAGGGTTAAATAGAATGAAAGTCATCACTTTCTCCTGAAAGTTGGACTAATTCTAATCTTTGATGAGTCTAATTTTATGATGATTCATAGATGGAGGTAAAGCAAGAATATAAACTGGAAAAAAAATAATACTGGACCACATGTGTAAGAAAACACTCAAGAGAAAAATGTTTATCTATTGACGCTTTTTCTAAATAATTTCTGACAACCAACTTAACCAATTACTTACCTCCTTCCCTGGACATCAGCCCCAGCAACATAGTTGACTAAAGTTGAACAATTGTTTTGCTAAATAAACATTGTTAAAAAGTTAATGTTGGAGAAAAAAAGAAGTAATTCCAGTCAATGTCAATACTTTTATTTACATATAAATGCATTTATAAACAACATATAGCATTTTTTCTGTGCTTTGAAAGTACAAAAAAAGCATACATACTTATTTTTCATCAGTATTATGTTAAGATTTGTGCTCATCGATGTAAATTACTTTTAATCTTTCTTAAATGAAAAAAAAGTTTTTAAAAGAGTTAGTGCTGCTTTTCTGGAAATGAGGTGCCAAAATTCCTATCTAATTCTAACAGTAACTGTCTCATCGTCTCTGTAATAAAATAATTGCTCAGTTCAGTCAACTCATTGGAGAAAACAGTCAAACTATTTCAAAGAAGCAGATAAAAACCTGCAGCAGGCCTTGACATTCTGTACAAAGAGCAAATCTGCGTACCTCCTGCAGTTCCCACTTCTCCAGGACCCTGAGTTCTCTTTCTTCTAACTTCCTACTGAGGCTTCGTCACTCAATATCTGTCACTGGTCTAATCTGTTCCTTTTCCTTCTTTGACCAACACTGTGGTTTAGATTTGCTTTACAACCTCATCACCATGGCGAGAGTTCTTCCTGTTCTGTCCTGTAATTTGGGACTCAGAGCAGGCCCAGAAACTCCTGGGCTTCTCCTGCTCCTGCTATTCCCACCCCTTTCCCCCCTTTGAATTCTTAGCCGAATATATAAGTACCAGTGACAGTTTTACAATAATTGCTGCCAAGGTTATTTGGATATGGAAATCTTAATATTTCTCTCTTTCTTATCAATTCCTCAATGGATAGTAACTTCGAGTGAGCATTTCTGCATGTGAAAATCAAACCGAGAGAAAGAAAGAAGCAGATAAATTAGATGTGTGTAAAGTACCTAACACAGTCCTTGTCATGTAGAAAGCTCTCAACAAATGGAAGTTATGAGTATCTAAACATAATTAAATGGTAGAGCTTATTTTCAAGTTTTGCTTATTTTTATATGTAAAGCTTGGATTTAGGCTAATAAAAATCAGGAAATTTGTTTAGGCTAATAAAGAACAGGGAACTGCGTTCTTATTCACTGCTCTTTCTTTCCTTATTATTGGAAGTGATCCAGAGGCCTAAGAGTATTTCCATGCCAAGTTCAAGAGGGCAGAGGGCAGAGAGGAGTGAGAGGCGGGGCAAGAAGTGGGGAAGGACTTGACTATGTACCTGCAAATACCTAGCAGGTCCCATGGAGATGAAAGTCGCTGATGGCAGCTGCTGTATAGAGAAGAGAAAAAATTGTTGGAAAAAGGACAGGGAAAATATGTTCTTGATTTCTTATAAAAAATGTATGAGAGATAGAAAATATACTGTAAATACAATACTTTAACTCATATTCTATGACTTATTTTTTTAAAGAACAAATATTATCTGGAACTAAGTAAAAAAAGAATTCATTTTCATAACTATCACAAAATTTTGCTATAATTGCATACTTTCTGAGTGACCTTTAAGATATGATAATGTTTGAAGTTGGCTTTCCTACTGGATGAGTTGCAACTGTAAGGCAATAGTTATAATAGCTCAGGTCACAGGTGGAATAACTGAATGTCATTAACAATGACATTTGATTATGTTTCTTCATTTTTTCAGATTATATGTCAAGTTCTGTGTGAAATGAGAGACCATGGGGATTCATTATTGCTGGAGTTGACGGTATTGCAGTTTTATAACCATCTAATAAATTAGCATTTAATACTGAGAGATTTCATCTTAAACTCAGAGGATTGCTTTGTTTTAAAGAAGATTTTTGCAAGGAGAAGCAATGGAAACCATTCAGAAAATGTGGGAGATAAAAATCCTATTCAAGAAAACGGATCTTGGATCTTTGCATTCACTTGATTTGTCAGAATATTATTCTGTGCTAAAAAATAGAAGGGATTAAATGTTAAAAATCACTGAGGCACAATTCTCTTGAGTTCACCAATTTTGTACTCCTATTTCCAGTTTCTTTTCACATACGTCATTCTCCATCCTGATTAAGCTTGTTCTTTCTGAGCTCATTTCTGATACCAAAAGAAGTCATAAAGTTCTATAAGATTAAGAATTCTCTTAGAAGTACAGATTTGCATGAACGTCAAAGAAAAAAATATCACATTTTACTCCCATATGCTTTAATGATTATTTTATTAGGTCAGGCATGGCTTAGGTTAGAACCTTTGTGGTTTTTTTTTTTTTTAAATTCCATTTAGTTAAATGTTGACACAATATTTTTGGAATTCTATATTTTGACTTTTCCGTTAACCTAGGTCTGTTTTGGAGTGGGGAAGAGGGTAGGTCATCATTTCTATTTAAAATGGGAATTGGCTAGGCGTGGTGGCTCACGCCTGTAATCCCAGCACTTTGGGAGGCTGAAGCGGGTGGATCACGAGGTCAGGAGATCGAGACCATCGTGGCTAACACGGTGAAAACCCGTCTCTACTAAAAATACGAAAAAAATTAGCCGGGCATGGTGGTGGGCGCCTGTAGTCCCAGCTACTCGGGAGGCTGAGGCGGGAGAATGGCGTCAACCCGGGAAGCAGAGCTTGCAGTGAGCCAAGATTGTGCCACTGCACTCCAGCCTGGGCGACAGAGCGAGACTCCATCTTAAAAATAAAATAAAATAAAAAATAAAAGTGGCGATAATTAAAAAGTCAGGAAACAACAGGTGCTGGAGAGGATGTGGAGAAATAGGAACACTTTTACACTGTTGGTGGGACTGTAAACTAGTTCAACCATTGTGGAAGACACTGTGGTGATTCCTCAAGGGTCTAGAACTAGAAATACCATTTGATCCAGCCATCCCATTACTGGGTATATACCCAAAGGATTATAAATCATGCTGCTATACAGACACATGCACACGTATGTTTATTGCGGCACTATTCACAATAGCAAAGACCTGAAACCAACCCAAATGTCCATCAATGATAGACTGGATTAGGAAAATGTGGTGCATATACACCATGGAATACTATGCAGCCATAAAAAAGGATGAGTTCGTGTCCTTTGTAGGGACATGGATGAAGCTGGAAACCATCATTCTCAGCAAACTATCGCAAGGACAAAAAACCAAACACCGCATGTTCTCACTCATAGGTGGGAATTGAACAATGAGAACACTTGGGCACATGGTGGGGAAGGAACATCCCACACCGGGGCCTGTTGTGGGGTAGGGGGGAGCGGGGAGGGATAGCATTAGGAGATATACCTAATGTAAATGACGAGTTACTGGGTACAGCACACCAACATGGCACGTGTATACATATCTAACAAACCTGCACGTTGTGCACATGTAACCTAGAACTCAAAGTATAATAATAATAAAAAAATAAAAAATAAAATAAAAAAATGGGAATCAATTGCAAATGGCTAGAGTATGTGTGTGTATCTGTCGCTCGCTCTGTGTGTGTGCGCATGTGTTTGTGTGTGTGCATGTTTTCGTGTGTGTGTGTGGGCATTGAGAATACCAACAAGTGGCTATAATGAGGGTTTGTAGTTCATCCTTGATGAAATGTATATAATTTCTAATTTTATAGAGGTAATTATAGAATACTTGGCATTATTGTTAAATCTATTTCTTTAATATAGAACAATGTGTTTCTCAATTCTTTACTAGTAATTAGTTTCCTTTAGGAAAAAATAAAGGACAGAAATTAGTGTCATCAAAAGTACAGATGAATATATAATGTGACATTTTACATTTTATTTATTGACATTTAGTCCTCTGAAAAGTGTCTAGGCCTGATTAATTTGCTATTAAATGAAAAATGGGCTGTTTTCAAAATAGCTACAACATTGTATTGCACTGACATGACTTCATGCTTGTCTTATCAACAGCAAGAGATATTAGGAGGATTCATAATGCACATGGAAATGTCAACTATGGTATTCTGATGTTTCAATGAATGTTTGCTACTTGAATCATTGTTCAGTGGTTGCTTTTAGTTCAGGATTACATCTTTAACAAATTTGATAAAAGCTCCTTATAGTTGGGGGCTATGGGGTTTGATATATTTGGAATACTTGTCTGGTCATCCACATTTTTTATTTTTATGGCAAGTAGATTCAGTGCCATTATTAGTTTGCCACTATATTCAAATCAGTTAATTATGTTGCTTTCAAAAGAATTTTAAAAGATAATATAAAGTTAGTTATGTTTATAGCTATATGAAGCCATGCTTTCAAGCGTGTTGCTGTTTGATCCTGAGTGACTAACACCAAATAAAAGTGAAGGTGATTCTGAAGTAAAAGCATAATAGGTGTTATGAGTGGCCTAGGTGGCTACTTGGTAGATGCCTCTAAAACATTCACATTTGTGTCAGTGGGCATTTTTGAAGCAACTGAAAGCTGGGATGACATGATAAGAATATGTACTACAGCTGTGCACTTTGGTGGCGGGAACATTGTTGTCTTCACTTCTTAGATATCTCTATAGCCCAACAGATACTAAAATGTAGACGCTATTATATATGTTTACAATGTTTTGAATTTTTTTCATTTGAAATCCTATTTTTTTTAACAATTCAGGGAGAAAGGGAGAAAAACATCGACAAACTAAAGGAGTGACACTTGATCCAAATATTGGTTATATATATGGTGTTTTAGATATATATAATATATACTTTTCTGTAAATGAACATTTATTGCACAAATCTTTCTGTATGAAGGTAAAGTAATAGATCTATTTGAAACAAAAATATGTTTAACATTTTGCCACAATTTCTTTCTATTTATCTAATTTGTGGCTGCATCATTTGAATGTAAGTTGTAGATATCATGAATCTCCACCTGTAAATACTTCAACATCTGACTTATATACCATAATATCATTGTCACACCTTAGATGATCAATAATAACTCAACAATATTATCTAATATACATTTATATTCACATTTTTGTAATTATCCCCAGAATGTTTTTGAGAGCTGAAACAAATGTTTTCATATATTTTGTCAAGTGAATCAAGTTCTCATATCAATATGCCATAATTATATTTTCTTGAAATAGTCATTGGCCATTGAATAGGTTTGGGTTTCCATGGCCCCAAGCTGCCAACTGAACCCACTAGAGTAATTTGCTGGAATGAGAAATGCTAACTGCCAAAACCAAAGAATGTTAATCAGCAACCAGCCTGACTGTGATTTCCAACGTGCTAATCACTTGGAAAAATTGCCTCTCATTGGCTCAGTCTATAGATAATTACTAATTGAAAAACAGCTAGAATGAGAAGGTATATTAGCATGTTAATAGGTCTTTGTGCCCAGAGGCTTTGGATTATAAATTATGAAGACTGCATTAGCCAGATGGGCAGGATTAATTAGCATGCTAGTATTACCTGGCATCCTATGGTGGTTGAGAATAAACAGTGACCATAACCATTTCAGCATAGTTTGCTATTAAATTGCTTGTTTTTGGTAGCTCGGAATAGAGTTTTATTCTGTAGTTAGAACACTAACCAAGAATCAGTAATTCTGGATGCTAATAACTAGCAAAGCATTTAGTCCTTTTGTACTTTGGCTAAAATCAATCTTCCATGTACTCAATTTCCATCTCTACTAAATGAAAGCTTTATGACAGAGAAAAAAGAACTAGCACTGGGATTCCAGAAGCTTATATTCTAATCTTGATATTGGACAACTCATTTAATCTCTTCATGCCTCAGTTTCCTCATCTGTAACATAAAAAAGGCTTAACTGGAAATTCTCTAACATCCTTTCCAGCTTTGAGATTTTATGGAACAATGTAGACTCATGCCCAGTAACAGATCTGGAGAGGAGAAACAGGCTAAAAGCCAATATGTTTCACAAGAGCAACTGAAACCAATATTTCAAATGAAGGTAATACCTATAAAGAAACATACCAGGGATGACTTTATATTTCCCAAATCATGCAGACTGCCTTATTGACTTCCTATTTGGATACCTTCCAAGGTAAGTAGGTGATTGTTTTGTTTGTTCTTTTCTAGAACTGACTCGTACACAGGTACTGTAAGAATCCTGGGAAGTGGAAAGAGATTCCAATCTCACCTCATCAGGGAGCATCGAATGCTCTCTTAAGCTCAATAGGAAGAAGTGAGGCTACTTTCAGATTTCTCTATCCCAATGGCTTCAATTGTACTAAGGTAAAAACTATTTGACAGAGTGTAATTTTTCTGCAGTTGTGACATGAACAGTCCAGTTTGTGTCAAAAGAATACTTCCCTCAATGAGAATGTGGTTTTGATTAGAGATATTTCTAGTATTAAACATAACATAATAGCTAACATTTAATGAGCTCTTACTATTTGACATGGAACTAAGTGTTTTCCAAGGATTATTATTATTATAATGAATCCTCACAAATATTATGACATTGGATTTTCAATAGCCTCATCTAATAGACACTCAACTAAGGTAAGGGACAGAGCTGGGATTTAAACCTGGGGCATGCTCTGTTTTTTCTGGTGCTGTGTCTCAAGTTACAGAGGCTTGAGGTCTTTTCTAAGTAATACCTATAGCTCCTTGTCTCCCAGAAGAGACCTATTATTTAGGGAATCCTTAAAGCTTTTGTCTTGCCTGCTTGCGACTACTTCTATTGCTTGCAGCATATTCCTCAGCAACTTCATGGTTTTCTGGGCAGAGTGTTGGAAATTATGTGGTAGGATGGATTTAAGAGTTGAAGGGTTGTTTACTGATATGATTTGGCTCTGTGTCCCCATCCAAATCTCATCTTGAATTGTAATCCCCAGGTGTTGAGGGAGGGACCAGCTGGGAGGTGATTGGATCATGGGGGTGGTTTCCCCCACACTGTTCTCGTGATAGTGAGTGAGTTCTCAAGAGATCTCATGGTTTTATAAGGGGGTGGGGGCGGCTCTTCCCCTTTCACTTACTCACTCCCTCTTGCCATCTTGTGAAGAAGGTGTCTGCTTCCCCTTCGCCTTCCACTATGATTGTAAGTTTCCTGTAAGAGGCCTCCCCAGCCATGCAGAACTGTGAGTCAATTAAACCTCCTTCCTTTATAAATTACCCAGTCTCAGACGGTATTCTACAGCAGTGTGAAAATGGGCTAATACTGTTACCAAGGTCTATTCTAGTTCTGCACGTCTTCAACCCACCTGCCGCTCATAGCGTAGATTTGGGTTGTGATAAGCAGTACTTTAGTGCTGGCAGTTAGCCTCATTTCAGGGTGATGCCTCTCACCTGTCACTTTGATGGTTAACATTTAGTAGGTGGAGTTGATAAAGCATGTTCCAGAATAAAGTGTGTTGACATGTTAACTTCTATAGAAGGTCACAATGAGAAAAGAGACATCTCTGCTTATGACCTTTGTTTGGTCAGAAGCTCAATGCCATCCTCCTGCCATGTATTGTTGGCTGCCCAGAGTACCTTTCCCTCCACCTGGTTGAACAATGACTCACTAGGCAGCATGACACTTAAGTAGCAAAACTCCATTAAGCTTTCAGTTTTATTTTAAAGACTTCTCAATCAAAATTAATCTAATCATCTAAAAGACTGAAGGAAACTTAAGAATTATATTTAAAGAACTATTTTGATATTATATTACTGGTATGTCTATAAAATACACAATACTGCACTGTTCATTTTCAAAGTGCCCTGGGATCTGTCCCCAAAATGGCTCTGCTTCCATTGCTGTATAACACTGATAACCTGATTAATTATTAGTGGTAATAATAATACTAATAATTAACATTTATCAAATATCTCCTGTGTGTCAGGCACTGAGCCAACTGTTTCATGGGTATTGTGTCCATTATGTCACTCAACCTTCTAACAACCTGATTAAATACTAATATTATCCTCATTTTTAAAAATAAAATTTCTTTTTAAAAGAAGAATAAACTATCAAAGCACTATACACATATGCTGAACAGTAAAGAACTTACAGTGAAAAGCACCCTTTCATGCTGCTTCTCTCTACCCTAAGTTCTACCCCCTCTACCCAGAAGAAACCCTTTTAATTATTTCTAATTCTTTGGGTATTTATCTTCAAAACTCTAGATATATGCTAATACTCCTGCTTAATGAATTTACTTGACTCTCTCTCGTATTATTCCATTTATATGAAATGTCCAGAATATGCAAATTCATAGAGACAGAAAGCAGATTCCTGGTTGCCAGGGTGCTGGGATGTGGGGGAATGAAGAGTGACTGCCTGTCTACTCAATGGGTATGAGGTTCCTTTTAGGGGAGATGAAAATGCTCTAAAATTAGATAATGGCAATGGTTATACAACATCGTGAATGCACTAAAAGCTACTGAACTGTAGTATTTAAAATGGCTAAAATAGTGAATTTTATGTGATATCAATTTTTCTTCAATAAAACATGAGACGTCTCTCTGGTTAGAAAGTCACCTACATTACTGTTTTACATATCAATGTTTCATATTTATATTTTTATTTTTAATTCTTTTTATCCCTTTTTTATTTATTTTTAATCTGATTTTTATCCGCAAAGCAACAAATAAATGTCACTATTATTTTTAAATTTAATGTATGTGTTTATAACAAAAACATAATTGTACATATTTTGGGGTACAACGTGATGTTTCAATGCATGTATACGTAGTATAATAATCAAATCAGAATGATTATTATACCCATCACTATAAACATTTATCATTTCTTTGAGATGACAACATTCAAAATCTTCTCACTACCTTGAAATATACACTGCATTATTTGCTATAGTCACCCTACTGTGTAATAGAACACCAAAACTTATTTCTCCTGTCTAACTGTAACTTTGTACCAATTGACCAACCTCTCCTGGTATTCCTTCCTGCTTTTCCTCCTCAACCACTGGTAACCATTATTCTCTCTCTCTCTATGAAATCAACTTTTTTAGATTCCACATGTGAGATCACATGATGTTTGTCTTTCTGTGTCTGGCTTATTTCACTAACACAATTACCTCCAGGTTCATTCATGATGCCACGGATGACAGGATTTCATTCTATTTTATGGTTGAATATTATTTCTTTTTAGAGTTCAGGAAATCGAGGTAAAAAAGGCCAACTTTCCAAGATCACATAAATAGTAAACCTTGCATTTGATCCTATGTAGTCTAACTCCACAGACCACACGCGTAACCACTATTCAACACTTCCCTCCAAGATGACAATTTTGGTGGCTGGAATTATGTATGTGAAAAGGCAATTAGACCTTTGAATAATCTTTCAGTTGTCTATAGACAGAAAATTCCTCTCATACATGTGAACTTTTGCTTTAAAAATGCTATTGCATTATAACACCATGATCACCCAAATTATCATTAGACATTATATGCCTTACTACGCATGCAAATAGGAGTCTACTAACGATTGAAGAAATTCTATTAGGGATTTACAAAAGTAGAACCAATCCAGTTTGGTGCATGAAGGGTTACAACAGCTTCTTTCTAATGTATCTTTAAAAATGTGATTTTGGAATTAAGCAGCTACCAGTTACTGTTACATTTATGCATGACCCTTGACTACTAATAGTATGAGCCAACTGTATTCTATTAGTGATCTTAGCAGCAAAGCAAGGATGTATAATTGATTATTGGTGTTGATTTATATGTCTAATAAGCAGCTGGAAGTAAAGCATCTCTGTTCAGTTTCCAAAAATGATAGAAATGGCCTGTTTTTATCATTGCTAAGAAACAGTGGGAGAGAAGAGATTCACCCTTCCCTCCCAGAGCCAGTGAATCAGTGCTAGGAAATGATGTCAAATATCATCAAAGGCCCGAAGTATTTAAGCAAGGAGGAGAAAATGGTGTCTCAGAAGGAGAATGTTTTTCTCAAAAGGTCCCAGTACCTTTGTTTTGATACTGAGACTGTTTTGTTCTCTGTTTCAATATTTTTGTTTAACATTCAGTAATTCAAGCAAACATTTATTGAGCCTTAATTAGACTCCTACAGTGAAACCACTGAGCTAGGCTTGGTGGGAACAACAAAGGGTAATAAAGACATAGCTACTCTTGAGAAATTTATGTCGGATTGGCAGGCGAGATGTACATACAACATGGAACTCCCAGGATTCTTTGATTCATGATAGAATTTAACCAAGGTCTGCACTCTAATGCAGATGATAAGTGCTAAGAGACTCTATAAACAGTTTTTCTTTTGCCATAATCATATAACATAGTTTCTCTCTTGTTTTTCCCCACGTTACACAAAATACCTCCCCTCAGCACATCCTTTTCCAAACACAAATACTCCTTTTGAAATGAGTTTTTGGAATTTCTTCTTAATAGCATGGACATGGGTGGTGTTTGGGTCCACTTTTACTAGCTTTTGGAACTTCACTGAGTTATTTAACTTCATTAAATCTCAGCTTTCTTATTTGTAAAATGAAGAAAATAATATTAGTTACCTCATACCGTTTTTATATTGATTAGAAGATATAGTGTAAAGCACTTAGCACATTGCCTAATATGTGATACTTAGTGATAGCTTTTATTATTACTACATTAAATAAATTGCTAAAAATTAAAAAATAGATTACTTCTAACTCCCAAACTCAGCATCTGATATCATTTTTGTGTGTTCCAGTCCTTGATCATATATGGAAATTACTAATTTCTCCATTAACTCAAAACTTTGATCTTGCCAATGGCAAGGTTTTATCTAATGTACTTCCTCAGCCCTGTGTGCACAGTGGGAATTTAATAATTATTTGTTGACAAAATAAGTCTTCTTGTGACTCTGTCTTCAGTTACTCATAGCTCTCTCCTGACTTTCTCAGATAAACTTCCTGAGGGGTTGCTTGCACCTTTGAACTCCCAGACAGTTCATAAACTACTGAGATTGGCCTTTGGCACCCATCACTCTCCAAAGCAGCACTTATTTAAGTCATTGTCCCTTCCTTGCCCCTAATTCTGAAGGACAATTCCATTCCAATCCTTACTTTCTTATTGACCTTGGAGGCACTTGGAGTGCTGTCAACTCCTCCCCCTCCTCCTGGAAATACATTCTTTGGGTTTTCCTGTCATGTCTCTATCCTCTAGTTTTACCTTCTCCACTTTTACAGCCAAAGTGACTGTTATGAGTTAAATTCGTTCCTCCAAAATTTGTATGTTGAAGTTCTAAGTCCCAGTAACTCAGAATGTGACTGATTACAGATAAGGTGTTTTTTTTTTAATAAGATAATTTTGAGGTAATTTGGCTAGAACAAAGTCATTAGGGTGAACCCTAATCCCCTGTGACTGGTGTCTAATAAGAAGAGGAGATTAGGACACAGACACAGGGAGAAGATGACTATCCCCAGTGAAGGAGAGAGGTGCTGCTTTTCTTGGTACTCATGGCTCCTGTCTGAAACACTCTTGCCCTCCCTCCTCCCCTTGGCTCCCCCACATCTCCTCTTGGCTAACTCTGTGGATCCTTCAGGTCTCAGTTTGGAGGTGCTTGGAGGACTCTCCTGAGCTCTGCTGTGTTCTCCTAATTCCCTGTATTTACTTCTATCTGGCGCTTACTGCACGGCTATAATTGCCTGGCTAATTATTTGTATTTCCTTCCTGGGCCATAAACTCCTTGAAGGCAGGGAAAACATTCCCTTCACTTACATCCCTAGAGACGGACAAGGTACCTGATGTACAGTAGGGTCTCAAGATTTGTTGGATGAATCAATGAGATTTTATTGCTTAGCAGAAGAAAAAATTATTTTCCTAATGGTGGTTGTGGTTTAATAACACAAAGACTTGGTTAAGAATACAAATATTAAAGTTACTTTAATTCTGTAGATCTGCCTGATTTTGAAAATTGTCCATTACAGAAGGAATTTATTCTTGGTGCATAAATGTGCCACTTCATCTACTTCTCTTGAAGATAAAATTCTTAGCCTCTGACCCTTTTGTTCTGTGAAGTACCCACTGCTGCAAGAAAAATTCAAAACAGATAGCATATACATGTGGAAGATAATTTTATTATCTTTAATTATATTTTATACCTCTGTTTTTCACCTATGTAAAACCCAATTAGAAAAGAATCAGATATAAATGTGTTATTTTGGAAGCAATCAACTCACCTTCTGAAGCTACATAAATAAGAAAGCATTAGAGAAATGGGTCCAAAAAGAGTTTGGTTTTCATGTGGTAAACTTGTTATTCTTAGTATCTTGAGGAACCGGCAAACAACACTGCTGACTTAGAACATGTTTTTTTTTTTTTTTTGCTGGTGAAAAGAGAGTGGGTGACTTTGTGCTTAAGACAACTCTAGAAGTGTCCTTTTGTGGATGCCAGTTCTGCAAAACTATTTGGGACTCTGGATATGTAACTCTTTCGAAACCTGGGGATTAGAAGTTTGGCACTGCATACCTTTCAGAGGAGAAGAAGGCTCTGCTTTCGGTATAACTGCACGGCTCTAAAGAATGGCAATGAGCAAAGAATGAGAAATAATTTAATCCACTATTGATTAACATGTTTGTTGTTAAAAGCTAATTTTCTGTAACAGCAGAGATGCAGCCCAGGGTTTCTGGAGACTTTTAAAAATACCTCCAGGCACAGTCAATGTTTAAATTTTCTAAAGCATCCCACACACTGAAGATATTTGTAAGCATCCAACTAAAGACAATCAAAATTAGAACTTAGCAAAAATGTACAGATCACTGGTATATATTAAATTTTAATTAGAAAAATAGAGACTCCTACAAGTAAATTTCATTGTATTAGAGGTTGTCTCACATTTTTTGAAGTAATAATACAATCAGGGAAAACAAATCTTTTCAGTTTGAAATTAACAACAAAAGCCAAAGAACCAACCTCTAAAAGCTCTTTAAAAAACTCTAATTAAAAAAAAATTCATCTCTTTGGCCATGCTCGACTGATGGTACCTATAAAAACTGAGGCACTCTTTGGTGTATGCGCGTTCTCAGAGCAGAATTAGATCAAGGCTCGATGCGAAAGCACGCTGTAGTTACTATTATCAAATGCGGAATCTCATTTTAGCTACTATAAAAGGCCCCTGGTATTAAAACACTGCGTTTATAGATGATGGATGAAAAATGTATTTTTCAAACCATGGCCTTTGTGGTAGAACATGACTTGCTTACTATGGAAATATCTCCAGCTGCCTAGAAATGTTGCCTAGCAACCCTGGAAACAGAGAAAACCTAATATCTCTGAGTTGCTTGTGGGTAAAGGGATTATTAAAAATATCAATTAGAAAAAAAGGACTGCAAAGTTTGTTATTGGGCATGACAACAACTGCTACTTCCGAGTTTGACAGCGTCTCTGTGCCCTCTTTCTCATGGAATTTCAGATGTTTCTTATGTGTTTCCCATGAATTCCCTAGTTTCTAAGTCTCAACAGTGCAGCAAAGAGGGTGACTTGTAGAGGTCATGTCTGTGCTGTCAGGACTCAGCCCTGTTCCCCCAGCCCTCTGCTGGAAGCCGTTCTTTGCCTTGGTGAGCAGCAGTCAGCCAGCCACGTCGGCTTTGATAGCTGTCAGCTTCCTTCAGACCCAGCAATTTCCGGGTGACTGGGAATGATTTTTAGTTGCTGCTGTCCTGACTGTTCTGTTCATTGGCCAAGGCTGGGGGGCAGCTTGCTCTGGAAGAGCACCCTGAAGACACCCGCCTTCTGATCAGATGCCCTGGCTCTGCCCATAGGCTCCCCTGAAGGGCTGGCACAAAGCTTGGAAAGCTTCTTACGTCTACACCAGGCAGACCTGCGTTCTGTGTTGTAAGCAAAGTAAGATGGCAGACTAGGTTCAGGCCCGACTCTCTTCAAAGTCCCTGCTATTCTTTTTCTCACAGGATTAAAAAATTTTTTAGTTGGGCAAATGCATTCTGTGTCTTAGTCAGTTTGGGCTGCTGTACCAAATACCATAAATTGGATGGCTCATAAACCATAGAAATTTCTCACAGTTTTGGAGGCTGGGAATTTCAAGATCAAGGTGGTGGCAGATTCGGTGTTTGTCTTCTGGTCCATAGAGGGTCACTTTCCTCTAAAACCTCCTTATGGTGGCAGGGGTGAATGAGTTCCTTTGGCCTCGTTTATATAGGCACTAATCCTCCTCCTGAGGGCAGAGCCTCCCAAAGGCCTCAGCTTCTAGTACCTCCTGATACTATCACCCTGTGGGTTAGGATTTCAACATGAATTTTTGGGGAAAACAAACATTCAGAATATAGCAATGGGTTCTTGATTCATGTGACAGAAAGCGAATCATTCTGAATTAACTTGAATAAATGAGTGGTATTCAAGCTGAAACTGATAATAGCTTTAAGTGTGAACATAGTTTCCTGGTCAATCTTGAAAAGCCAATCTCCACCAGAATTGTAACTACTCTTAAGAACTTTAATAGCAGTAGTAACCAGCTCGTGCTTCAAATTTCTACAGTGTTACAGTCTATAGAATATTTGGACATTTGCATTCTCATTTGATCTAACTGCTTGCTGGCAAGGGTTACTGTTAGCTCCATTTTATAGCAGTAGAAGTTGATGTCCAAAGAGGTAAGATGACCTGTGACAGCAAAGGTAGAGAGATTCCAAACTTCTGAAGCTTGGGCCAAGTCAACGTCTTTTCTGTGGTTTCAACCCCAGTCAGTACATGATCTTTTTGATGGATGCAGAACCAACTGAGATATTTTCTCCACTAGCCCATTAGCAGGTGCTGCTAATGGTTCCAATCCAGGGCTTTGATCTTGAACTTCTCAGCCTCCAATAGGGGTAGTGTTAGCTCCATTTTCTAGAAGTAGAAGCTGATATTCAAAGAGGTAAGATGACTTTTTCAACATCATTAGTAAATATGTCAGTTCTTGAACTAGGGTCTTCTGATTTCCAGGCCAATATGATTGTTAGTAAGCAATTAAGATGAGGTTCACCTATCATAGAAAGTAGAGACTTGAGCAGTGTAAAGATCCACAAATTTGAGGCATGGACCTCCTTTGTATGGTAAAGCTAGATACAATCTACTTGACTTGCCCCAGTGACCCCATACATTTCATGGAATGTGCATGTGCAGGTATGCCATAGTGACCACCTCTCAGTCATAGCATAACTCCTGGGAACTGAAGCCTGCTTGCTCTAAACCCACCAATTAGAACTCCTTGAGGAGCATCTGTTTGGGCAATTCCCTGAACCATATGAAAGACAGAGGTACCATAAGTCCCTCTCTTTCTCTCTTGCTCCCTACCCAACTGATTGAGTGTGCATGTCCTGAAAGCTCCCGTTTCCCATTGGCCCTACAAGATGTGCTGCCCTCTTCCATCTGGGATTTGTAAATAAGAAACTGCTTCTGTTATTTTGTTTGCTGTGCTGCCTCCTCTTTGTCTCATCTGATCAATACACCTGAACCTAACTTCTTTCCTGGAGAAAAGTTAGGCTCTGTCCTAGAGAGTGGCTATCCACAGGTCAGACAAGAGTCCCACAGGGGTGTCTGCCAGAATAAAGATTTTCCTGTGCAAGAGACACCTGGTCATGGGTTGAACATTTGGGCATTAGGCTATCCATGAGAATAAAGAAGTACCCTGTGAAAGCACACTGTAAATATCCATGACCATCTACCCTGGAGCCCTGTGAGTGCAGCATTGGAATTTGTACCACTTTCCAGAGAGAGACCTCAAGACCAAATTAGAGGAAAATATAACAATTGTATACTGGAAATTTGTTGAGAGAGTAGATTTTTAAATGCGTTCACGCACACACATACAGGGGCAATTATGTGAGGTGATGGATATGTTAATTTGCTTCACTGTGGTAACCATTTTACTATATATAAGTATGTCAAAACATCATGTTGTATACCTGAAATATATGGTAAAATAAAGACATGTTTAAAAGAAATGATAGAAATTCACTGTGAGAATGAAAACTACAGGCCAATCTCTCATGAGCATTTGTGCTAGTTATTTACTCATCTTTCTCAGCTTCACATCTGCCCAATTATGCTATATTTTATGCTACTGAGGCTTGAAGTCTGCAAACTACATTTCCCAGCTTCCATTGCCAGCTGGCTTACTTTTCAATTATGCTAATGGGAATCTAAAGTTCCTGTTTGAAGATCAGAAGTGAACCGAGAGAAGTTTCCTGCTTTTGACACTAATAATGTGGCGGTTGTTGTTTGTTGCTATGACAACAAAGGTAGAGACGTTCTGAAGTCCCGACGCTTGGACCAAGTCAACATCTTTTCTGTGGTTCCAACCCTAGTCACCACAGGAACTTTTTGATGAATGCAGAACCAACTGAGATAGTTTCTCCAGCAGCACAGTAGCAGGTGCTGCTAAAGGGCTCAATGCAGGGGCTTTAGCAGCTTCTAATCTTTAGGTGTCAGTCTTTCTTCCTCCTTTCTCCTACAGCACCCCTCCTTCTTTTTCTTCTTTAGCCCTTCCAAAATATGTGCAACCAATTTCCTATATTAAAATCCCCTTATTACAAAAATGTTGTGATTCAGATAGTTGTATGATCTGATTTGTCCAAAGTCACACAGCAAGGAAGTTTCAGAACCAGATTTGAAACCAGGCAAGAGTGACTATCATGCAGGGCTCAAAAAAATTATTGTGTTTATTTAGAGTATACAACATGATAATAGGGGATACTATATATAGTAAAATGGTTACCATAGTGAAACAAATTAAGATATCCATCATCTCACAAAGTTACCCTTTTTATACACCTGTTAGGATGGCTATTACTAAAAAGTCAAAAGATAAATGTTGTTGAGGCTGTGGAGAAAAGGGAACAGGGGAACAGTTGTACGTTGTTGATGGGAATGTAGCTTGGTGCAACCATTATAGAAAACAGTATGGAGATTTCTAAAGAAATTAAAAACAAAAGTACCATATGACCCAGCAATCACCCTCTGGCCATATACTTGACAGGAATAAGATCACCACCCTGTAAAGATATATGCTCTCACATGTTCTTGTAGGGCTCTCGCCTCAGTAGTTCGCTGCCTCCAGGACATGGCTGTGAGGGGACACATGTGGCTGACCGTTTGGAATAGAGTCCCTCATTTTAAGGGTTTAGATGAGCTCAATTTTTTTTAGTAATTAGGGTGGATTATGTATTAATTTACTTGGATTCAACTATATAACATCAAGACCTGGACCATATTACATTTCTTCTCTTGTTCAATACTTCTCTTACCTAAAGTGGGTCCCTTCCTCCCCCCCATATCTATATGTATATCTATATACCTATATCTAGCTATATTTCTCCACTGATATGCAAGACCTTGACATAGAGCCATACATAGAGGATAAAGAGATTATATTTTATCCCTTTCTAGTCACCTGTGCTAGGAGCCTTCTGTTAGCCTGCTCATCAGCTTTGGCTCACTCAGTCATGGACTCATTATAGTCTCAGGAAACGCTCAGCCCAAATAACTTTTACTAGATCGTCATAGCCCAGGATTTATAACACTGTGGTCAAAGGACGCTGGCATTATTATCATCTGAAGATCTTTTTATCTTTCAGACTTCTGAGTATACGCCTCAACCTAGTGAGCCCTAACCTTATGGAACATGAAACCCTGCAATCTGCTTTCTTATCAAACTGCCCAGGGAACTCCAGAGCAAACTGAAGTTTGAGAATCACGGAGGGGCATCTCATACCTTTTCAAAAAATTAATTGCATGCATGTGCAGGTGTCCTCCCTTCTCCATTTCAAATCTTCCCTCTTTTCTACTCCATGGTACCTGGAGGAGAAACCTTAAAGACGTTTCTCACTTTTTCTCCATTTATCTCTTGCTTTTTGCTACTACCAGTGCTTGCTGCTTTCCTCCTTCTCATGGGAAGAACCACAGTTGTGCAGGGAAGAGCTATTTGCTCCTTGAATGTTTGAAAAGTTTACATGGCACTTATGTATCTTTCAACTTGGTAATTGTCCAATATGGTCACCGAAGAGGCACTGTGCATACTTTACGCGCTGCTGAATTTCAATTCCATAGACATCATCAGTCATTCCTCCTTCTGGGCTGAATGTATGTCTGTCAGTGAGAGTCACCAGACCCTGAATGGGAACATTCACTGAAGAAGGTGTTCCTGTCGGCGTTGGTAGAATGAGAGAATGAGTACAGGCCTGCAGCACTTTGAGCCTCCATCAAACGGGCCTCTCAATCTCTACCCACTCATTTCATTTTTTTTTTGCCTTATTTTACACCCCAACTGCCATAGGCACTACCCTTACCCATTCATGAATCAATGCTTTCTTGCAAGCTTCCTCTAACTCTTCTGACATCCATGGTAACTGGGCCACAGCTAGCACAGTGCCACAAAGAGGTCAGCTCATGCGAGCCCTTGGGAGGGCTTGACTTTATCCTTAAAATCTTTGTGTGTGGCTGTTTACATAGAAACTGACAGAGGTCGAGAGAAAGAAGTAGGCAAATTATGGTGTGCAGGGCCTTGCTCCTCTGCCACCATTTGAGTTCAATCACTTTATACTTTATCTCTGATTTCACTTAAAATCCTCACATGCCTTATAGGGTTGAGATGGCTGTTCACAAATACCTGGCATAAGCCTTTTTCCCTCTGCTCAACCACACAAACAGCATTTCCTGGAGTGCGCTTTTGCGGTTCCTCTAGAGTCTCCTGGTGGATGGAGGTGGAGTGAGGAATGGTACTGAGGTTAACTTCGGTCAAATTGCATATTCTCTTCCTCTTGGAATATCCCAGTAAAGAGTCATTTAGGATAAAAATATGGTTAATTTAGCCCAATTCAAAATTATTCCATCACAAAACACTAACATAGGGTTTATGGAACATAATCCTGTAGAATTCCCTGGGGGATTTTGTCATGTAACTGCAGACTATCCCTAATCTTTGCTTGTATTCTTTCCTCCTTGGATACACCACTGGGCCTTGGTACCTCTATTAGAGCAAAGATAGAAAAAAAAGATTAATTGGGCTTTGCTTAGAAAGGACTAACAAGCTTTTTCAATTGCCTTCTAAAATGAGTATTCTTTCCTTACCTCACCCTGATATTGTAGGTTATTTCTTATCTTGTATGAACTACTTTTCCTAACCATCACTTCTCCTGTGTTCTAAAACATTCTCTCTACTCCAACCACCTGCTGCTTCGTGTGCTATTTGCTTTCTCACTTCTGTGACCTTCTTTATTCATTTTCCCATGCTTAGACTGCCCCCTCTTCCCCTCTGTCTCTTTCATGAAACCTTTCTTGGCTGACATCTCCCCTTCTCTCTGCTCAATTAACCAAAGAATTCATTCAACATATGCCAATTATGTGAAGGACTGGGTTGGGCTCTCAAGATACAGTAATACTGAAGGCAGACCTGGGCTCTGTTACTATGGAAATGGGATTCTCTAGCTTCTGAACCCCACCTCACTTTACTTGCATTACCCTTAGAGTAAGTGCTTTTACTCATTACCTCTTTTTATAATTTTATTTTTGAAACATTTTCAAATGTACAGAAAAGTTAAATGTATAAATGTCTCAAATATATCCTTACCCCAGAGACTCCATTTTAGTCTCCTTTATAACAATGGGGTATGATCTAGGACAGAACCTTACACCCAGCTGTAATGTGGCTCAAACTGCAAACCTGAAGCAATTCTTTAGTCTTTTTACTTTCCATGACCTTGAAGAGTTATGAAGATTAAAGGCCAATTTGGGTCTGTTTGATGTTTCCTTATGTTAAGACCCAGAATTTTTGGCCAGAATTTCACAGAAGTGATGCTGTGTTCTTACTTCATCCTCTCTGATGGCAGTTGTTTGTCTACTTGTCTCATTGCTGGAGAAGTTAACACTGATCCCCTAGTTAAGATGATGTCTGACATTTTTTTTTCTGCTGCAAACCTATCTATCTTTTCCTTTGTAATAATGGGTATTTTGTGGAAAGTCACTTGGAGACTGTGTAAAATCTACTCATCCCAATTTTATCTACCAGTTTTAGCCTCCATTGATGTTTCTTGCCTGAGTTAATTGTTAGCATAACAGTTTGCCAAATGCCATTATTAGTTGCCATTCAGTAGTATGTAAAGATGTATGTATGTGTATATGTACATATGTATTGATATAAGTGTGTACTTAGAGACTTACATCGATGAGTTATAATCCATTACAATGATTATTTATTTTGATGTTCAAGTTGTCCCAGATTTGACCAGTGACAGCTTCCTAAACCTGATGTACCAAGATGTGCACAAGCACGTCTTCTTTCCTTGCCCCAACCACCCTGGAGTTGGCCATTTGTCTAAGATGTCCTGTTTTTGTCTTTTAAGATGGAGAAGTGGCATTCAAAAGTCGAGATCTGTGTGCTTGGTGTGCTTTATTGCTATTGAGATGTTGCTGCCCCTAGGTCCTCTCAGTGGTCAGAGCAAGGAAATCTATGCAAGTATATACATACCTGCATACACACCTACATAATATATACATATCTGCACACATATATGTATCATACACATGTGTATATACACATTTTCATCTCTCTATATCTCTGTATCTATCTTTCTAGGTATACACTGAAAATCATGAGTTCATCCAGATAAACTTTAATTCCAATCTAATGCTGCAGGGGTTGTTTCTCCTTCCCCCTTCTCATATTTGTACCTCATGTTCTCTGACAGTGAAAAGCCTGGTTATCATTATTCGTGATATTTTTACTTATTTACTCAATTCTCCAGTAAGTAATCTCCTGACCTTGCTGGGGTGCTGCCCTGCTCTCACCCCTTCCTTGTGTGGTCCCGCCCTACTCTCACCCCTTCCTTGTGTGATCCTGGCTGTTCACACTGGGATGACTTCCTGCCAGGGATAGGGAAGGGAAGGCAGCCCCATCACCTGTGTGTGTGATGTGTGTGTGTGTGTAAAAACATAAGACTTAAAAAATCATAATTTGACAAGTTATAAAATGCCTCTCCCACCTCTTTTTTTAATGCTTCTCTATGTATTGAAAAATAAACTCGTTACTTTCCTTTAAAATAAACCAAATGAACCAGTAAAGATGATGATTTTATTTGAGCAAACCTATTTTATCAACTTTCGAGTTTACCTTCTTGGCTTAACACCAAAGGACTTACAGTCATTTACACACATTTTGTTCCTACCCCAGGACTCCAAGCTCCTTGAGGACAGAGGCTGGCTTCTGTTTGTTCTTGAGTCAATGGGACACCTTGCACCAGTGTCTGAAGTGGAATGTGTGTCCAATTTGTTATATTGATTATATTCCTCCTATCAGAACTGACCAGCTGTTTTGCAGAATTGATTGAACTTACTCATTATTCCAACATTTCATGCAAGTAGCTTCAACCCACAGAAATATCTCACCTGCAATGTATTAAGAAGCTTGTGGGAAAAGTGGAGGTCACAAGTTTATTCACTAGAAAATCTTTTACAAACTGAATAATATCCTTAAAAAGGAAATAGGAAGAAAAAATGGTACGAACAAAACAAAGGAGGCATTATGGAGATGCTTGTTTTATAAAATTAATGGAGATGTTGACTTTTCCTAACACATGAAATACTGTGCAGCAAATAGATTCTGTTTGAAATGGAAATAGTCAATTGATTGGTAAGGGAGATACGTACAAAATGTTTACATTGAAAGTCATAAAATGCAACAATAGACAATTGTAAAAAGTGTTGTAAGCTTAGTGATAGACTTGTTTTAGGTATGGCTTGAGAATATACGTTTCACATTGTTGGGATTCTGTCTGGTGTGTAGCGGTCTTCACTGGGCTTTGAGTACATGTTTATATTACATGCAAGTTACAAGGGCTTCAAGGCCCTGCTACAGGATTTCCCCTCTCCCAGTAGATCTCATGACTTTGTCTGTAAATCAGTCATTCTCATTGCCATATGCCCTCTTCTTAACATGAATTCAGAACGAATCTTCCTTGAAGTCTTTCTCCATTACCACTGGCTATTTTTGCCCCTCTGCTGGTCTAATAAAATAGTTTTTGGACCAATTTAATTTATAATCTATTTCAGATAGATTAAAAAAAGATGACTGACATCTGTCACATCAGTCAAGGTTAAAAATGCAATTTCTGGTTCATTAAACCTAACAGAAAAGGTCAATCTTTAATAATTGTATAATCTAATAAGCTATGTTCTCAGAAGACTTCTGGTAGACTTGCTTGTGCCAAAATGTGCACATTTGAGAACATATGACCTCATTATGCTTTTAAAATACACACACACATACACACATACACGCACACACAAATCAATTTGAGATTTACTTTAAGAGATCCACTTAGAAATAATAATTTTGGTCTAATTAAGGCATGAATTAATTTTCTTCTTTTTACTGGCATTAGCCAGAGTGCCTAGAATTGAAGATGGAGGCCAATCTGGGCTGTAGGTTTATAAAAGATGTATTTATTTCATGGTTTTGATGATTATGAGAGTAAGCAACACATTCCAAATCCTGCTTACAGGAATAGGCTTTCACAGAAAATTATATGGATAAAGTGTCTCTCCAAAATATAGCACTGCTTCGCATTCTTTCCTAATTGAGCTTTCTCTGATTACTAAGGCAAGTCACATCTTATAATAAACAGTGGGGGCCATTATCCATAGAAGGGGAGAAGTAAGGCTGTTTGTCCTCAGTTATTTATTTATTTTTTGGGCAGAGCTAGCTGAGGTTTTATTTTGAACACACACACACACACACACACACACACACACACACACACACACACACACAGAGCAATTGAATTGTTTTGTAGCTGGAGGCATGGGCAAGGGGTGTCCCCAGGCAGTAAACTCCCCCGTGAGTGGGCTGAGGGCTAGGGCTGAGCCTCAGGTGGGTCTCCTGTTCTCTGTGCTCCCCTGCACAGCGGCCTCCCTCTTAGGCTCTGGGGCAGCCGCAGGAAGGGTATGCTGGGAGGGGCTGCTGCAGCTGTTCACTTGGGCAGGATGTCAGACAACTCGGACACCAGCTTCTCATTGCGGGTCTTGATCTTCTTCACAACCACGACCCTGGTGGAGCTGGTGCAGCTGAAGGAGCTACAGCCCGCGACAGAACCAAAACTGGAGCCCAGGCCGTAGCTGAGGCCGGGAGTTGTGAGGTCCCCCTAGGCCGAGCTCAGCCCACCTGCATAGCCGCTGGTGGTCTTCATGTGGATACTCATGTTCTGCATCCCAAACTCCAGCCGGTTCTCCTCGCCCTCTAGCAGGTTTCTGTAGGTGGCAATCTCGATGTCCAGAGCCAGCTTGATGTGCATCAGCTCCTGGTACTCACGCAGCTGACGCTCCAAGTCCTGCTTGGCTTGCTATAGGGTACCCTCCAGCTCGGACAGCTTGGTGTTGGCATCTTTAACGGCCAGCTCCCCAGCTGCTCGGCAACTGTGATGGCGGTCTCCAGGGAAGCCCTCTGGCCTTTGAGGCCCTCAATCTCAGCCTAGAGCCGGCTGATGTTCTGGTTCATCTGGGAGATCTGCTTTTGTGTGCCGCAGTTCATCCCCGTGCTTCCCAGCCAGCTTCTGCAGCTTCTCATACTTGATCTGGTACATGCCCTCAGCCTCAGTCCTGCTGCGCTTGGCTAGCTCCTCGTACTAAGCCTTGACCTCAGCGATGGCTGTCCATGTCCGGGGAACAGCTGTTGTCCATGGACAGCACCACAGACGTGTCCCAGACCTGGGACTGCAGCTCCCAGATCTCTTCATACAGCTGCCTGAGGAAGTTGATCTCATCAGTCAGACCTTCCAGGCGAGACTCCAGCTCTAACTTGTTCAGGTAAGCTTCATCCACATCCTTCTTATAAGGACAAATTCATTCTCCACCTCTGTACGCTTATTGATCTCATCCTCGTACTTGTTCTTGAAGTCTTCTACCAGCCCCTGCATGTTGCCAAGCTCTGCCTCCAGCTTCAGCTTCTCCTGGCCCAGAGTCTCCAGCTACCGCCTAAGGTTTTTGATATAGCTCTGGAACATTTTGTCCACGTTGCTCCAAGCCATCTTCTGCTGCTGCAGGAGGCTCCAGTTGGACTCCAGCATCTTGTTCTGCTGCTCCAGGAACCGTACCTTGTCGATGAAGGAGGCAAACTTGTTGTTGAGTATCTTGTTCCGCTCCTTCTCCTGGGTGCACGTGGCCTGAATGTTGGGGTCCACTTCAGGTTAAGGGGGCTCAGTAGGCTCTGGTTGACTGTGAAGGCGGTGATGCTTCCTATGCTGCTGGCCCCACCATAGCCTCCACCCAGGCCACCCTGGAAGCTGCTGCTGCCGCCCACTTGGGAGAAGCTTGAGGAGCTGATGAGGGCACTGGGCCCACTCGTGTAGAAGTGGCTGCTGAAGGCCCCTGGGAGAGAGGTGACACCTGGTAGGACTTCTGGGTCACCCTGATGGACATGGTGGAGGCAGGAGTGGAGGCAGGTGGGCTGAACCAGGCAGAGATTCCAGAAGGGGTGGAGAAGCTGCTTCTTGGTCCAGTTATTTCTTTTAGTGGTCCTAACTTCCCTCCTGGTTCCTAACATGCTGGGATACACAGCCTGGGCTGGTGAGCATTTAAAGTTCCTTATCTGGATTAGGGTGCTAAAAATATGTGTCTACTCCAGTGTCCAGTGATTATACATTAGAAATATGGTGAACAGCAATATTAATTTAGTTGGGAAAAGCATGTTCCTTCAGAGTAAAAAAAAAAAAATGCAGATTGGGAATCTTGGCTCAGCTACTTCCTAGGCGAGTTTGTGTTGATTGATTGATTGATTGATTGATTGAATCTGCCTACTAGGGAATAGGCAAGTTTTTTTTACTTCTTTGAGTCACAGGTTCTTGTCAATCAATTGAGGGCAATACTACCATGTAGAATAGTTGTGATCACATGAGATAATGTCTACAAAGTGCTTCACATGGTGTCTGATATGGAGTAAGCATTCAGAAATGATAGAAATTATTATAATTACATAATACATTTGTGGAAGAGGAAGAATTCCAAATTTTATTATCTACACATATCCCATTCTCCAAATGAGACTGCAGAATTTCTAAGTCAAAGGACAATACAGATTATTACAGTGGAAAAAAAGAAGCTCATATACCAAAATACAGGATGTTAGCTGGGCACAGTGGTATGCACCATAGTCCTAGCTACTTGGGAGGCTGAGGCAGGAGGATCACTTGAGCCCAGGAGTTGGAGACTAGGGTGTTATGACTGCATCTGTGTATAGCCACTGCCCTCCAGCCTGGGCAACATAGGAAGACCCATCTCTAAAATCATACATACATACATATGTACATAAAAAGGAAAAAAAACCCTAAGAAGTTAATGGTATCAATTAATCTTCTTAAGAGAGGACCAGAAATGTAGAAGGATGCAGGCTAATAGGTGGTTTTAGGATATTTACTGCCTGTCTCTCCCACTTACTCTAGATGGCCAGTAGAGCTGCTCTTCCCTTTCAATTTTAGTATCCCTCTTCTGGGCCTTCCTCGAATCTTCCATAGGGGATTCTTTTGGATTATCATTTTATGGTTTAATTGACCTTCATTATTAGGAAACAAAACAATTCTGAACAGAGGCCATCGGTGTGCTATGCAGAGCATCATGTTTTCACAATCAATTTACTCATTTGCTTTAAAATTCTTCGTAGTTTGAGTTCTGAGATATCTAACAGGATGAAGTTTGTTAGAGAATGAAATGAACAGAATGACATTTTATAACAGAAGTGGCATTTCATAACAGAATGAAAACAACCAAAATGATCTTTTCAACAAGCTTCCTCTAATTGCCTTTAGAGAATGTGCCTTCCTCTGCTTACTTGAATAACTAAATAAAGGACAAAACATTTGTAATTTTAATATTAAGAATATACTCAGAGTTGGTAATTTTGTCAAACTGACACCTGATAATTTCAAAAAATGGTCAGAGCATATCCTTACGGTTTAAAACTTTTTTTAAAAAGTCTGTTGAATAGAAATCTTAAACACAGTAAATGATAATGTTAAAAACAAATAAGCTATTGGAAAAGGCTATGAATCAATGTAATCTACCTAAGGTCATATCTGTTAGTAGGCCTGCTGGGGGCTCAGGAGGTATTTAGAATGCACCCAATTGGTCTCAGAAGGCCAGATGTCTCCTATGTCCTGTGAGTCTCCAAGTTCTCCTTTAAACCACACATCTAGCTACTCAGAATGGGGTGTGCTTTGCAGACATCACACAAAGGTGTAATTGGCCAAAAAGTACATTGTTGTCCCTCTCCCTCGTCATTCCATTGTCCTTGTATTACCTTCTCTTCTTTAAGGAAAAAATACACATAATTGTGGTCAATACTGTACTCATTCACATAGTAGAAGTATATAGTACTCAGACAGAGAATATATGATATATGTCCTGGAGTTGTAAAGGGAGGAGGAAAATCAGAGAAATGTGGTGTCCTGGAATCCAAGAGGAGAAAGCATTTTGAGAAGACAGTAGTCAATAATGTCGACTAGAACAGACAGGCCTTGGAAACTAAGGGTTAAGAAAAAGCTACTGGATTTGGTGAGGTCATCGGTCAGCCTTGACAGATTTCAGAAGAAAAGTAGTTTGGGAAGCCTGATTTTTATTTTATTTTATTTTATTTTATTTTATTTTATTTTATTTTATTTTATTTTATTTTATTTCATTTATTTATATTTATGAATGTGGTGTGGGAGGGGCTGGTTATGACAGGAATTTTAAGGTGTGTGTGTGTGTGAGAGCATGAAAACACTGTATTTAGAATATCCTTTAAAGAACTTTGTGAAAGGAAGGCTACCTTGAGGGTGGTGGCTGGAGAGAGACGTGGTAGCATCAGTGAAACACAGCTTTTCAGCCGGTAACACCTGAGTACCTTTGAAGACATGGAAGCTCAAACCTGTGGAAGAAGAAGCTGAGGAGACAGGAATGGGCAGATACAAGAACTAGATCCTCTAGGAGTAAGGAGTGACTCTTACTTTATATTTTTACTTTCTAAACATTCACAATATCAGCATTTATTAGAATGGTGATATAGTCTTTGAAAAATGGTAGCAGGTATGCAAAGGACTCTTACCTAGAACTTGCTGACTAAAAATGAATGCTGATGGTACTGAGCAGGACCTAGTCTACAAAGTTTGCCTGTCAGGAACACATTTTAAACAGAAGCTAAGCTATTATTCCTAGTAATAGGAAGAGCTTGTTAAAGTTTCAGGTTAGATTAGTTCTCTGAGGGTGGAGCCTGTTATGGATAGTCTACGTCAACCTGTCATGTTCTGCTGCCCAAACGTGGTAAATTCTCGCATTGGAATGTAGAACTGAAAAACGGTGCCATAAATAACAATTCCAGGCTGTCAGCATGGAGTGATCACTGCTCCCACCCTCCCGGTTCTACTCTTATTCTAAAGGCCAAAAAAGTTCTGAGAGTATTTATGTTCTATTCAGATTAACTAATTGAGATTTTGGCCTTTTTCTCTAGTTGCCTGTTCCTTTACTCAAAATTAATTTGTTACAAGGCACAGTGAGTTAATTAGTATGATTAGCTCCGTTATCTTCATGCTTGCATTTTTAAGGACTTTAAAGTCAAGGTACTGTTTCACAGATGATTATTTGCAGACAGTTAATTCTTGAGTTATTGTCTTGGGATGGCCGTTATCATATTAGCATGCCTTTTACATTTCTTGATTTTTAAAGAAACATCTCATTTTTATATTCCATTTTAGAACTTTCATTGTCAGTAAATATTACCAATGAGCTTCCGTTCTGTCAACAACATTTTCGTGTCACGTATTTTCAAAATATGAGATTTCAAATTCCAAAATGATTTGTTTCTATAAGTTTAGGGAAGTGGTGGTAGTAAGCATTTCATTAATAAAGTTGTTATAATGAGTACTCAATGTGTATTCAAAGTGTACCTGTTGATAATTTGAAGCAGAACAAAAGAGGGGGAAAAGAAAAAGAATGTACCACTAGGTGCCACTCTGATCTTAAAGCTTGAACCAATGAATGACAATTGCAACAATGACAGTGGTGGTGACATCAATAGACACTTTATGATAAAATGGAGGTAGTTTTTGTGACTATAATATTCTAAATTTAGGACATGAAATTTTAAGCTTGATGAGGATTTTGTCTGAAAATGACTTTTTTCAGATGCTTTGCAAATACTTTGTATTAGTTGATATTACTAAATCATTTATGAAATTAGCAAATGTGGAAGTATTGCTGACTTTTATAAAGGAGAAAGGTGTGGTTTGATGATCCTAGGATAGAGAGTCATCAATTTAGCATTGATATCAACTTTCACTATCATAGTAATAAAGCTATTGAACTATTCTTCTCTGGCTTGGTTATCCAGAAGAGATATCTCTTTCTCAGGAGTGTCATAAAAGACACTTGGTTAAAGTGTGAATAGTGTTCTGATTACAGTAATTGTTAAATATTATTATGTAAAGCGAGGTAATGATAGTAAAAATAAATGAAATGCATGAATGAAGCAGTTACCTGGTGATCAAACTACAAATAAAACATCAGTCCTATGTGGTGATTAAAAATTCTCTCTTCATAGAATATTTCCAAATAAAGAAGTCAAAGACAGTTTTCCTGAATTGTTGATATTTGACTTTCAATACAGTTACTGGTTCACAAAAAACCACTTAATTACCAGACTAATCTAATTGACCTAGGATAGCAGTGAGAGAGCTGTAAGGGGCTCTCTCTTCTTCACCTAGAAGACTTTACTGAACAAAGTCTAGGAGATCCTTGAAATTGTTAGCAAAGCATAAAGATATATACATATGTGTAGGTTCAGCAATATACATGTATCTCATTGGAACTTCAAAGACACTCATCAAAAAAGGGTTATATCCACTCTTCTAGGGTATTTGATAGTGGCAATGGCTAACATCACATCCAAGGGCTTGGTTGAAGGTAAAAATCAGTGCGAACGAACATCAAAAGCAACTTTCAGTGGGAAAAGTAACAAAGTGTCAACCTGAGGTCTCAACAGGAACTTTGGTTGTCATATGTAAAGCAATAAAGGCATTCCTTAGGACAACCTATACACATATGAGGGCCAAGAATTTTTTGTTTGTTTAGGTTTTTAAGCTCTGTTTTAAAAATCACATCTTCCCTCAAGTGCTGCAAACATAAAATCATTCCTGTCCTTTTACTCTCAAAATTGTGGTCCCTTTCTCTCTACCTTTCCCGAAACCAAAGGCCTGTGTGTGACCTTTGAACGAACTCACCCAACCTAGCAAAGTCATGATGCATTATTCCATGATGGGTGGGCCAGTGGGAGGGCTACCATTACAGAATACTTTCTCTTGGACTAGAAAGGTTTCCTAGGAGAATGAAGACAGAAGTTAAGTATATTGAAGAACTGGCAGAATTCATGCACTCAGTTAAAATGAAGAGACACTGCCTCCTGGAGGCCTGTATTGGGATAGCCGTGGTACAGTGTGAGGAAATGAGTAGTTTACACTCCCAGCCTAGATGGAATCAAAGCTTATTCCAGCCATGGCTGAGAGTGTGTCTGGAGACATAGCTAACAGAGAATTTATATTTTCTGACTGACAGTGAAAAATGAATGTTTTCACACCGTGGTAACTAAAATTTGGGGCAGTCATCTTTATTCACATTTGAATAAAACACCGATTCATGACAGGCTTCAGGTTGCTTAGTCAATCAGTTACGCGGCCAAAACTGCTGCGTCTGAGTCTCTTCCTCTCTGCTGGGCAGTTCCTTTTGGTTGTTTTTATTAGGTCTCAGTGTTACCTCTCGTGTGTTTTTCTTCTGTTATGTGCTCCAACAGGACAGAATTATTAGATCTGTACTGTCTTTGTAACCTAATTATTTTCCTGTCTCACATACTGCATTGATATATCCAGGTTTCCAAACATATGTATAGTTACAATTACACTGTGAATTTAAACTACTTAAGTCATATTATTTTAATCTACCAAAGATTTGAAATATTAATAACAACAGCACATGAAGATTATATTTTGGATTCTAATTTAAGAGAGTATACCTGTGATGGTTAATACTGAGTGTCAACTTGATTGAATTGAAGGATTCAATCATGGATTAAATTATTGATCCTGGGTGTGTCTGTGAGGGTGTTGCCAAAGGAGATTAACATTTGAGTCAGTGGGCCGAGAAAGGCAGACCCACCCTTAATCTGGGTGGGCACAATCTAATTAGCTGCCAGCACAGCTAGAATATAAGCAGGCAGAAAAATCTGAAAAGAGAGACTGGCCTAGCCTCCCAGCCTACATCTTTCTCCCAGGCTGGGTGCTTCCTGTCCTCAAACATCGAACTCCAAGTTCTTCAGTTTGGGAACTCAGACTGGCTCTTTTTGCTCCTCAGCCCACAGACGGCCTATTGTGAGACCTTGTGATCATGTGAATTAATACTTAATAAACTCCCCTTTATATATATGTCTATTCCATTAATTTTGTCCCTGTAGAGAACCCTAATATAGTACCCACTTAGACTATTAAATAATTAGTCATCTTAAGGAAAAGAAAATAGCAACACATACTTAAATTGCATTGTACTGTTCTAAGCACTTCACATATATTTATTGATTTTTATCACCATAACAGACCTTATGAAAGAGATACTATGCAATAATATAATTTATATATAATCTGATCTTATTCTAAAAAAAGAGAAGCAAATACCTAGACATGTATTTGGAAATAGTACCTTTAGTTTGGGCTGCTGTGTTTCTTATCTGGAGTCTTGACTTAAGGCCCCTGGATTTGCAACTGTCAGCTAACAGCTGACAACTCTCACCTGGTATGTCAGTCAGATCCAGAAAATAACAATAATTTGCAAATAGCTCTTTAAAAACTCAGGCTTTTAGGACACAAAATTCCTCACCTGGAATGGCATTTGTCTGATGAGTAAGGAGAGATGACTTGAGAAGCTTAATGAGAAAAAATGTGTTGAGTCCAAAAGTAAATATAATAAGTTCTCAAAGAAAAATCAACCTTGTAGTAAATGGTCTTAGAAATGTCTAATGTGCATCACAGGATAACCTGTTTAAAAAATGTGACATATGCAATGGATTCCCAAAAGGTTTGTATGCACATATGGAGAGAGAATGGCCATATGGGATGAAGAGGGAGGGGATGTAGGTAGTGAAGGCTCGGACTCAGGAGGCTAACAGTGTCAGAGAACTACTTGTATAGCACTTGTAGGCTAATTGTTGGGTGGGAGAGGCAGAGAATGCAAGGAACTCAACACAGTATTTGGTATAGTAACAGGCCCTGTATGCTCGAGCTACAGTGTTGATCATTACATTCAATTAGTCAGAATCTTTTTAAGTAAGGTATCTACTTTACCATTTTTTAAAGATGTGAAGAAATCAGAGCATGAACTGAGACAGAAACACAATATTTATTCATCAATTCATTTGTTCAACCTACTTTTTGCCACACATTTTGTTTGGCATTGAAGATACAACAATAAACCCTTATGAGGCTTATATATGGAGTTCATGGAGTTGCCATGAACTGAGATTAAAAAACTGTAGGAGGAGGTTTGGTTTGGAGTGAGGAGAAGAGTAGACCTCAGTTTTGAAGATGCTTAGTTTGAGGTTTTTTGTTTTTTTTTTTTGAGTTGGAGTCTCACTCTGCTGCCCAGGCTGGAATGCAGTGGCACGATCTCGGCTCACTGCAACCTCCGCCTCCTGGGTTCAAGTGATTCTCCTGCCTCAGCCTCCAAAATAGCTGGGACTATAGGCATACGCCACCATGCCCAGATAACTTTTGTATTTTTTAGTTAGAGACAAGGTTTTACCATATTGGCCAGGCTGGTCTTGAACTCCTGACCTCAGGTGATCCACCTGCCTCAATCTGCCAAAGTGTTAGGATTACAGGCATGAGCCACAGTACCCGGCCAGTTTGAGGTTTTAGATATCTAAGTGAAGATGCTGAGCAGAGAGTTAGGTAATGAAAAAAAGAGTTTAGTGAGAAGCCTAGGCAGGAGATACACATTTGGGAGTTTTGGTAATCACTAGTGTCATTCACCAAATATTTCCATTTCACCTTCTAATATGGTTTTATGTTAGAATTGTATTTTTCTACTCATCATGGCCCTGTGACTTGCTCTGTCCAACTAAAATCAAGTGGAAATAATACATGTTACTTCTGGATGGAAGCTTTAGTAATTAATGCACAATGTCACATTCTTATCTCTGTCACAGCAGCTGGCAGTACTCTTTATGGTAGCTGCTCTACGAGCTGTGTCCCAGAGAAAGGACAACATGGGATACAATACCTAGGCAAACCACAACTGAAAGGCAACATGAGTGAGAAACCTTTCTTAAGCTACTGGGACTGGGGTGTGGTTGTTTTTAACCCAGGAAGACTTAGCCTGTTCTAACTTGAATGGGAATCATGATAGATTGAGAGATGAAGCTAGAGATATAGACAGATAATAAGAAAGAGAAGTTCCAGGGCAAGGGAGGCTGGGAGTATTCCAACATTGAAAGGTTGGGGAGTAAAGGAACCAGCCAAGACTGAGAGGAAGCATTTGAGACCATGTGGTGTCCCGGAAGTCAAGTGAAGAAAGTGCTTCAAGAAGGAAATAATGTTTAACCAGGTCAAAGGCTGCTAAGTCAAGTAAGATGAAGAATCTGGATTTCCACTTTGGAGATCATTGGAGAGCTTGGCAGGAGCAGTTTTGATGGAGCAATCAGGCAAAAGCATACTCCGAGTGGGTTTAAGTGAGAACAGGAAGAGAGAAACTGTACAGAGCAAGTCTATTTGTTTCAAAGTGTGGAAATGGGGTCATACCAGGACAGGAAAGTGGGATTGTGAGTGCCTTAAAAAAATGATAGAAATACTGCATGTTGAGTACAGATGGGAAAATAAAACATGTAGGAGGAAGGGGCAATTGTGGGAGTTGTATCCTTGAGCAGAAGAGATGGAATTAGATTTACGTGTTCAAATGGAGGGGTCAGCTTTGTTAGGAAATGGGTGGTCATGAATTTAAAGTGAGATCAATCAGCACAATTATGTGTTTTTCTTCAGACACATTCAGCTGTGTGGGTGCAGGTGTGGAGTAGATGAAGCACTGGATTCAACTAGGCTTGAAAGTGATGACTTGATTACCATTTTCAAGTACAGTTGTCCCTCAGTATCCATGGTGGATTGGTGCCAAAACCGCCACAACCCCCTTCCCCTCCAGGATACCAAAATCCTCTTATTTGAAATGGCATAATAAAGACAGGTTGGTGGTGCGTGCCTATAATCCCAGCTACTCAGGAGGCTGAAGTGGGAGGATCACCCAAGAGTTCAAGGCCAGCCTGGGCAACATACTGAGACCCCATGTCTTAAAAAAAAATTAAAAATGGCATAGTATTTGCATATAACTTACACACATCTTCGTGTATACTTTAAATAATCTCTAGATTAGTTATACCTAATGCAATGCAAATGCTATGTAAATAGTTTTACTGTATTGTTTAGGGGCTAATGACAAGAAAAATCTGTCCATGTTCAGTACAAATGTGGTTTTTTTCCTGAATATTTTGCATCTATGGTTGGTTGAATCCATGGATATGGAACTCAGATATAGAGGGCTGACTGTATGTTAGCTGTTATTCTCAATGTTTTTGGGAAATCAAATGAGAGAAATGGCCTTTAATAAAAATAAAAAAGAACAACCCTGAGATATTTAAGAGAAGACCCATTCCTGGTCAAAGAACCAATAACAAAACAAGCATGAAATTTTTATTCCTGAAGAAGGTTTTTGTTTTGTTTTGTTTTTGGCTGATTTTCAATAATAGTAGATTCTCTCTGGTTAGAAAGTCCCTTCAATAAGGAAAAGTAAGTAATTAGACTTACTGATCCAAACACCTGTTGATCTGATCTTTTGAAAGTAACCAATAGCTCTGACTTTGTGTCTTTTATCCTCCCCCCAGAATATTTAATCAATTTTTTGTCACTAGCTTTGTAAGAGGGTACTAAGTAAACAAGATAACAATACAAGCAAGGGGTTTTTGAGCCCAACTCATGCTAGTTATTGGCACACATTTAATATGGCATCTGGATGGGAAATCCATACTGAGTGAGATTAAGGCAATGAAGTGAGAAAATGAAAAATTCATCCAGGAAGTGAATGTCCATGGCCAAATTACCAATGTTTATATATGTATATAAAACAACTTAGCATCAATTTGTTGCAGTAGTTATAACAGGCCTTGGCAAGGAGTTTTAGGCCAGAAGAGGATTTAAATTTATTATAAACTAGAGTGTTGTGATGTTCAGTGTGTTAGGGTTTCATCTGGAACACTGAATCAGTGTTCTGATGAGGGACGTGACTAAAATTAGCAAACTTGGGTCTAGTTGGCTGCACCAAAGCAGAAGTCAGCTGCGTCACACCTGTTCTGCATGACTGGCTGTTTATATAAGATAATATCAGGCAGAGAATGCTGGCAGAAAATTACCAAAATCACCCAAGGCCTAGCGTTTCAAATGTGTCTGTGAAAAATGGCTGATTTATGACAAGGAATATGCTCATAATAGGATATTAAGAGAAATAACGCAGGTATTAATTTTATACATAGTATGTGCTCAACTGTTTTTTTTAAAGGCATAGGAAAACAGGCTAGAAGGAAATGAATGTTAATTGTGTCTTTTTGTGATTGAAGCCTGGAGCATTAAACCTCAAGACAAAATATTGAGGCAAATCTTGGTCAGACACTTAGGAGTATTGAAAGCAAAAACTATTTCTGGGTTTGTTTCCTTTATGATTGCCTGTTTTATTTGTGTTTTTGTGTTATAATTTGTATCATATGTAGCCCGATGATAGCGATTTAATACATGGCTGTTTCTTCTTATACCACATTAATGCTGGAAGAATATACTTTTAGACATGCATACTGTGAATTCTGTTTTAGGAAACTCAGAGATATGTTTATACATATAACATTTTTATTGAAGAACTGCTATGTGTCACTGTTTTTTTTCTTTTTTCTTTTTTTTATTATACTTTAAGTTTTAGGGTACATGTGCACAACGTGCAGGTTTGTTACATATCTATACATGTGCCATGTTGGTGTGCTGTACCCATTAACTCGTCATTTAACATTAGGTATATCTCCTAATACTATCCCTCACCCCTCCCGCCACCCCACAACAGGCCCCGGTGTGTGATGTTCCCCTTCCTGTGTCCATGTGTTCTCATTGTTCAATTCCCACCTATGAGTGAGAACATGTGGTGTTTGGTTTTTTGTCCTTGTGATAGTTTGCTGAGAATGATGGTTTCCAGCTTCATCCATGTCCCTACAAAGGACATGAACTCATCCTTTCTTATGGCTGCATAGTACTCCATGGTGTATATGTGCCACATTTTCTTAATCCAGTCTATCGTTGTTGGACATTTGGGTTGGTTCTAAGTCTTTGCTATTGTGAATAGCGCCGCAATAAACATACGTGTGCAGGTGTCTTTATAGTAGTGTGATTTATAATCCTTTTGGTATCTACTCAGCAATGGGATCGCTGGGTCAAATGGTATTTCTAGTTCTAGATCCTTGAGGAATTGCCACACACTAGTCCACAATGGTTGAACTAGTTTACACTCCCACCAACAGTGTGAAAGCATTCCTATTTCTCCACATCCTCTCCAGCATCTGTTGTTTCCTGACTTTTTAATGATTGCCATTCTAACTGGTGTGAGATGGTATCTCATTGTGGTTTTGATTTGCATTTCTCTGATGGCCAGTGATGATGAGCATTTTTTCATGTGTCTGTTGGCTGCATAAATGTCTTCTTTTGAGAAGTGTCTGTTCATATCCTTCACCCACTTGTTGATGGGGTTGTTTGTTTTTTTCTTGTAAATTTGTTTGAGTTCATTGTAGATATTGGATATTAGCCCTTTTTCAGATGAGTAGATTGCAAAAATTTTGTCCTATTCTGTAGGTTGCCTGTTCACTCTGATGGTAGTTTCTTTTGCTGTGCAGAAGCTCTTTAGTTTAATTAGATCCCATTTGTCAATTTTGTCTTTTGTTGCCATTGCTTTTGGTGTTTTAGACATGAAGTCCTTGCCCATGCCTATGTCCTGAATGGTATTGCCTAGGCTTTCTTCCAGGGTTTTTATGGTTTTAGGTCTAACATTCAAATCTTTAATCCATCTTGAATTAATTTTAGTATAAGGTGTAAGGAAGGGATCCAGTTTCAGCTTTCTACATATGGCTAGCCAGTTTTCCCAGCACCATTAATTAAATAGGGAATCCTTTCCCCATTTCTTGTTTTTGTCAGGTTTGTCAAAGATCAGATAGTTGTAGATATTTGGCATTATTTCTGAGGGCTCTGTTCTGTTCCATTGGTCTATATCTCTGTTTTGGTACCAGTACCATGCTGTTTTGGTTACTGTAGCCTTGTAGTATAGTTTGAAGTCAGGTAGCGTGATGCCTCCAGCTTTGTTCTTTTGGCTTAGGATTGACTTGGCAATGCAGGCTCTTTTTTGGTTCCATATGAACTTTAAAGTAGTTTTTTCCAATTCTGTGAAGAAAGTCATTGGTAGCTTGATGGGGATGGCATTGAATCTATAAATTACCTTGGGCAGTATGGCCATTTTCATGATATTGATTCTTCCTACCCATGAGCATGGAATGTTCTTCCATTTGTTTGTATCCTCTTTTATTTCCTTGAGCAGTGGTTTGTAGTTCTCCTTGAAGAGGTCCTTCACATCCCTTGTAAGTTGGATTCCTAGGTATTTTATTCTCTTTGAAGCAATTGTGAGTGGGAGTTCACTCATGATTTGGCTCTCTGTTTGTCTGTTATTGTTGTATAAGAATGCTTGTGATTTTTGCACATTGATTTTGTATCCTGAGACTCTGCTGAAGTTGCTTATCAGCTGAAGGAGATTTTGGGCTGAGACTATGGGGTTTTCTAGATATACAATCATGTCATGTGCAAACAGGGACAATTTGACTTCCTCTTTTCCTCATTGAGTACCCTTTATTTCTTTCTCCTGCCTGATTGCCCTGGCCAGAATTTCCAACACTGTGTTGAATAGGAATGGTGAGAGAGGACATCCCTGTCTTGTGCCAGTTTTCAAAGGGAATGCTTCCAGTTTTTGCCCATTCAGTATGATATTGGCTGTAGGTTTGTCATAAATAGCTCTTATTATTTTGAGATACGTCCCATCAATACCTAATTTATTGGGAGTTTTTAGTACGAAGTGCTGTTGAATTTTGTCAAAGGCCTTTTCTGCATCTATTGAGAAAATCATGTGGTTTTTGTCTTTGGTTCTGTTTATATGCTGGATTACATTGATTGATTTGCATATGTTGAACCAGTCTTGCATCCCAGGGATGAAGCCCACTTGATCATGGTGGATAAGCTTTTTGATGTGCTGCTGGATTCTGTTTGCCAGTATTTTATTGAGGATTTTTACATCGATGTTCATCAGGGATATTGGTCTAAAATTCTCTTTTTTTGTTGTGTCTCTGCCAGGCTTTGGTATCAGGATGATGCTGGCATCATAAAATGAGTTAGGGAGGATTCCCTCTTTTTCTGTTTATTGGAATAGTTTCAGAAGGAATGGTACCAGCTCCTCCTTGTACCTCTGGTAGAATTTGGCTGTGAATCCGTCTGGTCCTGGACTTTTTTTTGTTGGTAAGCTATTGATTATTGCCTCAATTTCAGAGCCTGTTATTGGTGTATTCAGGGATTCAACTTCTTCCTGGTTTAGTCTTGGGAGAGTGCATGTGTCGAGGAATTTATCCATTTCTTCCAGATTTTCTAGTTTATTTGCATAGAGGTGTTTATAGTATTCTCTGATGGTAGTTTGTATTTCTGTGGGATCGGTGGTGATATCCCCTTTATCATTTTTTCTTGCATCTATTTGATTCTTCTCTCTTTTGTTCTTTATTAGTCTTGCTAGCGGTCTATCAATTTTGTTCTTTTCAAAAAACCAGCTCCTGGATTCATTGATTTTTTGAAGGGTTTTTAATGCTCTAATTCCTTCAGTTCCGCTCTGATCTTAGTTATTTCTTGCCTTCTGCTAGCTTTTGAATGTGTTTGCTCTTGCTTCTCTAGTTCTTTTAATTGTGTCACTCTTATTAGGCACTGGACCTTTCAGACACGGTCCCTAACCTCATGGAGCTTGCAGAATAAAATGGAGGGTGTATTAGTTTTCTGTTGCTGCATAAGAAGTTACAATGCACTTAGCAGCTTAACACAACACACATTAATTATCTCACAGTTTCAGTGGGCAGGATGCAGGGCATGGCTTACTGGGTCCTTGGCTCAGGGCCTCACATGGTTGCAATCAAGGTGTTGCCAGGCTGCAGCCTTATCCAATGGCTCAACTGGGGAAAAATCTGCTTTGAAGCTTACTTGCTGTGTTGATAGAATTCACCTCCCTGTGGCATGATTGAGGGCCCTGGCTTCTTGCTGGCTGTTGGCTGGAGTCTACTCTCAGTTCCTAGAGGCCACTCTCAGCTCCTTGCCATGTGGCTTTCCCAACATGACCATTTAATTCTTCAGAGCCAGCTAAGGAGAGATAATAAGTAGTGAGTCTGTTAGAAAGAGAGAGCTGTATATAATGTAATGTCATCACAAGAATGATGTTCTACTGTCTTTGCATATTCTGCTGGTTAGAAGAAAGCCACAGTTCTATATACAGCTAGCCACTGCTATGGGCAAATGGGGCTTATTCTGCTGGGAACGGTCCGAGAGGTCTCATAAAATGCACCTTAGAATGGAATGCAGCTGTCATTCAGGTTTGGTCAAGGGTTGCCCCATGAGGGAGAATTCTGACTTCAAGGCATGTAGATGGCTTAGAATGACTGAGCAGGTTCCCAAAGGCATCTCTCATGGGGGCAACAGTGAAACCCTGGGTGAAAGTGATAGCTACCTAGAGCAGCTGAGGTGAGGTATTACCAGGTTACAGGTTTGCAGTGTTGGTTCCCACAGCAATGGCTGGAGTAAAAAGGCAGGTTGAGAGGGTGTGCGGTGGGACTAAGAAGTGTTTCATGTACACAGGTGGTGAGAGGCAGAGCTGGAGGCTAAGTCTGTCTGACTCTATTGCCATCAGCTGCTACATGACCATTCTCCTGAACTTTAACAAATTCGCTCTTTTTTCATAAGTACTATATTTCTTCTCTGCACTGAAATTCCTCATTTAACTCTCATTGCTTTGGGTAAAACTTTACAGCAATGCTTCTCAAAATGTAATGTGCATACAAATCACCTGGGGATCTTGTTAAATTGCTGATTCTGATTCAGTACATCAGGTGTGGTCTTACAGGCTGCATGTCTAACAAGCTTCCAGGTGATGTCAATGCTGCTGGTCTGCAGGCCACACTTTGAGTAGCAAGGTAGTTAGGGAAAAATATAAATGAAAATGTATAGTAAGGTAAAAAATAAATGAAAAATATAAATGTGTAACTAGGTTGTATATTTGAATGAACTGAGCAAAAGGCACAGTGATGCATTCTGAGGTTGCTAACTCAACAGAGCTTTTGACAAGCATATTTACTTTCCCAGTGGTCAGAGGTTTACTAAACGCTTTGTGTATTTTGAATGATGATTTGAATAATATTTTTATATAAAACCCTCTCCCAGAATGGTTCAAAGTGCTCTTTCAGGGTACTAATTCTCTTTTACAAAGGTAGTATTATAATAATATACTAGTAATGTGAAAAATCAAATATGTACTTCCTACAAAACATCATTTTCTTGCTCTGCATGTACATCCTCATTAAAAATTGCATTCCCAAAACCAAAATAATAAATAATAGTATCATTAGGGTACAGTGAACTTATTGGAGTTTTGTCTCTGCTTCCTAAAGGGAAAAATATTACGTTTCAAAGTCCTGCATCATCTGGTAAGAAGTTTTGTTCTGGTAACACTGTGTTTACTATTGACTGATCCAATTTGATTAGATTTTCATTCATGGTATTTCTTCCAAAGAAGAAAAAAATGAAATAATCCCAGGGATCCTGTAATATATTTATGTAGTTCTCTAAAAGACATGATTAACTTCTGCAATATGGTTTCTCAAGAAACACTTTGAAAGAAAATATGTAAAAGCATACCTCTAAGGTTTCAAGCTAAATTGAGATTTGATATTGTAATATGATACTGCAGATAAGGAACTGACTTAAACCATGAAGACTTAACAAACCCAATAATGGTTTAAAAATTATTTAGATGGTTTTATTCTTTTAGGTTTTCTATTTATTCACTCCATGTTCAACAAACATCTATTGAGCATCCATTGTGAGCATTGACATAGCCCTGGTTATGCAGTGAGGAACAAAATAGAGTTCCTGATGTCATGGAAGTTACACCCGTGGAGAAGGCAGACCTTAAGCAAATAGTTACACAAATGCACACATCATTACTTATGCGGTGAGTATTATGAAATAAACTGCGCAGAGTTCTACAGGAAGTAGTGTGCTCCTCACATTTGAGGAATTAAAGAAGCCCAGGGTGCTGGAGCAGGGCACCAATAAGGAAGATATGGGAAAATGCTTATATAGCACACCCAATGTATCAGGAGGAGCCATCAATCAGCTCAAGTCCTTACTACCACCTTGTGAGGCCAACGTCAGTGTTATTCTCATTTTATAGATCAGAGGCATAGAGAGTATGCCAATTGCCCAGTGTTTCCTGGGTAGTGTGTTTCAACCAAAGATATGTGGCTTAGGGTCTTCCTCCTCTGCCCTGCATTGCCTCTCTGCAGGGGAAAGGCAGCAGGGCTCAGGAGATCACACACATTGGCAGCTTTCTCTTTTGTCCTCTCTCTGTGTGTAATAATATGCAACTTCAAAGCTTTAGGCGTTATGTGAAAGAACAGCAGGTTAGTTGACTTAATTAGATAAAATAACCATCAAATAAAATAGTAATAGTTCATTACCTCATAAGACAACTTATAGAGCTGATAAGTAAGCACTCATAATGCGTAACCATGTTGTCATTTCAAAAGATCTCTCCATGAGGGATGTGTGGAAGAAAATAACCATAAACTATTTTCACATCTCAGCATGGGTGATTCAGGTCTTCATTTTCTGACTGGGATGGTAACATGCTGTGATGGTTAATATTGCGTGTCGACTTGATCGGATTGAAGGAGGCAAAGTATTATTCCTGGGTATGTCTGTGACGGTGTTGCCAAAGAAGATTAACATTTGAGTCAGTGGACTGAGAGAAGCAGATCTATCCTCAAGCTGGGTGGGCACCATCTAGTCAGCTGCCACCGTTGCTAGAATAAAGCAGGCAGGAAAAGATGGAAGGCCAGACTTGCTGAGTCGTCTGGTCTTCATCTTTCTCCTGTGCTGGATGCTTCCTGCTCTCAAACATCAGACTCCCAGTTCTTCAGCTTTTGAACTCTTGGACTTAGACCAGTGGTTTGCCAGGGACTCTCGGGCCTTTGGCCACAGACTGAAAGCTGCACTGTTGGCTTCCCTACTTTTGAGGTTTTGGGACTTGGACTGATCCACCACTGGCTTCCTTGCTCCTTAACCTGCAGATGGCCTATCTTGGGACTTTACCTTGTGATCGTGTGAGTTAATTCTCTTTAATAAACTCGCTTTCATATATACATATATCCTATTAGTTCTGTCCCACTAGAGAACCCTGACTAATACACATGCCCTTTCTATAATTCCTTGAAGATGTGTAAGTGATACAATTCATTGAGGAGACTTTTTTTTTGTATTTTTTTCTTTTCTTTTCTTTTCTTTCTTTTTTTTTTGAGAGGGGGTCTCGCTCTGTCTCCCAGGCTGGAGTGCAGTGGCGTGATCTCTGCTCACTGCAAGCTCCGCCTCCCGTCAACACCATTCTCCTGCCTCAGCCTCCCGAGTAGTTGGGACTACAGGCACCTGCCACCACGCCCAGCTAATTTTTTGTATTTTTAGTAGAGATGGAGTTTCACCATGTTAGCCAAGATGGTCTCGATCTCCTGACCTCGTGATCCGCCCGCCTCGGCCTCCCAAAAGTGCTGGGATTACAGGCATGAGCCACTGCACCCGGGCTTTCTTTGTATTTTCTAAGGCAGGAAAATGATGTAAATGTTTAGATGTTATAGCAGGAGTCTAAGAAATGGAATTTTAAGTAATTTTCCTTTTGTCACTAAGAGTAGTTTAGTTTTGCTATAGATTTACCTTAAGCTTTAAATAATAAATGCCTATAAACTTAAAAATATTTATTGCAATTTTCATTTAATTTCCTCCTTAAGCCAGATACATTTCCCAGCACTGAAACCAAGCAGTTGGATAAGTTTTTGCTGTCATAGTTTAGTAAGTGGCAATGCTAAGGAAGAGAACAAAACTGGTGCAGGGCTGCTACTTATCACACCAAGGAATCCAGATGCCTCCATGCAGTTAGTGTATCTGATGGGAAACTCAGAAAAAGACAGATATGAAGCTCTTACGTTTCATGATCTAGGCTTTTCAGGGCTTTACCTTTTGTGACTGGCTTTTATCAAATTGCATGTTTAATAGTAGGCAGAAAAAGTTAAGAAAACGCATAAACCATAAGCTGGATAATAATCTTTGAGAAACTAAAAGTTGGCTGTTTGGAGCATTGATTGTTATAGAATCATAGGAATGTTAGAAATACTCTTTTTCCCCTTTAAGGATGAAAAGCAAGGCTGAGACATAAGTGAATTTTCCAAGATCATATATCAAGCTGGTAGCAGAGAACGAGATAGAGCCACACTCTCCTAACTCATAGCAGTGACCTCAGCATTGAGATTAGGGGTGTGTGTCTGTGTGTGTGTAACAATGTGCTTTAGGTTTCCTAAGACAAAGGCCATGAAACTAGAAACACAATATGCAGTTCTCCAGGAAACATACATATCCAGAGCACATAGAAAATCCCAAACTTAGAGTGCACATGGCTTCTGAAGCAAAGATTAAGTCAATAAAGATACAATATGGGGATAATGTTTGAGCAATATGCTACTATGGTCTTTAATAAAACACCTTCACCCTTGGTAAGGCAGCAAACTATGGTCCTTTTTGATTTAATCAGTTATTTTTAAAGACTAAAACACCTTACAGATAGTCTACATTTGAAAAATATTAGGATAATTTAATGAATTTATTATGCCCTTGTCCACTCTTGGCCATGTAGAACCAGGTATGATCTCCTACTAGCGTACTCCTGTGTGAAGCCCTCTCAGAGCCTTTCCAGAACTGTAGCTACCCAGGGGCTGTGGTGGGAGAGGTCTTCCCAGGGCACAGAGAGCATATCTGCTGCTGTGAACTTGGACTTTTAAACAATGTCAATGAAAAAATACTATTCCCTGCTGGGGCTGACCACACCAATCTCTGCTCTCCCCTTAGTGCCACTGCTCCAAGAGACTGTTCCACCAAGTCCAAAGGCAGAGGAAGAGGGAGGGGATGGAAGCTGGGAGTAGATAATATTTACTTCTTTACCGATCTTCAAATTGGCATCTAGAAATGCAAGAAAACCATAAGCAGTGAATAGTACTAATACGAGAAATAAGATTTTCTGTTACAAGTTAAATGTTAATAAAAGGAATAAAACCATAACTAAATAGCTTTCCTTCAATAGAAAATCAAGTATAAAATACAATGGAGAAAAACCACTTTTACAGTAACAATAAAGACCATGAAATATCTAGAAATACTTTTTACCCCAAACATATAAAACCTATATAAAGAAAAATAAAGCTTTCCTGAATTATAAAAGAAGACTTGAATAAATGGTGGGGCATGCCATATTCTTGGTTGTAAAGGTTTTGCTTTTCCTTGAGAGAGTTTATGTTTATAATACAATTCCAATAAAAATTCAGTAGGATTAAATACATACACACACATTTCAAAATTTGACTTTGGACATGATACATAAGGCCTTTGGACTTTGGTATGAGAATAAACTGGTCAACGTTTCTTGAATACATTTTGAAAATATGAATAATCTTAAAATGATCAGATCTCTTAATACTTCTAGTTTTGACACTAGATACATAATTGGAAGTGATAATAAAACTCCATGTTTAAGAATGTTTGTCAAAGTTTTGTGAATAAAATTGGCCTGGGCAACATAGTGAGACCTTGTCTCTACTAAAAATGAAAAAAAATTAGCTATGTGTGGTGGTTTGGTGCATGCCTGTAGTCCCAAGCTACTTGGGAGGCTAAGATGGAATGACGACTTGAGCCCAGGAGTTCGAGGCTGCAGTGAGCCATGATTGCACCACTGTACCCCAGCCTGTGCGACAGAGTGAGACCTTTTCTATTAAAAAAAAAAATTGAAGTTGGCAAAATCAATGAGGCAACTGGCTCAAACACATTTTGACATAAACATGAGGTAAAGTATTATGCAGCTACTAAAACCTCTATTTAAATACTAATTAATGACATGAAACCATAAATAAATTTAAAATTATATAAAGTTTCTTAATAAAAAATAAGTATATTGCATATACACATATAGGCAAAGAACACATGTAAGTGAAGAAAATTTATTGAAATGTTTCCAGTAGTTATCTTAGGATGGTGAAATCGTAAAGTAGATGCGGGTCCAACTTCTAACTGTGAGATTCTGGTTAAGTTTTGTTGTTATTCCAGGTCTTAATTCCTTCATATATAAAATGAAGAAAATAACAATACAGTTGCTGTGAGGGTTAAATTTGCTAATACATGCAAAATGTTTAGCATAGTGCTTAGCATATACCAAGTATTGAATAAATAGCATTTATATCAATAATTAATGTTACATAATTTCATATTTTATAAATTTTAGACCTTGCAGATTTATTAACTTTATAATCAGAAAAAGATGATGAATATTATACATTTCAAAAAGAGGAGGTTCAGAAATTTAAGTCAAAGTGAAAACCAAGAGCAAAAAAGACATGGGAAGTTAGCAGAGAATGTACCGCATGGAGTAAGATGAATTTGGCCTTAAGTAGCCCAATTTAAAAAAGGAAATTATAACATAACAGTTATTGAATGTGTTCTCTGTGCTAGGACTTTTAAGTATTATGTACATGTTATATACATTCTTGATATCAGCCTGTGAGGAAGGTACTATTATTACCATCTTACAGATGAGGAAAATAAGGTACAGAAAGTTGAAGTAATTCATTCAAGGTTGTAGAGCAAGTAAGCCGCAGAACTAGACTATGAAGCAGTCTGGATCCATTTAACCACTCCACTGTACTGCCTTCTTACATGATGAGTTCTACATGATTCAGGTAAGATAAAAGAAAATGAATTGCTTAAGATAAGCACAACAATTTCTGATAGTGAGATAAGAAACATTGCCCCTGAATGGCCTCATGAAGATGACACTGCTCAATTTAATGATGAACATTCTCCATGTATCCTTACAACAGAAATACAGGTTTCATAGCTCTGTTTATTATGATGTCTCTCAATGTGAGTTAGTGACCTTGCATTAAAGCACAATCATTAAAAATCTTTATCTTGGAGAAAGGCCCATGAGTAGAGAGCAGACTTGATAGGTTAATGGAGAGAGACTAGCATACTGAAAAATCTTTAAAATAACTCTCTTTTGTGCTGAAAAATCTTTAAAATAATTTTGAGTAATTGAAGAATGATTGAGGGCTTTGCCACAAACTTGAAACTCAAACAAGGACTTCTAAAGAGGTAAGAAATCTCATAAAACACAGGAATAAGATCACAATTAGTTTCTATTATTCTTTAAAGTTTAGATATGAAAAAAATTAAAAAATGTAAGATGTTGACTAGAATAACAAAAAAATTGTGTACAGTTGTGATACTGAAAGTGACCGTTTTGGTTTGCAGTTGGGAAAAGGGTATTCATTAATTTGGTGTGGCATACTGAATAATTCAGTTGTCATATATAGGGTTTAAGTTTGTCACAGGTTGGACTCTCCAGAAGCAGATGTTGAGACAGAGTTTGGGTACAAGATGTTTATTAGGGATCAAGACCTGTGAAAGGAATGGGGAGGAAGCAGAACTGTCCATGTTGGAACACAATGGCCTGACATTTATATTCACGCCGTGCTCAATTACTGGACGCAAGCTGCTCTGAAAAGGGTGTAATCTGGAGTGAAGCATCTCTCTCCAGCTGAGGCTAATTCCGAAGGAGCTAACAGCTGGAGGCCATCTGCTGAGTGCGTTCCCCACAAATGGGCCACAAGCCCTTCCTTTAAGGGTTCCCTTAATCTCTTAACAGATATTTTGGGAGTGGGTGCCTGTTCAAACCAAAGATTCCTGCTGGCTATACTAGTGTGTGGTCAGTTTCCAGGGGAGTTAGCAGGTAAGCACTGGAAGAACAATGCTTAGAACAGAGATCGGCAAATGATAGATAGCTCATGGGTCAAATCCAGCAGTGATCCATTTTTGCATGGCCCATGAGCTAGGAATGTTTGTTACATTTTTAAAGGATTGCAAAAAACATACAAAAATACCTCGAGGAATATGTGACGGACTGTATGTGACCTACAAAGCCTAAAACTTTTACTATATAGCCCTTTATAGGAAAATTTTTCTAGATCCTGGCCTAGAATCAAGACCAGCCTTAGTTTCAAGTAAATATTCTACACCTAGTTTTTGCAGCTTGAGAAATGAGAACTAGAAGTTATTTTTTACTGTAGTCCTTAGAAGGAAGTAATTGGTGTGATCATCGATTGTGGCAGGAGATATTTCTTAAATGGATAATCAGAGCATGAGGACCTGCCCAGATGAGGCCTCTTGAATTGGATCCCTAATTTACTTGGGGCTTTCTGTTCTCCTGCTCTGGAAAATGATGGTAGATCAAGTATTTTTAAAGCACATTTCTTTTAACATTTTCAACTATAGCTGCGATTTCTCTTTAGGTTATTTTATTAAAGCAACCAAGCGTTTGATACCGTGACTACAACTTCACTGAACAAGAACCTCAATCCTGTAAAAATGTTATTTGCTCCCTGGTAGAATGTCACTGATATGACTTTGAGTTTCATATCAGTTTCATTGAACTTCAACTTGTTTAAGCAGAAAGGATCCTGCTGAAATCCCTGTTGCTTGACAACCCCCTAAGTGCATGCTGGGTGTTGACTGTTACTTTAGAGAGGACTCCTTAGTTGATCATTTGGTTCAGTGATCCATGTTATAATTTTTTTCTCTTTTCATGCCTTATTACCCATTTAAAATACTTTCATTAGACCAGAGAGCTGTGTATATTTTGTTCTTTGAGTTTTTGTTCAGCAAGACACTATTTCCTTTTAGAGTACATTTCACATAAAGGAAAATGAAATGAGCATGGTAAATTTTATTTATAAACTGGCATTTTCTGCCAGCTGGATTTCAAGAGCATTCACAAACTTCCACATTTATGTATTACCTACGTGGAAGTGTAGGTGCCAGAAAAGAAGCCAGTATAAGCTTTCCAAATAGGAGAAAATTTACTGTATATAAAAGGTCATCCAGCTGCCTGAACAGTTGTATAAAAAGGTCAGCTTCTGTAGGAAGCAGAGAGTGTAGAGGTAGATGAAGTAGTTCAGATGTTTCAACTTTAAATCTTCTATAAGGATGACAGACAAGATGAAGGCAAGAGACAAAAGAATAAATAATGTTTTGAATGTTTCGTAGAATAAGCTTCTTCCTGCTTGTTGAACATAAAATGATTGGAAGGAAAGATTTTATTACTGTGCTATGGTCAACTGTGGAGGGACAGTATGATTTCAGTGCTCACATTCATTGCAAATGGCTGTCATGCGTCCTCTATTGTTTTCTTAGAACTAAAAACAAACGAATGGCAGATTATGAGTTCTAAAACAAACAAAATCCTAGGAGATTAAGAGTTCATTATTAGCAGAGATATCTGGCCAGGGATTTTGTTTCTTTTTCCTTTTTTTTTTGAGACGGAGTTTCGCTCTTGTTGCCCAGGCTGGAGTGCAATGATGTGATCTCGGCTCACCACAACCTCTGCCTCCCAGGTTCAAGTGATTCTCCTGCCTCAGCCACCTGAGTAGCTGGGATTACAGGCATGCACCACCACACCCAACTAATTTTGTATTTTTAGTAGAGACAGGGTTTCTCCATGTTGGTCAGGCTGGTCTTAAACTCCTGACCTCAGGTGATCCTCCTGCCTCGGCCTCCCAAAGTGCTGGGATTACAGGTGTGAGCCACCATGCCCAGTCTTTTGCTTCTTAAAATTTGCATATAATTTGAAGAATGTGTACCTTGCATTGGCTTGAAGAAATTTTTAATTTTCCTCTTTTATGTAAACAACTCTTAATTATTTGGATAAATGGGTCAGGGAAATCATGGGTAACAAACCCAAGAACAGAAAATTATTGGTCTTTAATAGATAATCTTCAATAATCTTTAATAGACCTCTGGTATCAACCTGTGGACCCTGGCTGCTGACAACAGTTAAATATACTGTGATTTATTTTTTTATTCTCTGTTAAAAACATATTGGTTAATAATAAAATGGCTAGAAGAATAGTGACAGAGGGCCTGGATAATTAATCAACTAACTTGGTAACCAGTCCTCAAAATTTGAGAATTCATTATGCAGCGAGTTGTTAGTTTTTAAAATATTATCTATTATGTAAGTCATAATCTAATTTTAGATCCTAATCCAGTCTTTACTTCTGGAACAAGTTTATACTTTGACAATACAAATTCAGTCTTACCCAAGGAGAAGCTATTGTCTCAAACCATATAATATATTTCATGAAAATACAGATTAATTTTAGATTGCCCAGGGAAACAGCTACTGCCATTCTTCTTCTATTAATACTTTAGTGTATAGGGCCTGTTGGGAGAGGGTGGAGGTGGGGGAGTGCATCAGAAAAAAGAGCTAATGCATGCTAAACTTAATACCTAGGTGATGGGTTGATAGGTGCAGCAAACC